>NC_000010.11:31531411-31835694 GCF_000001405.40 Homo sapiens
TAAAGGATTGAATCTTATCTAAGCTTCCATCTTAAGAAATGAAACAAAACAAAATTAAACCGAAACCAAGCAGGAAAGAGGAAATAACAACAATAGCACAGAAAACAAAATAGAGTAAATCAATGAAATCAGAATCTATTTTTTTAAAGATTAGTAAAATTGATAAACCTCTACCAGGATAGATCAAGGAAAGAAGAAAAGAGATACAAATTACTAATACCAGGACTGAGAGAGGCACATCATTACAGAGCCTATAAAGAAATAATAAGGAAATATTAATGAACTTTATGCCAGTAAATTTGGCAACTTAGATGAAAATGACATATTTCTTGACTCAAACTACCAACATCCACTCAAGAAGAAATAGATAACCTAAATTTCTATTATCAATGGAAATTACATTTCTAGTTAAAAATCTTCCCAAAAAGAAAATTCCCAGCCCAAACAAATTCACTGGTGAATTCTACCAAACATGTAAGGAACATAACTGTACCCATTCTACACAAACTCATCTATAAAATTGAAGAGGAGAACACACTTCCCACTTCACCTGTAAAGCCAGCATTAACCTAATACCAAAACCAGTCAATAACGTTACAAGAAACAAATCTACATACACATTGATGTTGCTCATAAACATGGATACAAAAATTTTTAACAAAATTTAGGAAATCAATTTGGACCATATATCAAAAGGAAAATAGATCATGACCAAGTGAGATTTATCCTAGGAGTGCAAGCTTTTTAAGCATTCAAAAATCAGTTGCAGATGCTTCTTCCCAGGGGTTAAAGCCCGACAAACCCATCATAAGTTTAAAATACCATGTCAAAAATGCATTTAGTATGCCTACTGAACATCATAGCCTAGCCTAACCTAGCTTAAACATGCTCAAAACACTTAATTAGCCCACAGTTGGGCAAAATCATTTCACACAAATCCTATTTTATAAGAACGTGTTGAATGCTGGCAACGTAGTACACTGTGGCATATCAGTCGTTTACCCTCATGATCATGTGGCTGAGTGGAAGCTGCGGCTCACTGCTGCTTTGCAACATCACAAGAGTATTGTACTGCATATTGCTGGCCCAAAAAAATCAGAATTATGGTTAATCAAAAAATATTTTGATCAAAATATGGTTGCTATTGAATGTGTATTGCTTTTGCACCATCATAAAGATGAAAGATATAAAGTCAAGTCGTCATAAGGCAGGGACCGTTTGTAGTGTAATTCACTATATTTATAGCATAAAAAGAAAAAACAATCATCTCAATAGGTGTGGAAGAAGCATCTGACAAAATTAAACACCAAGCCATAGATGTTCTCAGCAATCCAGGAATTGAAGGGAGTTTTCTCAACCTAATAAAGAGCATCAACAAAATACCTACAGTTAACATCATACTCAGTGTGTAGGATCTACTGCTCTCCCCCTAAAATTAGGAACAAGGCAAGAATATCTGCTCTCACACCTTTATTGAACATTGTACTGGAGATCCCACCCAGGGAAACATGACAAAAATAAATGAAAGAAATACACATTGGGGAAAAAATAAGTAAAACTTTATTTGCAGATAGTGTGGCTGTCTGTGTAGAAAACAAGGAATTTGCAAAAAACTAGAAAAGGTAAATGTAAGGTTACAAGATACACAGCCATTATGCAAAAATCAATCATATACTATCTAGTGATAAGAATGGAAAACAGAGGAATTTGCAAAAAACTAGAAAAGGTGAATGTAAGGTTATAAGATACACAGCCATTATGCAAAAGTCAATCATATTCTATCTAGCAATAAGAATGGAAATGTTTTAAATATCAAAAGTATAAAATACTTATATTTGATAAAATATGGGCAAAGCCTGTACACTGAAAACTACAAAATGTTGCTGGGAAGAAATTAAAGATGCAATGAAAATTGAGAGATACTCTATGTTCATGGATCAGAAGACTCAATATCATTAAGATGTCAATTCTCCCCAAGATTTATTGACTCAGTGCAATTGCACTAAAAATCTCAGCAACGTATCTGTAGAAATTGACAGGCTGGTTCTACACTTACATGGAAATACAAAGGACTTCAAGTAGGCAAAGCAATTTTGAAAAAAAAAAGTTGGAGGACTTACACTACCTGATTTCTAGAGACATTTTTATAAAGCTACAGTAATCAAGACAAAGTTGCATTGGGTGTGAGAATAGACACATAGATCAAGAAAACAGAAATAATAGTAGAAAAGACACCCACATATATATAATCAATTGATTTTTGCCAAATGTTTCAAGGTATAAATGGTGACACAATCGTCCTTTCTAAAAGCAATGCTGATATTAGATATCTGTATGACATTCGATATCCATATGAACTTGATTCTTAACTCATACCATATACAAAAATTGTTTCAAAATGGATTATAGACCTAAATATAAGAGCTAAAATTATAAAACCTCTAGAGGAAAATAAATTCTTTGTGATCTTGAGTTAGACAAAGGTTTCCTAGATAAGACACTAAAAGCATGAATCATAAAATTGTTGGATTGGACTTCATCAAAATGTAAATCTGTTAAGAAGATGCCGTTAAGAAAATCAGAATGGGATACACAGATGGGGAGAAAATATTTGCAAAACATATGTGCATATACCCAAGAGACGTTTAAAGCACGTCTACACAACCTATATATGAATGTTCATTGCAGCACTACTTATAATAGCCAAAAAATGTAAACAACCCAAATCCATCAATTGATGAATAGTTAAAATGTAGTGTATCCATACAATGGAATACTATGCAGCCTTAAAAAGGAATGAAATTCTTGTACATGCTACAACCTAGACGAATCCTGAAAACATTATGCTAAGTGAAAGAAACCAATCACAAGAGTACGTATTCTATTATTCATTTATATGAAATGTCCAAAATAGGCAAATCGATATAGACAGAAAGTAGATGAGTGGCTGCGTAGTGCTCGAGGTGGGGAGAGAATGGGGAGTGACTGACTACTAATGGGTATGAGTTTCTTTTGGGGGTGATGAAAGTGTTCTAAATTAGATTGTGGTGATATCTGCACAACTCTGTGAGGATACTAATCCATGTAATTATATATTTTAAGGGGTTAACTATGGTATGTGAACTGTATCTTAATAAAGCTGTTAAAAATATGTGTTTATACATGTTGAATATATAAAGAATATCTAAAAACTCTTACAACTAAATAAAAAGAAGAAAACACTATTTTTTAATTGGGCAGAATTTTAAACAGACGCTTTACCAAAGAAAGCATTCAAGAGAGAAATAAGCTTATGAAGAGATGATCAACACCATTAGTCACTAGGAAAAGACAAATTAAAACATACACTGGCCTGGGTGCGGTGGCTCACGCCTGTAATCCCAACACTTTGGGAGGCCGAGGCGGGTGGATCACGATGCCCGGAGTTCAAGACCAGCCTGGCAAATATGGTGAAACCCAGTCTCTATTAAAAATACAAAAATTAGCTGGGCGTGGTGGCAGGCACCTGTATTCCCAGCTACTCAGGAGGCTGAGGCAGAGAACTGCTTGAACCCAGGAGGCAGAGGTTGCAGTAAGCCGAGATCACACCATTGCATTCCAGCCTGGGCAACAGAGCAAGACTCCGTCTCAAAAAAAAAAAAAAACAAAAACACTGTGCTATCACTACACAACCAATAGACAAAAAAAAAAAAAAAAAAACCACTATGCTATCACTACACAACCGATAGAATGGCTGAAATTTAAAAGACTGTCAGTAACAAACACCAAATGTTGGCCAGGATATAGAGCAACTAGAACTTTTGTACATGGCTGGTAGGAATTCAAAATGGTAAAATAGTTTGTCAGTCTCTTATTAAAAACCCACATATTTAACATACAACCCAAAAATCTCACCCCCTGGTATTCATCCAAGATAAATGAAAACATATATCCACCTGGAGAATTGTATTAATATGTTCACATCAGTTTTAGCAGTTTTAGTCATAATAGCCAAACTGGAGATAGCTCAAATGTCTATCAACCAGTGAATGAATAAACAAATTGCATTACATCCATGCAATGGAATACCACAACAATAAATAACAACAAATGACATGGATGAATATCAAAAATAGATATGCCAAGTATAACATGATGGTGTGGTGGCTATATAGATATACAAATTTGTCAAAACTAAACAAATTAGTGTGTTTAAAACCATGTTTTTTTGCCTGCAGGTTATAGCTCAATAGGGCTGATTTTTAAACACATAGGAGAATGTATTAAGATAACCAAAAAATGAATTAAATCCCTGAAGCTATAAGAAAGCAAAAGTTCCAAGCTCAAACAGAAATACAAATGCACTTTTACATAAAAATCATCTGATTTTATTCAAAAGAAGGTAGGTATGTCATTCTAAATTTAAGTCTTGGAAAAACATTTTTAACTTTAATCTGTTTTATAAATAATAATTCCATACAATGAATTATCTCATTTAGTGACTTTGCTGTACATTTCACAACTTACCTTTGAAAACTATCCTTTCTGAAAGCTAAGCATTTGTGAGTATAACTTGTTGGGATGTTACTTTGGCTAAGATAGACATTCTAATGACATCTGCTTTTAGACATTGGATTTTTTTTTTTGGCTAAAGTAGATTTAATTCTATATAATATCTAAACTATAGAAAATGTTATAGTGCATCAGAATAACAGAGGTACATAATTTATAATTTGGAGGACAGATTATCCTTTTTGATGTCAACCTCACATAACCCTCATTTCCTTTACTAATTAAAAACAGACCAAAAGTACTTGTTTTATATTCTAAGCATAATAGTAAGCACTCTTTTATGTTCTAATAATACGTTTTGAGCTTTGTTGCCCTTTTTTGTTCAGTAACTCATATTTCTGTTATTGGATTAGGTTTGCTTTTCTTTCAGTCTTAGAATACTAGAAGGTGGGAAGGGAGAAAATATCTTCAGTACAGGCATCTTCAAGGCAAATTACAAGTTATATGTTTTTAATCATCTGTATCTTCAGAAAATGCTGTGTTCCTCTATTGCTGAAACCTAGACCTGTGATGTTGTCCTCACGTCATCTCTGATCCAAAGATTGTCCAGAGCATTAGGTCAGTTCTGGAGCTAGTCCAAACCTGGCTTACTTGAGGGAAATAATTTTCAAACTTTTGAAAAAGAGATGGAAATCCAATGTGTGAAGCATGTACAATCAGAGCTGTTCTGGTGGAAGAGAAGGAGACAGGGCAGAGCCCAAACCCAGCAGCTCGTGTTCGAGAACTGTTTCCTACAGCAAACGTTCCTGGGGTGGGGGTGGGGTGTTCACTGAGTTTACAAGTCCTGGAGCTTCTCCAGACCTGCCCTAGACTGGCCCAAATGTAAGCCAAGATCTGAACACCCAGACTACTGAGGCAGGCCTGGCAATGTATACTGGCTTGACATTCACCTGAGATGGTTATGCATTTGAAAAAGATAGGATTTTAGAAATACAGTGACTTTTAGAAAATGCTTTCCTCAAGAGTATAGTTAATTTTAGATGGTGATAGCACATAACTCATTTTTAATATTAGAAACTCAAGAAGTTTTTGCTTTCCAGATCTTCAAAATAAGGAATTATGACTAGAAAATGTTCAGGGTCATCAATATAAAATCACCAGAAATCCTATGAATTATGCACAATAATTTCATCTGACGAACATGATTCCCAATGTAAACAAATCATAGAGCTTGTGTCAGTATTAACTCGTGTAAGTTTTCATCAGTAATTTTATTTTTCACGGACTTAAATGAGGGGAAATTTTCTGCTCCAACCTACTTCTCAGAGATATACTAAAATACATGGCAAGATCTATGAAAGTACGCTTGGAAAAGTAGACGAAGAACTCTAAAACCATGTGTGTGCCTGTGTGTGTCTCTATGCACACATATACACATGTGCTTACACATACACAAGTATACATCAACTTATTGTTCTCTGCTAACAGGTGATAAGGACATCTAGCCATCCCAGAGGACAATCGTATCTTGGCTTTGATTCAGCTACACAAACAGAAGCTGAAAAAAGTGGAAATATGTAGTCCTCATCAGGCATCAAGGTTAATACTGGAATGCTGTAGGTATCGCTGTGTGTTAGGAATTAGTTACATAATTCCTATGAAGTGGACAGGGTAGTGGAACACAAATTCCGCAGGTAGTAACTACTCACAAAGCAGACTGCTTGAGCAAGGCTCTCTCTAGAAGCCACTGAGGGGACTATGATTAAATGTAAAGATTGCTTTGCTCTGGCATATGTCATCGAGGGAAGGCTGACAAACAAACAATGTTGTAATAGATGTCTTTCCCCTTCGCTGAGGTAGTCACTAAGTTCAGAAGAGATTTAACCCTCCAATAGAACAAAGAGAAGAGACTTGCTGGCCAGAGGTGATCAAAGATTCTCAAATCCATTATTTCTTTTTTGGGATTGTGTACTCTTTTTTTATTGTGGTAAAATTCACCATGTTAACCATTTTTAAGTGTATACACTTCATTGGCACTAAGTACATTATCAGCGTTCTGCATTCATCACCCCCATCCATCTCCAGAACTTTTTCATGATTCCACACAGGAGCTCTGTACCCTTGAAATACTAACTACCCCTTCTCTCCTATCCCCAGGCCCTGGTAACCTCTATTTTACTTTCTGTTGCACAAATTTGCCTATTCCAGATATTTCACATAAGCAGAAGATATTTCACATAAACAGAACCAAAATGATATTGTATTAAAATGGTACAATATCCTTTTGGTTCTAGATTATTTCACTTAGCATAATATTTTCCAGCTTCACTTACATTGTAGCATATGTCAGAATTTCCATCCATTTTGTATACATCACATCTTGTTTACCTATTTATATAGCTCACTGCAGCTTCAGACTCCTCTGGCCCCTGCCTCCTGAGTAGCTGGGACTACAGGTACACACCATCGTGCCCAGCTAATTTTTTATTTGTTTTTGTACAGAGTCTCTGTATGCTGCCAAGGCTGGTCTTGAACTCCTGGCCTCAAGCAAGCCTCCTAACTCTGCCTCCCAAAATACTGGGATTACATGTGTGAACCACCTTATTTATTTTTTGATGGACATTGAATTGTTTCCACATTTTGACTACTGTGAATAATGCTGTTATGAACATGGTTTGCAAGTACCTGTTTGAGTCCCTGCTTTCAATTTTGGGGCATGTGTACTCAGAAGTGGAATTACTAGATCATATGATAATTCTAAGTTCAATTTTTTGAGGAACTTATGTCTTCCACAGTGGCTGCACCATTTTACTGACCTTCAGTAATGCACAAGAATATCAATTTCTTCACGTCCTCACCAACACTTGTTATTTTCTGTTTTGTTTTGTTGATAACAGCCATTTTAACGGGTGTGAAGTGATATTGTAGTTTTGATTTGCATTTTTCTTCTGACTAGTGATGTTGAATATCTTTTCATGTGCTTATTGACCATTTGTATGTCTTCTTTAGAGAAATATCCATTCAGGTTCTTTGCCCATGTTTGAATAGGGTTGTCTGAGTTTTCTCTGCTGTTAAGTTGTAGGGGTTCTTTATGTATTCTGAATATGAATCCATTATCAGATATATGATTTGCAAATATTTTCTCTCATTCTGTGAGTTGTCTTTTCACTCTTGATAGTATCCTTTGATACACAAAATTTATAATTGTGATGAGGCCCCAGCTTATGCTTTTTTGTTGTTGTTGCCTGTGCTTTTGGTGTCATATCCAATAAATCATTGCCAAATACAATGTCATAAAGCTTTTCATCGGTTTTCATCTAAGAGTTTCATAGTTTTAGCTCTTACATTTAGGTCTTTAGTCCATTTTGAGTTTTTTTTTGTATATGGTGTACGGTAAGGGTTCAACTTCATTCTTTGGCATGTGGATATTTTTCCCAGAGCATTCATTGAAAAGACATTGCATAGTCTGGGCACCCTTGTGGAAAATCCATTTATTTATGGTGATACCACCCCGAACGTGCCTGATCTCATCTGATCTCGAAAATTCATTCACCATTATACAAGAATTCATTTCTGGGCTTTTTTTTTTTTTTTTTTTTGAGACAGAGCCTTGCTCCAGGCTGGAGTGCAATGGTGTGATCTTGGCTCACTGCAACCTCTGCCTCCCAGGTTCCAGCAACTCTCCTGCCTCAGTCTCCTGAGTAGCTGGGATTACAGGCGACCGCCACCATGCCTGGCTAATTTTTGTATTTTTAGTAGAGATGGGGTTTCACCATGTTGGTCAGGCTGGTCTTGAACTCCTGACCTCAGGTGATCTGCCCACCTCAGCCTCCCAAAGTGCTGGGATTACAGGCGTCAGCCACTGTGCCCGGCCTCTGGGCTTTCTTTTTGTCTGTTCTCAAATTCATTCTTGCTCCAAAAATAAGAAAAAGGAGATATAGAATGTGTTGAAGACAAAACCCTACAGTAGGTGGTCTTTCCCTTTTACTAAATATTAGGTCAAGATGAGTCACAAAATTTTAAAATCCGAAAAGGATATTTTCCTCCTGGAATATTGTTTTGTTTTATTTTATTTTATTTTATTTTATTTTAAGTTCCAGGATCCATGTGCAGGATGTGCAGGCTTGTTACATAGGTAAACATGTGCCATGGTGGTTGCTGCACCTATCAACCCATCACCTAGGTATTAAGCCCAGCATACATTAGCTTTCTCCTGTAATATTGTTTTGAAGGGTTGGTGATTATGCACTATTGCATTATAAGTCTTATATTTCTAGTCCCCCAATAAAAGAAAAAAAGAACTGACACAAGAGTGAATTTGGCTTAAATTTCATCAAAGAAGGACTAGCAGTTATGAACTGTTTGGGAGCTTTGCTTCCTTATTTGTTTGTTTTGTTTTGATCCCAGCCTAATAGCTTAGCAGAATATTTATTTAGCTAACTCTATTCATATATTGTTTCTTACTATATACAAGTTCATTATCACTTAGGGCAATTGTAATATCTCAATAGTTCTCTCCTACATTGTAAGATGCTGTGAGACAGTCACCTTTTCTATTGATATTGATCAGCTAATGCTGCTTTATCTTCTCATCTGGACATAACTAAGTTTGTAAACTGAAACTGTATACAATTTTCATTAGCTGCTTTACGCCTTCATTTTCCTACTATGTTCACTTAGTAGTCATGCATATTCTTTTGTTTCCTCTGCCAGCCCCTCTACCTCCACCTTATCTCAAAACACTGGAATACCCATGACTCCCTTATAAGCCCTCTAAGTTTGCCTGGTTAATTAACAGTGTGTTCTCTCAAATGTATATCTCTAGCCCCCTGAGTTCCAGGCTACCCACTTAATAAGTCCACTTAGATGACTAAAAGACATCTCAAACTTAACCAGGTCCAAACTGACTCTTGACTTCCCCACTCTTACCCTCAACCTATTCCCAGCCACCCCCATCCCAATAAAAACCATTGCCATCTACCCAGGGACTCAAGCCAAATCCTACAGGTAGGGAGCAGGCACTGAAGGAGAGAGCCTCTTTCCTGCAGGATATCTTCAGGAGATCTGATCATCTTATTCTTCCTTTCAGAAGAGAAAACAGCAGTCTTGATTTTTCTGATTCCCATAGGCTCCATTATTTTAGTTACAAATATTAAGCAAGGTAAAAATCAAGACATCAGAAAGTAGAGCTATAATTTAATTTAGTGAGTATTTGTTGAAATGGAGTTGGAAGGCAGTGGGTGTCATAGTAAAGGGCAGAATAGGGAACCAAACCACCATGTTCCCATCCCAGCTTGGGCGATGATCACTACTCAACACCTTAGTGCCTTAGTCTCCTCTCTAGTAAAATGGAGATGATATTAATAGCACCCACTTGGAAGGCCATTGTGATCATTCAATGAGTTCATAGATTGAACTCTTAGAGCAGTGTTGGGCACATTGTTAGTAATGAATGTTAGCTGTTTTTATCTATTATGAGGCAGGCACCGTGAAAGATTCATGTGTAAAATAACTTAATGTACTGAAGCAGACTGTCACACACACAAAGAAGACATGCAACATGGGGCAACACATGGAAACCACCCCAGTTTCTTTCCCATTGCCTCTCCATCATTTGCATCTTTCTCCTCTTTCACACAACCAAATCTCTTTGTAACCTGTCTTCCTAACACACATGCACACACAAAAAACCTCCCGCTGGTTTCTTCCAGTCAGATAGATCTAAGTTTAAACCTGGAAATGCAAGAAATCACTTGTCAGATTCATTTGTAAAATGTACTTAATATGTTCCTTTTGAAGATTAAATGAGAAAATGTGTGCATAATTTCAGCATGTGCTACATACAGTAGGTGTTCAATAAATAGCAGCTTCCTCTCCTATTTGTCTTCTATGTGCTGTGCAAATATTTTTCCCTAAGGACAACTTGATTACAGCTCCTCAAGCATGTTTGACCACTGCCTATGGAGTAGAATCCAAATTCCTCAGCATTTCCACCTTATTTTCAATAATAATATTAATGATGTAAACTAAAAATAAAATTCTAAGCCCTTGACCATCTGAATGGACTTGCCCTCTTGGCCAAGGGCATTCCAAACTTTTAACCTGAAAAACTAGTTCAGGCCATGATGGGAGTGAGATTGGGGAGAGGGTCAGACATGCCTCATTTTACCCTCCTTTTGGAATTCAGGAAAAGTTGACTGGCATTTTCATCAACACAGACGTGAAGACTGATAGAACAGACTCTTTAAGTCTGACAAGAAACATTTACAGTCTATTCTCTCTGAAACCTGCTATGGTGGAGGCTAAGTGATAAAACCTTGGTCTTCACAACCCTTATCTTAACCCAGACATTTCTTTCTATTGATTCTAAGTCTTTAGACAATAACTTAACTCTTTCAACAAACTGCCAATCAGAGAATGTTCGAATCTACCTATGACCTGGAAGCCCTTGCTTCAAGTCATCCTGCCTTTCTGGACCAAACCAATGTACATCTTACATGTGTTGATTGATGTCTCATGTCTCCCTAAAATGTATAAAGCCAAAATGTAGGCTGACCACCTCAGGCACATGTTCTCAGGGCTTCCTGAGGGCTGGTCACAGGACATTTGTCACTCATATTTGGCTCAGAATAAATCTCTTCAAATATTTTACAGCATTTGATTCTTTTTATTAACAATGGCTAATATTTATTGAGCACTTACTTTTGTCAGGCACTGAGCTAAGTGTATCACTCTTATGAACTCTTTAATCCTCGTAACAACTCTTTGAGATAGGTGCCTGTGATATAACGAAAAATTGCAAGGAAAACAATTTTTTGTAGTTTCTTCTACTATACTCTTACATCACACATCCACAGTGGATACCAGCTGGTTGTCCTCTAATTCAGTTCAATTCTAACATTATTTGGAGGTAGTATTGGGCACATTGTGTCAGATCCCACAGGTTGAGGGCTCAGTCCACAAGACTGTCCCCACTTCTGATGCCAATCACAAGCCCTATGTTGTATTACCACCCGTGCTTCTGACCAACTGCTATAAATCGGGGTTCCCACAACTCCCTCTTTGGGTTTGATTAACTTGCTAGAGTGGCTCATAGAACTCAGGAAAACCCTTATGCTTACCAGTTCATTATAAAGAAAGGGTACAGATGAAGAGATAAGTAGGGTGAGGTATAGTAGAAAGAGCATGGAGTTTCTAGGCCCTCCCTGGGATGCCACCCTCCAAGAAGCTCTACATGTTCAGCTGTCCGAAAGTTCATGTGAACCCTGTTCTTTTGGGTTTTATGAAAGCTTCATTACATGGGCATGATTGATTAGATCATTGACCATTGATGATCAACTTCAGCTACACTTCAGTTCTTCTCCACTCCCTGAAAGTGAGAGTGGGATGAGTGTGTGATTGGGAAGTCCCAACCCTCTAATCACGCTTCAGTCTTTCTGGTGACCAGCTCCCATCCAGGAGCTAACTAACTAGGGACTGCCAACCATCAGTCAATCATTAGCATACAAATAGACACTTATCACTTTAAAGATTCCAAGGATTTTAGGAGTTGTATGTCAGGAGACTGGGATGAGGACCAAGCATATATTTTTTAATATCACAAAAATATATTGTAGATTTGGTCTTTGCACAGAATTCCTAAAACCCTTGGAATTTCCTGAACTAAAGGAGTGTCTTTTGTTATTCATAATGAGCTCTTTTCAACTATATCTGAGTTCGTGCTAACAAGGTGACTTAAGGTGGCCCCTCAGATGTTTCGAGGGAGCAGCTGGCCCTGCCAGAATAACCCTGCAGAGAATTAGATGGTTGGAACTTTCAGCCCCACACCCTGACCTCCTGGGAGAGGAATGGGTCTGGAGACTGAGTTCAATCAGCAGTGGCCAATGACGTACTCAATCATGCCTATGCAGTGAAGCGTTGATAAAAACACCTGAAACATTCTTCTCTCTCATCCCTATGTTCTCGTGGTACATTAAGATCAAACACCAGTGCCAGCTTCTACACAAATTCTACCCCATTCTGTGCTACAGCCAAGTAATGCACCTCATTTACATGCCATGATAGACCCACAGCTTCACTCATGATTTCACTGCTGTATTTGCAATGAGGCTACGCTATCCACAGTTTGCTCCCAGTGTGACAGACTAAGGCAGGCTCAATACTGGGAGGTTCAAGTCAACTCTGACACTGACTTGGCACAGGAACTCTCGATAGCCTTACCAAGTCTTCCTTGGGCTGCACACTCTTCCACCTAACCCCCTCCTCTTTCCTTCACTGAGGGTCAGGCTCGCATGGTGGCTCTATGGCTGTCCCAGGCTTTCTCAGCTTCCTCCCTGGTTTGGATCTGTGTCTCACCTAAATTTCATTTCAAATTATAATCTCCCATGTTGGAGGTGCGGCCTGGTGCAGGGTGATTGGATCATGGGGGTGGATCCTTCATGCATGGCTTAGCACCGTCCCTTGGTGCTGTTTTGTGACAGAGTTATCATGAGATCTGGCTGTTTCAAAGTGTGTGGCCCCTCGCCCCGCTTTGATCTTGCTCCTGCCATATAAGATGCCCGCTCCTGCTTTGCCTTCTTCCATGAGTAAAAGTACCCTGAGGCCTCCCCAGAAACAGATGCCACCATGCTTCCTGTACAGGCTGCAGAACTGTGAGCCAATTAAACCTCTCTTCTTTACAAATTATCCAATGTCAGGTATTTCTTTATAGCAGTGCAAAAATGGACTAATACAGAAAATTGGTACTGGGAGCGGGGCATTGTTATAAAGAGACCTGAAAATGTGGAAGCAACTTTCAAACTGGGTAACAGGTAAAGGCTGGAAATATTTGGAAGACCCAGAAGACGGGAAGATGAGGGGAGGTTTGGAAATTCCTAGAGCCTTGTGGAATGGTTTTGACCAAAATGCTGATAGTGATATGGACAGTGAAGTCCAGGATGAGGAGGTCTCAAATGGAAATCAGGAACTTATTGGGAAATGGAGCAAAGGTCACTTTTGTTATGCTTTAGCAAAGAATTTGGAGGCATTATGCCCCTACCCTAAGGATCTGTGGAACTCTGAACTTGAGAGTGATGATTTAGGGTATCTGGTGGAAGATTTCTAAGCAGCAAGGCATTCAAGATGTGGCCTGGCTACTTCTAACAGCCTATGCTTACATATGTGAGTAAAAACATGACCTGAAACTGGAATTTACATTTAAAAGGAAGCAGAGAGTAAAAGTTTGGAAAATTGCAGCCTGCCCATGTGGCAGAAAAGAAAATCTCATTTTCAAGACAGGAATTTAAGCCAGCTACAGAAATTTGCATAAATAAAGAGGAGCCAAGTGCTAATATCCATGTATTCATCTGTTTTCACACTGCTGGTAAAGACATACCCAAGACTGGGCAGTTTATAAAAGAAAGAGGTTTACTGGACTTAGAATCCCACGTGGCTGAGGAGGCCTCACAATCATGGTGGGAGGTGAAAGGCACATCTCACATGGCGACAGACAAGAGAAGAGCTCGTGCAGGAAAACTCCCATTTTTTAAAACCGTCATATTTAGTGAGACTTATTCGCTATCAGGAGAACAGCACTGGAAAGACCTGCCCCATGATTCAATTATCTCCCACCAGATCCCTCCCACAACACATGGGAAGTATGGGAGCTAAAAGATGAGATTTGGGTGGGGACACAGAACCAAACCATATCATTCCACCCTGGCCCCTCCCAAATATCATGTCTTCATATTTCAAAACCAATCATGCCTTCTCAACCATCCCCCAAAGTCAACTCATTTCAGCATTAACTCAAAAGTCCACAGTCCAAAGTCTCATCTGAGACAAAGCAAGTCCCTTCCACCTATGAGCCTGTAAAATCAAAAGCAAGTTAGTTACCTCCTAGATACAATAGAGGTACAGGTGTTGCATAAATACAGCTGTTTCAAATGGGAGAAATCGGCCAAACAAAGGGGCTACAGGCCCCATGCAAGTCCAAAATCCAGGGGGGCGGTCAAATCTTTAAGCTCCAAAATGATCTCCTTTGACTCCATGTCTCACATCCAGATCATGCTGATGCAAGAGGTAGGTTCCTATGGTATTGGGCAGCTCCACCCCTGTGGCCTTGCAGGGTTCAGCCTCCCTCCTGGCTGCTTTCAAGGGCTGGCATTGAGTGTCTGCAGCTTTTCCAGGAGCACAGTGAAAACTGTCAGTGGATCTACCATTCTAGGGTGTGGAGGATGGTGGCTCTCTTCTCACAGCTCCAGAAGGTGGTGCCCCAGTAGGGACTCTGTGTGGGGGATTTCCCTTCTGCACTGCCCTAGCAGAGGTTCTCCATGAGAGCCCTGCCCCTGCAACAAACTTCTGCCTGGACATCCAGGCATTTCCATACATTCTCTGAAATCTAGGTGGAGGTTCCCAAGCCTTAATACTTGACTTCTGTGCACTCACAAGGCTCAACACCACATGGAGGCAGCCAAGGCTTGGGGCTTGCACCCTCTGAAGCCATGGCCCTAGCTCTACATTGGCCCCTTTTAGCCATGGCTGGAGCAGCTGGGACTCAGGGTACTAAAAGTCCCTAGGCTGCACACAGAAACAGGAATCCTGGGTCCAGCCCACGAAACCATTTTCTCCTAGGCCTCCAGGCCTGTGATGAGAGGGGCTGCCGTGAAGACCTGTGGACATGCCCTAGAGACATCTTCCCCCATTGTCTTGGGAGTAACATTCAGCTCCTCGTTACTTATGCAAATTTCTGCAGCTGGCTTGAATTTCTCCTCAGAATATGGGATTTTCTTTTCTATCATATTGTCCAGCTACAAATGTTCTGGGCTTTTATGCTCTGCTTCTCTTATAAAACTG
Source organism: Homo sapiens (assembly GCF_000001405.40). Classification (NCBI taxonomy): domain Eukaryota; kingdom Metazoa; phylum Chordata; class Mammalia; order Primates; family Hominidae; genus Homo; species Homo sapiens. The sequence continues at coordinate 31,546,736 of NC_000010.11, forward strand.
AATGCTTTTAACAGCACCCAAGACACATCTTAAATGCTCTGCTGCTTAGAAATTTCTTCTGTCAGATACCCTAAATCATCTCCCTCAAGTTCAAAGTTTCACAAGTCTCTAGGGCAGGGGCAAAATGCTGCCAGTCTCTTCGCTAAAGCATAATAAGAGTCACCTTTGCTTCAGTTCCCAACAAGTTCCTCATCTCCATCTGAAACCACCTCAGCCTGGACCTTATTGTTCATATCAGTATCAGCATTTTTGTCAAAGCCATTCAACATGTCTCTAGGAAGTACCAACCTTTCCCACATTTTCCTATCTTCTTCCCAGCCCTCCAAACTGTTCCAATCTCGGCCTGTTACCCACCTCCAAAGTCGCTTCCACATTTTTTGGTATCTTTTCAGCAATGTCACACTTCACTGGTACCAATTTACTGTATTAGTCCGTTTTCATGCTGATGATAAAGTCAAACTCAACACTGGGCAATTTACAAAAGAAAGGTGGACTTACAGTTCCACCTGGCTGGGGAGGCCACACAATCATGGCAGAAGGTGAAATTGCAAAATACAATCCTCCCTTCTCAATAGTTCCCCAAAGTCTTAACTGATTCCAGGATTAACTCAAAAGTTCAAAATCTCATCTAAGACAGGGCAAGCCCCTTCCACCTATGAGTCTGTAAAATAAAAAACAAGTTAGTTACTTCCAAGATACAATGGGGGTACAAGAACTGGGCACACGGCAGCAGACAAGAGAAGAGCTTATGCAGGGAAACTCCCATTTTTTAAAACCATCAGATTTTGTGAGACTTATTCACTATCGAAAGAACAGCACAGGAAAGACCCAACCCCATGATTCAATTATGTCCCACTGGGTCCCTCCTATAACACGTGGGAATTATTGGAGCTACAAGATGAGATTTGGATGGGGACACAGAGCCAAACCATATCAATCTAAGACAATGGGGAAAAGGCCTTGAAGGCATTTCAGAGACCTTCACAGCAGCTCCTACCATCACAGGCCAGAGTCCTAGGAAGAAAGAATGGTTTTGTGGGCCAGGCCCAGTGCTCTGCTACCCTACTCAGCCTCAGGACATGCTCCCGGCATCCCAGCCACTCCAGCTCCAGCCTTGGCTCAAAGGGGCCCAGATGCAGCTCTGGCCACTCCTTCAGAGGATACAAACTGTAAGCTTTGGCAGCTTCCACATGATGTGAAGCCTGTGGTTACGCAGAGTGCAAAAGTTGAGGCTTGGGAGCCTCTGCTTAGATTTCAGAGGATGTATGGAAAAGCCTGAATGTCCAGGCAGAAGCCTGCTGTAGAGGTGGAGCACTCATGGAGAACCTCTACTAGGGCAATGTGAAGGGAAAATGTGGGGTTGAAGCCCCCACACAAAGTCTCCATTGAGGCACTGATAGTGGAGCTGTGAGAAGAGGGCCACTGTCCTCCAGACCCCAGAATGGTAGATCCACTGTCCTCCAGATCCCAGAATGGTAGATCCAGACCCCAGAATGGCAGATCCACAGAATGGTAGATCCCTAGAAAAGCCATAAAGATTCAACACCAGCCTGTGAGAGCAACCACAGGGGCTGAACCCTGGAAAACCACAGAGCCAGAGCTGCTTAAGGCTTTGGGAGCACACCTCTTTCATCAGCGTACCCTGGATGTGAGACATGAAGTCAAAGGAAATTATTTTGGTGCTTTCAGACTTAATGACTGTCCTGCTGGGTTTTGGAATTGCATGGGGCCTGTAGCCCCTTTTTTGGGGGCCTGTTTCTCTCTTTTGGAATGAGAATATTTACCCAGTTCTTGTACCCCCATTGTATCTTGGAAGTAACTAACTTGTTTTTTATTTTACAAACTCATAGGTGGAAGGGGCTTGCCCTGTCTTAGATGAGATTTTGAACTTTTGAGTTAATCCTGGAATCAGTTAAGACTTTGGGGAACTATTGAGAAGGGAGGATTGTATTTTGCAATGTGAGAAGGACATGAGATTTGGGCGGGGTGGAATGATATGGTTTGCCTCTGTGTCCCCACCTAAATCTCATGTCGAATTGTAATCCCCAGTGTTGAAGATGGGGCCCATAGGGAGGTGATTGGTTCATGGGGGTGGATCCTTCATAAATTATTTAGCACCATTCCTTTGGTACCATCTTGTGATAGAGTTCTCATGAGATCTGGTTGTTTAAAAGTGTATAGCACCTACCTCCACCCCCTGACTTTTGTTCCTGCTCTTGCCGTGTAAGACACCTGCTCAGGCTTTGCCTTCTGCCATGAGTAAAAGCTCCCTTAGGCCTCCCCAGAAGCAGATCCCACGCTGCTTCTTGTACAGCCTACAGAACCATGAACCAATTAAACCTCTTTCTTTATAAATTACCCAGTCTCAGGTATTTTTTATAGCAGAGTGAAAATGGACTTACACCCCACATTTCTCTGCAGCTATACCTCCTGATTGAATCCCTGCACATTTAGTTCTGTCTTGGAGTCTGCTTCCTGAAGGACCCATACTAACACACTCCCTTGAGTTGAAATAATGTTTTCCCTCTCTGAGTCCCCAGAGTGCCTCTTCAGCACCTCTCTCATGACAGGTAACGGTCTACCTTAAGCTGCCATTACTGTCTTATTTCCTACACTGGACTGGAAGCTTCTCTCAAGGCTCTAAGCCTGAATCATTTTTTAATTCTTCTCTACATCTGGCAGATGTCAATAAATATTTGTTGACTAAATGCATAGGTAAATAAAGATGTAAGATGAGGCAACACAGTGAGGCAGGGAAACATTTCTCAAAGTGTGCTTACTGGGATATTAATGGGTGTTATTTGAAGAAAAACAAAAAGCAGAATCCCATAGTCAAATAAATTTTGGAAAGGATGAACCAAACAAAAATTAACAGGTGTCTACTGTAAGAATTCTCTGGGCATTTAAGGTGCTACTTCTGTTTTGTGACACTCCAGGAGGCACAGTCCTTGTGTGATCATAGGCTTGTTGTTCTGTGGAACCCAGTTTGGGTTCACATAATTAGGAAGGACAGGTAAAGCTTCCAGAGGCATGGCGCTTGAGTCTTAAAGAATTGTAGGGATTTCAGTAGGCCAAGATTGAAGAAAGAAACAGAATGACTTTCCAGGCAACATTTCTTACACTATAGAGGCAGGAAGTCACAAGACACATTCAGGGAAGAGCATGCAGACTGTTTATCTACCGGGTTTCTATAGGAGACAGAAGGGTAGCAAGGCCAAGAACAAAAGTCATGAAGGAGCTGTATTCAGACTATGATATTGGCACTTTATCATATGCTATGAAGGCTTCTGCACCAGGAAATGATGGAATAAATGGTGACAAAGGGAATCACTAGTTTTAATTAGAAAGGCATACTGCATGTGTAATGACTTGGCAAGAAAAATTCCGTATGTTGCAAGAACAAATGAAGCAATCTCAAGTTTTATATCCAAGGCTATTTGTTTGTCACACTACTAAATCCATAGTCATAATAAGGCTTTTGTTATGCTTAATGTTCTAGTTTGCAATAAGTGTCATGGTAAGAATCTATTAAAACCCTATGAGGATGAACAAATTCTTTTTTTTTTTTTTGAGATGGAGTCTCACTCTGTCACCCAGGCTGGAATGCAGTGGCATGATCTCGGCTCACTACAACCTCCTGGGTTCAAGTGATTTTCCTGCCTCAGCCTCTTGAGTAGCTGGGACTACAGGTGCCTGCCACTATGCCTGGCTAATTTTTGTATTTTTAGTAGAGATGGCTTTTCACCATGTTGGCCAGGCTGGTCTTGAACTCCTGACCTCAGGTGATCCGCCACCTCGGCCTCTCAAAGTGCTGGGATTACAGGCATGAGCCAGCGCGCCTAGCTGAGGATGAACAAATTATTTTGCATCAACTTCTAAGAAACAGAAGTGGTAAATCACATCCCCTCAAATTCCTGGTTCTTTTGTGACTCAAATTGTTAAGTTACAGTTACATCTTTGGTACACTTGTATACTATACAGCTACAGTTTATTTACTTTAAGTAATCCTTAATTTTGTTAACTAACTTCAAGAGATACTTAATGGTTGTGGGTATTATCTTGAAACCAAAATGTTGATATATAGCACAATGCAGACTCAAGTGCCAGTGCATGCCCATCACTTCCTCAGTAGATCAAAGTGCCACAGCAGCATGCATTGCTGCTGAGTTTGTGCTTTTAAGCAAGTCTGATGTTTGCAGCTTCTCCCTTGGATTATATGATCTCAAGGGATTAATTTAAATTTAAATTATTTTTAATTTTGCAGTTCAACATTTTGGGCTTAAACTATTCAAATCAATGTAGGAATAATTTCAAATCGTTCCAAAGTCAACTAGTTCTATCTGTCCATCTCTGCCCTGGGGTTTGAGATCCGCGGGTGCTTACTGACCCTTTTGGGTTGGAGTTAGCTCAAGCGGTTACCTCCTCAGGCTGGACTTTCTATCTGTCCAAAGCCAACTGATATGGTTTGAATATTTGTCCCCTCCAAATCCCATATTGAAATTTGATCTCCAGTGTTGGAGGTGGGGCCAAGTGAGAGGTGTTTGGGTGACGGGGGTGGGTCTCTCATGAATGGCTTGGTGCTATCCCTATGGTAATGAGTGAATTCTTGCTCTGTTAGTTCATGTGAGAATTGGTTGTTTAAAAGAGCCTGGTGCCCACCCCTTGCCATGTGACATGCTGCCTCCCCTTGCCTTCTGCCATGAGTAAAAGCTTCCTGAGGACTCACCTGAAGCCAAGCAGATGGCAGCACCATGCTTCTTGTATATCCTGCAGAACCATCAGCCAAACAAACCTTTTTTCTTTATAAATTACCCATTCTCAAGTACGGTGTATTGGTCCATTTTCATGCTGCTGATAGAGACCTACCCAAGGCTGGGCAATCTGCAAAAGAAAGAGGTTTAATCAACTTACAGTTCCACGTGGCTAGGAAGGCCTCACAATCAAGGCAGAAGGTGAAAGTCATGTCTCACATGGTGGCAGACAAGAGAAGAGAATTTGTGCAGAGAAACTCCCCTTTTTAAAACCATCAGATCTCATGAGACTTATTCACTATCAAGAGAACAGCATGGGAAAGACCTGCCCCCATGATTCAATTACCTCTTACCAGGTCTATCCCACAACATGTGGGAATTCAAGATGAGATTTGGGTGGGGGCACAGCCAAACCATATCATATGGGTACTTTATAGCAACACAAAATGGACTAATACACCAACATTTGTTATGGCACTTGTAGTGAGTTAGAGAGGAGTGTTTCCTGAAAGTATCTTCAATGACTAAAATATGTATTTGCAACTGTTCTTCTTAGAATGCAAATAAGATTTATATCTTTCAATTTGACATTTTGCTTTTCCAATGTTAATGCTTATCTTTTTTAGTTTATAAGCTAAGACTTTTCACCAACCATTCTCTATCTAAACATACAACTGATTCCACTGTGTCAGACTAATGTCAAAGAGAAACCCATGGCCACAGGAATCCCAGAATGTTTTTTTTTTTTCACTTTCTCTTCACTCAGTCACACTGGCTGCCTGACCCCAGGAGCTTTGTTCATTCTTTTTCCTCTATATAAAATGTTGTTTCTTCTTCTCCTCAGCAGGTTAACTCCCATCACTTACTCAGAGAAACCTTCCCTGTCATAATGGAGTCAGTGCTTCTTTTATCATCTCTCTTAGCATTTCCTTTTAGAATGCCTAACAGTTGTAAATTTTGTGCTTGTGTGGTTAATAGTAGGCTGATTTCTTCTGGACCCTAATCTCCCTAAGATAATCAATCTGGTTGTCTTTACTAACATATAGTATACGAAATTACATTTTATATATATACTTAAACCCCTTTAATAGGATTCCCAATAAGTTGTCTACTTTAGAAATTTCCCAAAGAAAACTGAAAAGAGAAAAAGCACTACCAAATAGATGGAAAACTTTTGCTGAAAAAAAAATTTTTTTTAAAGGAGTCTTGCTGTGTCACCCAGGCTGGAGTGCAATGGCGCTATCTTGGCTCACTGCAAGCTCCGCCTCCCAGGTTCACGCCATTCTCCTGCCTCAGCCTCCTGAGTAGCTGGGACTACAGGTGCCCACCACCACGCCTAGCTAATTTTTTTTGTATTTTTTTTTTTTTTAGTAGAGATGGGGTTTTACCGTGTTAGCCAGGATGGTCTCGATTTTCTGACCTCGTGATCCACCCACTTTGGCCTCCCAAAATGCTGGGATTACAGGCGTGAGCCACCGTGCCTGGCCAAGTTTTGCTGATTTTTAAAGAACAATGGGCGGGGCACGGTGGCTCATGCCTGTAATCCCAGCACTTTGGGAGGCTGAAGTGGGTGGATCACTTGAGGTAGGTCAGGAGTTCCAGACCAGGCTGGCCATCACGGTGAAACCCCATCTCTACTAAAAATACAAAAATTGGTCAGTCGTGGTGGTAGGCACCTATAATCCCAGCTACTCGAGAGGCTGAGGCAATAGAATTACTTGAACCCGGGAGGCAGAGGTTGCAGTGAGTCAAGATCAGGCTGCTGCACTCCAGCCTGGGCGACAGAGAAAGACCCTGTCTCAAAAAATAAATAAATAAATAAAAATGAATAAAATAAAGAACATTGGGTCTGCTTTGGCCAGTGGAAATATATTCTGAGATAAATCTGTCTAATTAAGTAGACAAACTGCTGGCACATCTGCACAAGAAAATCAAAGATGTTGCAAATCAGATAAATGCTGAATTAGAAGGCAGAATAACTATGACACAATGGAGATATAGCAATGATACAAATATTAAGAACTTAAGTAATGTAGAAAATCTATACAAAATGAATCAATTTCTGGAAAAAATATATAATGCAAGAAAATGGCACAGGAAGATAGAGAAATATTAAATAGAACAACAATTATTAAGGGAATTAAATTAAAGTTTCCAAAAGTACCCAGACCCAAAGGGTCTTATGACTGCATCCTACCAAACTCTGAAAATAAGAATACAAGAAAATTTATAGTTCTTTCTACTTACGAACCCTAAGCAAAACATTAGCTAAACAATAACAGTGGTTATTGATGATATTGCTACATCATAAAGAAGGGTTTATCCTGGAAATTCAAGCATAATTTAACATCATCAAAGCAGTCATATTAACTACTTAGTAAAGGACTGAAGGGGAAAAAAATCATGGGATTATGGTAACATATGCAGAAAAGTGCTAGGTAACATTCAACATCTATTGATGATTTTTATTTTCTAAAAATCTCAAAGCTAGAAATATAAGAGTATTTTTGTATAGTAATAAAAACTGTATACCAAAAAATCAACACTTAGTCAACAAAAATATCAAATTTAATAGGAAAACCAAAATATTTCCTTAATGATTGGAAATGACTACCATTGCCATTACTACTTAATATAAACCTGGAAGTACTGGCAATCACTATGAGACAAGAAAAGAAAATAAGAACTAGAAGAATTTTAAGAAAAAACATAAAACTGTCCTTATTTGCAGATTTGATAATCTACATAGAAAAATCAACAGAGAACTTTGAGTTTTCAGCTCCAGATGTAAGGAGCTTAGAAGTCACCACTTCGTCCTAACAACAAGTAAAAAGTTAAACAAGGTGAAAAATCAATAACTCTTATAGATTATTATTAATAACTCTTGAGGGCAAACCACTTCCCCCAAAATTGGAGAGACGTGTACAGATATAGAGAATCATGACATACCAGACCAGAAACCTCCATGGGAACCAGTGCCAGGGTAGGAACACCTGAACTGCAATTGATGAATTGCTGGAGGCTCAGTGTGGGCAAGTCAGAGAGTTGAACACTCCAGGGGATCCGGTCGCGGAAGGGCCCTCACACTTTTGTGAGTTTCACTTCCAGGAGCTTGACTAGGTTCTCATGGTGAATATCAGAGAAAGATCCCCTTGCGTTTCCAGTAGAGAAGTGGCAAAGGAACCATTTTGAAATGTAACAGAACCTTCTTTTCTTAACAAGGTCTGCCCTCTGGAGAAAGTGGTTAACCACACTGTAACCTGCTGGGATTTTATCAGAGCATGAGTAATCTAGGGGAAGGGAAATACTGAATCTCAGCCTACTCTATCCATCCTAAGTAGATGAGAAAAGAACCAAGAAACATTTGTGAATTTCAAAGTCCAGTGACATATGCTCACTAAAAGACAGATCAAGTCACAGGACTATGAAATACTTCTCCCCTCTGCCACCATATTACAAGGCCTATTTACACACTTCTTTTTCATCCAGTACATTATAATTCAGCTATCAAGAAAAATTACGAGGCATAATAAAAAGTAAAAACATACCTTGGTTTGGTGTGGTGGCTCATGTCTGTAATCCCAGCACTTTGGGAAGCTGAGGCAGGTGGATCACCTGAGGCCAGGAGTTCGAGACCAGCCTGACCAACATGGCGAAACCCTGTCTCTAGTAAAAATACAAAAATTATCCATGCATGGTGGCATGCTTGTAGTCCCAGCTACTCAGGAGGCTGAGGCAAGAGAATCACTTGAACCCAGGAGGCAGAGGTGCAGTGAGCCGAGATTACACCACTGCACTCCAGCCTGGGCGACACAGCAAGACTCTGTCTCAAAAAACAAAAACAAACAAACAAACAAACAAAAAAACATAGCTTGAAGAGACAGAGCAAGAGTCAGAACCAAACGTCGCAGGCACAGATGTTGAAATTATCTGATTAGGAATTTAAAACAACTATGATTAATATGCTAAGAGCTTTAATGAATAAAGTAGGCCACAAGCAAGAAAAGATGATTAATTAGGCAGAGAGATCAAAATCCTAAAAAAGAACTACAAAGAAGTGCTAGAGATCAAAACTACTGTGACAAATATGAAGAATGCCTTTGATGGGCTTATTTGTAGACTAGACATGGCTGAGAAAAAAAAAAATCTCTGTTCATAAGGATATCTCAATAGAAACCCCCAAAACTGAAAAGTAAAGAGATAAAGACAAAAACAGAAAAGAATATCCAAGAACTGTGGGGTAACTACAAAAGGTGAAATATATGCATAATGGAAATATTAGAAAAACAAGAAAGAAAGGAATCGAATAAATACTTCAAACAATAATGACAAAGAATTCCCCCAAATTAATATCAGACACCAAACTACATATTCAGGAAGCTCAGAGAACACCAAGCAGAATAAATATTTTTTAAAACCCTAGACGTAGGCATATCCTCTTCAAACTACAGAAAATTAAGATTAAAAGTCCTAAAACAAGCCAGAGAGGAAAAACACCATACTTCCAGAAGAGCAAAAGTAAGAATTATATCCAACTCCTCAGAAGCCATGCAAATAAAAAGAGAGTAGAATGAAATATTTTAAATGTTGAAAGAGAAAAAACACCAATGTAGAATTCTGTGCCTCATAAAATTATTTTTCTAAGATGAAGGAGAAATACAGACTTTCTCAGACAAACCAAAATTGAGAGAATTTGTTGCCAGTAGACCTGCCTAGCAAGAAATGTTAAAAGAAGTTTTTTAGAGAGAAGGAAAATAATATAGGTCAGAAATTGGATCAACATAAAGAAAGAGAGAACACTGAAGAAAGAATAAGTGAAAGTAAAATAAAAAAATTATTGTATTACCCTTAATTGGTCTAATAGATGACAGTTGGTTCAAAATATTAATAGCAACAGAGCAAGATGGTGGAATAGGAGGTCCCAGGCTTCACTACCCTTCACAGCAAGTCCAACTAGCAACTATCCACAGATCAGAATATCTTGGTGAAGATTTCTAAGCTTGGGAATAAGCCTGCGACACCTGCATGGACCACAGAACTAAATAAAAACTGCATTCGAAGGATAAAAGAAATGGTCTCACTTTGACTGTGTCACCCTTCTCCTTCCCTCAAGTTTTCACAGTGCCACACAGAGAGGATTTCGCAGGGCTCATGGTATGTACAGTAGGAAAAGAGAAGTAGAAGTGGACATTTGGCTTCCCTAGCATTCCAAGACACTTCTTAGGAATCTCATTTTGGTCTCACACCATGGAAAATACAGGGGGTAACAACATGACTAGACAACCTGGGGTCAGGTAGAAACAAAGCAAGAAGGTTGAGCCACAAAAATCAGCTTGTAGATCTTCGTGGTAACTCTATGTTGCACCTGCTAATGGTGGTGCCCAGTCAGAGGTACTAGCTAACAGCATACTCTACCTGCAAAGCCAAGCTGGACATTCCAGAAGTGATGGGAAGTTCTACCTGACTTGAATCCCTAGATGGCCAACCTCCAGGCCCAGCCTCAGATTCTTCCCCAAAGCCTGACCTAATGAGAAAGACGCCTGCCACTGCATTTTGGCAATGAACAGGGGCTAGGTCTGCCACACATGGGAGTTTAAACAGTCCTTAGTGGGGCCTCAAAGCCCACTGCAAGACCCCACACAAAGGCATGACCACCACAGCACATTTTGGTAAAAAGCAGGGGCTAGTGTAAAGACATGACCACCATAGCACATTTTGGTAAAGTGCAGGGGCTAATTCTGCCACATCCAGAAGTTTAAACAGCACTCAGCTCAATTTCAATTCCCACCCAAGCCTCTCACCTAAGGAGGGAGGCAAACCTCAACCATGTATTTATACTGAAATAGCAACTGGTGCTTTCCACCCTGAGCAACAACTTCACTTAACCTCAGGGCCCCTTCTGCAACCCTGTCCAACTGCAGAACTCAGACAGCCACATCACCTGGCCAGGGAATACACTCTGAGGCCCTAGCCTGATCAGAAGTGATTACAGTGCCCAACGAGTACATCTACCTGATGGCAGACCTCAGTCAGTGGTCTTGTCAGACTGCAGAGCCCAGCTGGCTGCCCCACCTGAACTCAGAGCAAAGGCAGTGGCCCACCCATCTAGAGAATGCAAAAGCAAGTCTGCCTGCCCACAGTTATTACCAACTGGCCCATCCAGAATCACAGGTTAGACTAAATAGTGAAGGTCTACCCCTTCCAAAGAACACTTATAAAAGCCAGAAGAGGTGGCTGTCTTCTCAAATGCACAGACACCAATGCAAGAATATAAGGATTACAAAGATTCAGGAAATTATGACACCTGCAAAAGAAATGTAAAAATCTCCAACAATGGATCCTAAGGAAATGGAGATATTTGAAATTACAAAGAATTCAGAATAATCCTCTTAAAGAAGTTTGGTGAGCTACAAGAATATACAGAAAAAAAATCAAATAACATTTGGAAAACAATACATGATCAAAATTAGAAGTCTGACAAAGAAATAAAAACAACAATAAAAACAAGTAGGTGTCCTAGAGATGAAGAATATAATGACAGAACTGAAAAATGCAATAGAAAGCTTCAACAGCAGGCTTGATTAAGCAGTAGAAAGTATCAGTGAGCTTAAAGACAGAACATTTGAAATTATCCTAAGAGGAGCAAAAAGGAAAAGGAATAAAAAAGAATGAAGAAAGCCTACAGGAATTGTGGGACACCATCAAGAGACCTAACCTTTGCATAACAGGAATTTGAGAAGGAGGGTAAAGAGAAAAAGAGCGAGAAAGGGTATTTAATGCAATACTAGCTAAACATTTCCCTAATCTGGAGAAAGATGCCAACATCCAGATATAGGAATCACAGAGCTTGCAAATCAAGTTGAAATAAAGAGGACTTCTCCAACACACATAATAATGAAATGATTAAAAATCAAAGACCAAGAAAAAATCTGAGAGCAGCAAGAGATAAGAAACACATCAGTGGATTTCTCAACAGAAACTCAGCAGGCCTGGAGGCAGTGGGATGATATTTTCAAAGTGCCGAAGAAAAAGAAGAAGAAAGAAAACTGTGAATACTTTACCTACAGAGCTGTCTTTCAGAAATGAGGGAGAAAACAAAACTTTCCCAGACAAACAAAAGCTAAAGAAGTTCATCACCATTAAACCTGTCTTGCAGGAATTGCTAAAGAGAGTTATTTAAACTGAAACAAATGCTGATAATTAATTTAAAAAATTTATGAACACATGAAACTCAATTGTATAGTAAGTAATACAGATTGTATAATCTAAGTAATACAGAGCCGTATTCAGAATATTCTAGAGATGTAATGGTGTTATATAAGGCAATTTTATTCCCAGCATGAGAGTTAAAAACAAAACTATTAATAACAACTATAGCTAAAAGAAATGGTCAACAGATACATATTACAAAATGATACAAATTCTGACATCAAAAACGCAAAATGTGGGAGAAAAAAGGATAGAGTTATTGTATGCAATCAAAGTTAACTTGTTATTAGTTTGAAACAGACTGTTGCAAGTATGCAATGTCTTATGTAAGTCTCATGGTGACCAGAAAGAAAAAATTTGAAGTAAATGCACAAAACAAAAATAGAAAAAAATCAGACTGGGCATGGTGGTTCATGCCTGTAATCCCAGCACTTTGGGAGGCTGAGGCAGGTGGATCACCTGAGGTCAGGAGTTTGAGAGCAGCCTGGCCAACATGGTGAAACCCTATCTCTACTGAAAATACAAAAATCAGCCAGGCATGGTGGCAGGCACTTGTAATCCCAGCTACTCAGGAGGCTGAGGCACAAGAATCTCTTGAGCCTGGGAGGCAGAGGTTGCAGTGAGCCCTGGTGACAGAGCAAGACTCTGTCTCAAAAAAAAAAAAAAAAAAAAAAGAAAGGAAAAGAAAAGTAAAGAAAGGATTCAAATCATATCACTAAGCAAAACCATCAAATAATGAGGAAACATATCAAGTGAGGAAGAAAGAAACAATATACAAAACAGGTAGAAAACAATTAACAGAACATTAGTAGTAAGTCCTTACCTATCAGTAGCAACTTTGAATGTAAATGGATAAATTCAATGAAAAGACATAGAGTGACTGAATGGATGAAGAAAACAAGACTCAACCATATGCTGTCTACAAGAGACTCACCTCTGTTTTAAGGACACACATAGGCATACATAGTGAAGAACACACATAGGGAAGGGAAGGGTAAAGATATTCCATACAAAGGGAAACCAAATGAGATCAAGGGTAGCCATGCTTATATCAAGCAAAATATACTTTAAGTTAAAACTGTAATAAAAAATAAGCCAACAAGGGGCATAATAATAAAGGCATCAACTCATCAAGAGGATATAACAATTATAAGTATACATGCACCCAACATTAAAGCACCTAAATATATAAAGCAAATATTAATAGATCTTAAGGGAAGGTTGGAGAGCAATACAATAATATTAGGGACCATCAGTACTACACTTTCAACAATGGGTAGATCATCCATACAGAAAATTAATAAGGAAACATTAGACTTGAACAACACTTTAGATCAAGTGGCTCTAACAGACATATACAGGACATTCTCTCCAACAGCAGCAGAATACACATTCTTCTCAAGGCTAGAATGTGGAGAATACATAGAACATTCTCCAGGATAAATCATATGTTAGACCATAAGACAAATGTTGGAAAATTTAAGAAGATTGAAACATATCAAGTATCTTTTTCTTGCCACAATGGTATGTAACTACAAATCAATAACAGGAAGAATTTCAGAAAATTTACAAATGTATACAAATTAAACAACATGCTTCTGAACAAATGGGTCAGTGACCAAATTAAAAAGGAAATTTTAAAATATATTGAGTCAAATGAAAATGGAAACACAATAAATCAAAACTTATGGAATGCAACAAAAGCAGTTCTAAGAGGAAATTTCATAGCAATAAAGGCTACATTAAGATTAAATAAAGATTTCAAATAAACAGCCTGACATACCTCTAGGAAATAGAGAATAATAATAAACTAAGTCAAAAGTTACTGGAAGGAAACAAATAATACAGATCAGAACAGAAATAAATGAAGTAGAGACTAGAAAAACAATACAAAAGATCAACAAAACTAAGAGTTAGTTTTTTGAAAAGATAAACAAAATTGACAAATCGTTATAGAATAGCCATTATAGAAAACTGTATGAAGGTTCCTCAAGAAAAATTTGAACCAACTTGAAAAGAAGAGCCAAGAGAATCCAGTGTCATAAAAGCAAAGAAAAAGTGTGTTTCAAAAGACATGGCCAGTAATTTTAAATGTTGCAGACAAGTCAAGTAAGATGACATTCAGCAATCTCTTACCAAGTATCTACTATGTGACAGGCATAGTGCTAGGTGGACACAAGCTGAATAGTATACCTGGATCTTTATGATCCAGCAGTCCCACCTTGGGATGCAAAAGACTTGAAATCAGTAACGAAGAGATGTCCACACTACCATGTTCATTATTCACAACAGCCAAGTTATGGAACCAACATAACTATCCATAAACAGATGACAGGATAAGGGAATTTGGTATGTACACAAAATGGAAAACTATTCAAGCTTGAAAAATAAATAAATTCTGTCATTTGCAACAACGTGGATGGAATTGGAGGACATTATGACAAATGAAATAAGCCAGGCACAGAAAGACAAATACTACACATTCTCACTTATAAGCTGGATTTAAAACAATTGTACTCATAGAAGCAGAGAATAGAATAGTGCTTATCAGAGGCTGAACAGTGGGAGAAATGGGGAGATGATGGTCAAAGGGCACAAAGACTCAAACAGGAAAAATATGGTTTAGGGTTTTTTTAGACCTATTGCACAGCTTGGTGAAAACAGTTAAGAGTGTATTATACATTTCAAATTTTCAAATGTTTTTACCACACAAAGTAATAAGCATTTGATGTGATAGATATGTTAATTAGCTTGATTTAATTCTTCTATATTGTATTCATAAATCATAACATCACTCTGTCCTCCACAAATAGATAGAACTATAATTTGACAATTTACAATACAATTTTGTAAAAAATAGAGATGATTAAGAAATAAGAAACTAAGATAACTGAGTAGGCAGGTTTGAAGAAAAGACCCAAACATAATTCTGGGGAAAAAATGATAATTTATGTACAAAATAAAACCTCAATGGTTGTATTAAAAGTGAGCTGGGAGAATATTTGAACTGGAAAACAGATCACGTGTTATTCTCCAGTAAGAAGCACAAAGAGACAAAGATATGAAAAAAAATCTAAATGAGGTTAAGGAACATCGACTATGGCATTAAAAAGTCTAAAATATAGCTAATTGAAGTTTCAGAAGGCAAGTGTAGATAGAATATTAAAGAAATATTCAAAGAGATAAAGTGCTATGAATTTTTTTAGATTTAATATAAAGGAAAAGAGAGGCTGGGTGCAGTGGCTCATGCCTGTAATTGCAACATTTTGGGTGGCTGGGGTGAGAGGACCACTTGAGGCCAGGAGTTTGAAACCACCCTGGGCAACATAGTGAGACCCCTGTCTCTACAAAAAAATTAAAAAATTTTTAAAACTAGCCAGGCATGGTGGCATCACCTGTAGTCTCAGCTACTCAAGAGGCTGAGGCAGGAGGATTGCTTGTGTCCAGGCTGCAGTGAGCTATGATTGCACCACTGTACTCCAGCCTGGACAACAGAGTGAAATCCTGCCTCAAAAAAATAAAAATAAAAATAAGAACAGAAATGAGAGGAGAAAATAAAACAGTACCTTGAAGAATACCCACACTGAACGTGTGGT
Source organism: Homo sapiens (assembly GCF_000001405.40). Lineage (NCBI taxonomy): Eukaryota > Metazoa > Chordata > Mammalia > Primates > Hominidae > Homo > Homo sapiens. The sequence goes on from NC_000010.11 coordinate 31,562,292, forward strand.
TGAAGGAAGGAGGATTCAGCAAAGAAAACTGACTTATTAGGGAAGAGAAAGAAGATCCAAGTTAATCCAATGTCATAAAAGCAAAGAGAGAGTGTGTTTCAAAAGTTATGGCCAATAATTTTAAATGTTTCAGACGAGTCAAGTAAGATGACATTCAGCAGTCTCTTACCAAGTATCTACTATGTGATAGGCATAGTGCTAGGTGGACACAAGATGAATAGTATACCTGATCTTTGTACTCAAAATTATGGGAGAAATGAAAATAAACAATTACAATCCAGTGCGATTAAGGCTATAACAGACATGAAAAAAGTACTCTATGAGCAGAGAGAAGGAGATTTTCTTCCTGTGTGCAGATCTTTCTTTCTAATGAACTCTCCTCACTTGTTTATCTCATGCTTTGTTTTCGTTTTTAGAATTCAGAATAAACATATATCTTTCATCGAAATGTTCCCCTTTGAACACAGATTGTCAGCTCTTTCTCCCTCTTTATCTGTACCTTTTTTAGTACATATACTTTAAGTTCTGGGATACATGTGCAGAACGTGCAGATTTGTTACGTCGGTATACACGTGCCATGGTGGTTTGCTGCACCCATCAACCTGTCACCTACATTAGGTATTTCTCCTAAGCTATCCCTCCCCTAGTCCCCCATCCCCCAACAGGCTCCGGGGTGTAATGTTCCCCTCACCGTGTCCGTGTGTTCTCATTGTTCAACTCCCATTTATGAGTGAGAACATGCGGTGTTTGGTTTTCTGTTCCTGTGTTAGTTTGCTGAGAATGATGGTTTCCAGCTTCATCCATGTCCCTGCAAAGGACATGAACTCCTTTCTTTTAAGGCTGCATAGTATTCCATGGTGTATATGTGCCACATTTTCTTTATGCAGTCTATCATTGATGGGCATTTGGATTGGTTCCAAGTCTTTGCTATTGTGAATAGTGCCTCAGTAAACATGTGTGCGTGTGTCTTTATAGCAGAATGATTTGTAATCCTTTGGGTATATACCCAGTAATGGGATTGCTGGGCCAAATGGTATTTTCTGGTTCTACATCCTTGAGGAATCACCACACCATCTTCCACAATGGTTGAACTAATTTACATTCCCACCAACAGTGTAAAAGAAGTGTTCCTATTTCTGCACATCCTCCCAGCATCTGTTGTTTCCTGACTTTTTAATGACTTCCATTCTAACTGGTGTAAGATGGTATCTCATTGTGGTTTTGTTTTGCATTTCTCTAATGACCAGTGATAATGAGCTTTTTTTCATATGTTTGTTGGCAGCATGAATGTCTTCTTTTGAGAAGTATCTGTTCATATCCTTTGCCCACTTTTTGATGGGGTTGTTTGTTTTGTTCTTGTAAATTTGTTGAAGTTCCTTGTAGATTCTAAGTATTAGCCCTTTGTTAGATGGATAGACTGCAAAATTTTTCTCCCATTCTGTAGGTTGCCTGTTCACTCTGATGATAGTTTCTTTTGCTGAGCAGAAGCTCTTTAGTTTAATTAGATCCCATTTGTCAATTTTGGCTTTTGTTGCTGTTGCTTTTAGTGTTTTAGTCATGAAGTCTTTGTCCATGCCTATGTCCTGAATGATATTGCCTAGGTTTTTTCTAGGGTTTTTATGGTTTTAGGTTTTACGTTTAAGTCTTTAATCCATCTTGAGTTAATTTTTGTATAAGGTTTAAGGAAGGGGTCTAGTTTCAGTTTTCTGCATATGGCTAGCCAGTCTTCCCAACATCATTTATTAAATAGGGAATCCTTTCCCCATTGCTTGTTTTTGTCAGGTTTGTCAAAGATCAGATGGTTGTACATGTGTGGCATTATTTCTGAGGCCTCTGTTCTGGTCTACTGGTCTATATATCTGGTTTGGTACCACTACCATTCTGTTTTGGTTACTGTAGCCTTGTAATATAGTTTGAAGTCAGGTAGAGTGATGCCTTCAGCTGTGTTCTTTTTGCTTAGGATTGTCTTGGCTATATGGGCTCTTTTTTGGTTCCATATGAAATTTAATGTAGTTTTTTTCTAATTCTGTGAAGAAAGTCAATGGTAGCTTGATGGGGATAGTATTGAATCTTTAAATTCCTTTGGGCAGTATGTCCATTTTCACTATAATGATTCTTCCTATCCATGAGCATGGAATGTTTTTCCATTTGTTTGTGTCCTCTCTTATTTCCTTGAGAAGTGGTCTGTAGTTCTCCTTGAAGAGGTCCTTCATATCCCTTGTAAGTTGTATTCCTAGGTATTTTATTCTTTTTGTAGCAGTTGTGAATGGGAGTTCACTCATGATTTGGCTCTCTGTCTATTATTGGTGTATAGAAGTGCTTGTGATTTTTGCACATTGATTTTGTATCCTGAGATTTTGCTGAAGTTGTTTATCAGCTTAAGGAGATTTTGGGCTGAGACAATGGGGTTTTCTAAATGTATAATCATGTCACCTGCTAACAGAAACAATCTGACTTCCTCTCTTCCTATTTGAATACTCTTTATTTCTTTCTCTTGCCTGTTTGCCCTGGCCAGAACTTCCAATACTATGTTAAATAGGAGTGCTGAGAGAGGGCATCCTTGTTCTGTGCCTGTTTTCGAAAGGAATGCTTCCAGCTTTTGCCCATTCAGTAAGATATTAGCTGTGGGTTTGTCATAAATAGCTCTTATTATTTTGACATATGTTCCATCAATACTTAGTTTATGGAGAGTTTTTAGCATGAAGGAGTGTTGAATTTTATTGAAGGCCTTTTCTGCATCTATTGAGATAATGATGTGGTTTTTGCCATTGGTTCTGTTTATGTGATGGATTATGTTTATTGATTTGCATATGTTGAACCAGCCTTGCATCCCAGGGATGAAGCTGACTTGATCATGGTGGATAAGTTTTTGGTGTGCTGCTGGATTTGGTTTGCCAGTATTTTATTGAGGATTTTTGCATCAATGTTCATCAGGAATATTGGCCTGAAATTTTCTTTTTTTGTTGTGTCTCTACCAGGTTGTGGTATCAGGATGATGCTGGTCTCATAAAATGAGTTAGCGAGGAGTCCCTCTTTTTCTATTGTTTGGAATAGTTTCAGAAGGAATGGTGCCAGCTCCTCTTTGTACCTCTGGTAGAATTCAGCTGTGAATCCATCTGTTCCTGGGCTTTTTTTTTTTTATTGGAAGGCTATTAACTACTGCCTCAATTTCAGAACTTGTTATTGGTCTATTCAGGGATTTGACTTCTTCCTGGTTTAGTCTTGGGAGGGCGTATGTGTCCAGGAATTTATCCATTTCTTCTCGATTTTCTAGTTTATTTGCGTAGAGGTGTTTATACTATTCTCTGATGGTAGTTTCTATTTTTATGGGATCAATGGTGATATCCGCTTTATCATTTTTTATTGTGTCTATTTGATTTCTTCTTTCTTTTCTTCTTTATTAGTCTGGCTAGTGGTCTATCTAATTTGTTAATATTTTCAAAAAATAAGTTCCTGGATTCATTGATTTTTTGAAGGGCTTTTCATGTCTCTATCTCCTTCAGTGCTGCTCTGATCTTAGTTATTTCTTGTCTTCTGCTAGCTTTCGAATTTGTTTGCTCTTGCTTCTCTAGTTCTTTTAATTGTGATCTTAGGGTGTCAACTTTAGATCTTTCTCACTTTCTCCTGTGGGCATTTAGTATTATTAATTTCCCTCTGAATACTGCTTTAGCTATGTCCCAGAGATTCTGGTACATTGTGTCTTTGTTCTCATTGGTTTCAAAGAACTTATTTATTTCTGCCTTAATTTTGTTACTTACCCAGTAGTCATTCAGGAACAGGTTGTTCAGCTTCCATGTAGTTGTGAGGTTTTGAGTGAGTTTCTGAATCCTGAGTTCTAATTTAATTGCACTGTGGTCTGAGAGACTGTTTGTTACGATTTCCATTCTTTTGTGTTTGCTGAGGAGTGTTTTACTTCCAACTATGTGGTTGATTTTAGAATACGTGCAATGTGGTGCTCAGAAGAATGTATATCCAAGAATGATTTGGGGTGGAGAGTTCTGTAGCTGTCTATTAGGTCCGCTTGGTCCAGAGCTGAGTTCAAGTCCTGAATATCCTTGTAAATTTTCTGTCTCATTGATTGGTCTAATATTGACAATGGGGTGTTAAAGTCTCCCATTATTATTGTGTGGGAGTCTAAGTCTCTTTGTAGTTCTCTAAGAACTTGCTTTATGAATCTGGGTGCTCCTGTATTGGGTGGATATATATTTAGGATAGTTAGCTCTTCTTGTTGAATTGATCCCTTTACCATTATGTAATGTCCTTCTTTGTGTTTTTTGATCTTTGTTGGTTTAACGTCTGTTTTATCAGAGACTAGGACTGCAACCCCTACTTTTTTTTTTTTTTTTTTTTTTTTTTGCTTTTCATTTTCTTGGTAAATATTCCTCCATCCCTTTATTTTGAGCCTATGTGTGTCTTTGCACATGTGATGGGTCTCCAGAACACAGCACACCACTGGGTCTTAACTCCATCCAATTTGCCAGTCTGTGTCTTTTAATTGGGGCATTTAGTCCATTTACATTTAAGGTTAATATTGTTATGTGTGAATTTGATCCTGTCATTATGATGCTAGCTGGTTATTTTGCCCATTAGCTGATGCAGTTTCTTCATATCATTAATGGTCTTTACAATTTGATATGTTTTTGCAATGGCTGGTACCAGTTGTTCCTTTCCATATTTAGTGCTTCCTTCAGGAGCTCTTATAAGGCAAGCCTGGTGGTGACAAAATCTCTCAGCATTTGCTTGTCTATAAAGGATTTTTATTTCTCTTTCGGCTATGAAGCTTAGTTTGGCTGGATACGAAATTCTGGGTTGAAAATTATTTTCTTTAAGAATGTTGAATATTGGCCCCCACTTTCTTCTGGCTTGTAGGGTTTCTGCAGAGTGATCCACTGTTAGTCTGATGGGCTTCCCTTTTTGGGTAACCAGACCTTTCTCTCTGGCTGCCTTAACATTTTTTCCTTCATTTCAACCTTGGTGAATCTGATAATTATGTGTCTTAGGGTTGCTCTTCTCCAGGATTATCTTTATGGTGTTCTCTGTATTTCCTGAATTTGAATATTGGCATGTCTTGGTAGGCTGGGGAAGTTCTCCTGGATAATATCCTGAAGAGTGTTTTCCAACTCGGTTCCATTCTCCCCATCACTTTCAGGTACACCAATCAAACATAGGTTTGGTCTTTTCACAGAGTCCCATATTTCTTGGAGGCTTTGTTCATTCTTTTTTCTCTAATCTTGTCTTCACACTTTATTTCATTAAGTTGATCTTCAATCTTTGATATCCTTTCTTCCACTTGATCTATTTGGCTATTGATACTTGTGTATGCTTCACGAAGTTCATGCTGTGTTTTTCAGCTGCATCATGTCATTCAGGTTCTTCTATAAACTGGTTATTCTAGTTAGCAATTCCTCTAACCTTTTTTCAAGGTTCTTAGCTTCTTTGCATTGGGTTAGCACATGCTCCTTTAGCTCAGAGGAGTTTGTTATTATCCACCTTCTGATGCCTACTTCTGTCAATTCATCAAACTCATTCTCCATCCAGTTTTTGTCCCTTGCTGGCAAGGAGTTGTGATCCTTTGGAGGAGAAGAGGCATTCTGGATTTCGGAATTTTCAGCCTTTTTGCTCTGGTTTTTCCTCATCTTCATGGATTTATCTACCTTTGGTCTTTTATGTTGGTGACCTTCAAATGGGGTTTTTGAGTGGATATCCTTTTTGTTGATGTTGATGCTATTCCTTTCTGTTTATTAGTTTTCCTTCTAATGGTCAGGCCCCTCTGCTGCAGGTCTGCTGGAGTTTGCTGAGGATCCACACCAGACCCTGTTTGCCTGGTTATCACCAGCAGAGGCTGCAGAACAGCAAAGATTGCTGCCTGTTTCTTAAATAACATTTACATACCTGTTCTCTGAGTCTGGGCAAAATAGTATGGACTTGTTTCTCCTTTCCATTCTCCCTTCCCTCAACTTAGTTCAGAATCTCATCACATCCACCTGGGCTTGTCATAGCTTCCACCCACCAGATGCCAGCCGGAGCTCTCCTGTATGAGGTGTCTGTTGACCCCTGCAGGGAGGTATCTCCCAGTCAGGAGGTCACTTGAGCAGGCAGTCTGTCCCTTAGCAGAGCTCGAGCACTGTGCTGGAAGATCTGCTGCTCTCTTCAGATTTGAGGCCTGTTGTATTCAAAAAAATTTTGAGTATCTGGTATGAGCGTGCATGGCAGATCTTTAAATAACATTTACATACCTGTTCTCTGAGTCTGGGCAAAATAGTATGGACTTGTTTCTCCTTTCCATTCTCCCTTCCCTCAACTTAGTTCAGAATCTCATCACATCCACCTGGGCTTGTCATAGCTTCCATATTTTAGTGCTGATCATAACATTCCCAGCTCAAACCCTCATTCATCTTAATACAACCCTATTCAAGGCACTATGACTTCATGGTGTAGACATTCAATAAATAAATGTTGAAATGAAAGAATGTTCAACATAAAATTAAACAGAGGTAAATCTTCCCCCAAAACAGTAATAATGCATTGGATTGTGTATGCTTATGTACATATCATGTCTGTATGCATGCTTATAAATTAATAAAATGAATGACAGCAATTATACAAGGGACAAAGGGAGAAATTATGATTACTTTGTTATAATAAGGTACTCACCCTAGCCATGAAGTGGTATAGTGTTATTTGAAATAGCGCTTGAGTTAGTTGTAAGTGTGCCTTGCAAACTCTACACCAACCACTAAAAAAAAGTTTAAAAAATGTATAACTAATATGCCAAGAAAGGAAAGAAAATAGAATCACATAAAATGCTCAATTAAAACTAAAAACAGCATAAAAATAGTGAAAGACAAAAAGAGAAACAAAAAGCAAGGGAGACAAATAGAAAAGAGTAGCCAATATGATCAATATTAATACAACTATATTAATAATCACTTCGAATATCAATATTCTGAATTAGAAGACAGAGATTGTCTGAATGGATCCAAAAACAAGACTCAACACTATGTCATCTATAAGAAACAACTTTATATATAAAGGTACATATAAATTAATAGTTAATGGATGAAGAAAAATATACTATGTTAATACTAATCAAAAGAAAGTAAGAGCAGACTTTGAAGCAAGGGAAGTTATCAGAGACAAGGGCATTACAAAATAATAAAGGGGGCTGGGCGAGGTGGCTCACTTCTGTAATGCCAGCACTTTGGGAGGCTGAGGCAGGTGGATCACGAGGTCAGGTGTTCGAGACCAGCCTGGACAACATAGTGAAACCCCCATCTATACTAAAAATACAAAAAATTAGCCGGGCATGGTGGTGGGCGCCTATAATTCCAGCTACTCGGGAGGCTGAGGCAGGAGAATCTCTTGAACCTGGGAGTCAGAGGTTTCAGTGAGCTGAGATCGTGCCACTGCACTCCAGCCCAGGCAACAGTGCAAGACTCCATCTCAAAATAATAATAATAGGGTCAATTCTTCAAGAACAACTGGAGAATTGCCTAACAATGAGGCAAAAACTGATAGGACTGCAAGAAGAAATAGATGAGTCCACTATTATAGTCGGAGACTTTATCCCTCTATCAGCAATGCACAGATCCAGCAGGCAGAACAATCAGTGAGGACATAGTTGAACCCAAAAATACAATCAGTTAATTGGACATAATTGACATGTGTAGATGACTTCATCAAACAAAAGCAGAATACACATTTTTCTAAAGATCACATGGAGAATTCACCATGATAGGCCATATTTTGGGCCATAAAACACATCTTAACAATGGAAAAAAAGAGAAATCATATAATGTCTGCTCTCGGGCCACAGTGGAATTAAACTAGAAATCAATAATAGAAAGATAACTGGAAAATCCAAAATTACATGGATATTAAATAACACACTTCTAAATAATGTATGGGTGGCTGGGCACAGTGGCTCAGGCCTGTAACCTCAGCACTTTGGGAATTCAAGGTGGGAGAATAGCTTGAGCCCAAAAATTTGAGATTAGCCTGGCAAGATGGTGAGACACCATTGCTACAAAAAAAAAAAAAAAAAAAATTAGCCAGCCTGGTGGTATGTACCTGTAGTCCCAGCTACTTTGGAGGCTGAGGTGGGAGGAGTGCTTGAGCTCAGGAGTTTAAGGCTAAAATGAGCTATGATCATGCCACTGCCTTCCAGCCTGGGTGACACAGAGAAACCCTGTGTCTATTTTATAAATGAAATAAAATAAATGAATAAACAAATATCACATGGGTCAAAGAATAAATCTCAAGAGAAATATTAAAATATTATGAACTAAATGAAAATGAAAATAGAACTTATCAAAATGTGTGAGATGCAGTGAAAACAGTGCTTAGAGGAAAATTTATAGCATAGGGTTGAATGCATTTATTAGACAAGAAGGAAATATTTAAAATCAATCATTTAAGCTTCCACCTTAGGAAACCAAAAGAGGAGTGAATTAAATACAATGTAAGCAGAAAAAATAAAATAAAAATTAGAGCAGAAATCCATGAAATTGAAAACAGGAAATGAATAGAGAAAATCAGTAACACCAAAACCTCGTTCTTTGAAAACGCCAATAAAATTGATAAGCCTCTAGACAGGCCAAGAGAAAAAGGAAAGAGGATATAAATTACTAATAATCAGAAATGAAAAAGGAGATATCACTACAGCTCCCATGTACAAAAATAAATGAAAGTATACCATAAACAATACTATCCCCCAAATTTAATTACCTAGATGAAATGAATCTATTTCTTGAAAGACATAGTGTACCAAAACTAACACTAACTAACAGAAATTCTGAATAAGCCTATATCTATTGAGGTGATTGAATTAATAATTAATAACATTCCAAAACAGAAAGCACCAGGCCCAAATGGCTTCACTGGTGAATTCTACCAAAATTTTCAGGAAGAAATTATACCAATTTTCTACAGTAATTTTCAGAAGACAGTAACAGAAGGAACATTTCTTAATTCACCTTATGAGGTCAGCATTACCTTAAAACCCAAAACAGAAGACAGCATTACAAGAAAAGAAAAATACAGATTAATAGCTCTCATGAACATAGATGCAAAAATCCTCAACAAAATATTAGCAAACTGAACCCAAGAATACATAAAGAAATTATGCAGCACAACGAAGACAGATGTAGCCCAGGTACGCAAGGCTGGTTTAACATTTGAAAATCAATTAATGTAATCCATCACATCAACAGAATAAAGAGGAAAAATCCCATGATCATATCAATAGATGCAGAAAAAGCATTTGCAAAATCCGTCACCCATTCATGATAAAAACTATTAGTAAACTAGGAATAGAGGAGAACTTCTTCAACTTGATAAAAAATATCTACAAAAAAAAACAAATCCTGCAGTTAACATAATACTTACTGGTGGGAAGCCAGAAACTTTCCCTCAAAGATCAGTGATAAGACAAGGATGTCCAGATGTCTCATCACACAACATTTTAAACATTGTACTGAAGTCCTAGCTAATACAATAAGTCAAGAAAAAGAAATAAAAGATATGCTGAATGGGAAAGAAGAAATAAAACTGTATGTGTTTGCAGATGGCATGATTGTTCATGTAGAAAATTTAAAAGAAATGACAAGAAAACTCCTGGAACTACTAAGCAATGATAGCAAGGTTGCCGGATACAAAGCTAATATACAAAAGTAAATATTTTTAAAATATACCAACAAAGAAGATTCAGAATTTGAAATTAAAAACATAATACTAATTACATTGACACTCCAAATGAAATACTTAAGTATAAATCTAACAAAATATGTACAAGATATCTATGAGGAAAACTATAAAACTCTAATGGAAGAATACAAAAAAGAACTAAATAAACGGAGATACATTCCATATTCAAATACAGGAAGATTCAATATTGTCAAGATGCCAGCTCTTCCCAACTTTATCTATAGAGTTAGCACAATCTCAATCAAAATCCCAGCAACTTATTTTGTAGATATTGACAAACTGATTCTAAAGTTTGTACGGAGAGGCAAAAGCTCAGAATAGCCAACACAATATTGAAGGAGAAGAACAAAGTTGGAGGACTGACTACTTGACTTAAAGACTTACTATAAAAGCTACAGTGATCCAGACAGTGTGGTGAAAAGTAAACAAATAAAACAATGGAACAGAATAGAGAGCCCAGAGATAGACTCACATCAATGTATTCAACTGACCTTTGACAAAGAAGCAAAGTCAATATAGTGAAGCAAAGATAGTCTTTTCAACAAACAGTGTTGCAACAACTGGCCATCCATATGCAAAAATAAATAAATAGATGAATTTAGACACAGACCTTACATTCTTCACAAGTATTAACTCAAAATGGATCATTGACTTCAATGTAAAATGCAAAACTACAAAAGCTGAAGAAGATAACATAGGAGAAGATCTAGATGACATTGAGTTTGGCAATGGCTTTTTAGATACAACACCAAAGGCATGATTCATTAAAAAAAGAATAAATAAGCTGAATTTCATTAAAAATAGAAATTTCCTTGCTGCAAGACACACTGTCAAAAGAATGAAAAGACAAGCTACAGACTGTGAGAAAATATTTGCCAAAGACCCACCTGATAAAGGGCTGTTATCCAAAATACATAAAGAACCCTTAAACCTCAACAATAAGAAAATGACCTGGTTTAAAAATGAGTGAAAGACCTCAACAGACACCTCACCAAAGATACACGATGGCAAGTAAACATATGAAAAGATGCTCCACATTATATGTCACTGGGAAAATGCAAATTAAAACAACAATAAGATGCCACTACACACCTATTAGAAGGTACAAAATGCAGAACACTAACAACACCAAATATAAGCGAGGATGTGAAGCAACAGGCATTCTCATTCACTGTTGGTGGGAATGCAAAATGGTATAGCCAATCTGGAAAACAGTTTGCAGTTTCTTACAAAATTAGACATACTTTACCATGAAATACAGGAATTGCACTGCTTGGTATTCCCTCAAAGGAGCTGAGAACATGTCTATGAAAAACCTGCACACAATATAGTAACTTTTTTCATCACTTCCAAACCTTGAGGGCAACCAAGATGTCTTTCAGTGACTGGATAAATAAACTTTAGCCTGTATAAGCAATGTAATATTATTCAGTGCAAAAAAGAAAGGAGCAATCAAGACATGAAAAGACATAGAGGAAACTTAAAAACATATTACTAAGTAAAAGAAGCCAATCTGAAAAGGCTACATACTATAGGATTTAAACTATATAACATTCTAGAAAAAGCAAAACAGTGGAGACAGTAAAAAGAGCAGTGGTTGCCAGGGGTAGGGTAGGGAAATACTATAATAGTGGATACATGTCATCATACATTAGTCCAAGCCCATAGAATGTACAATACCAGAGTAAACTCTAGTGTAAACTATGAACTTTGAGTGATAATGATGTGTCAATGTAGGCTCATTAATTGTAAGAAACATACCCCACTCTGGTGGGGGATGTTGATAGTGAAAGAGACTATGCACATGTAAAGGGCAGGGGTTCCACGGGATGTCTCTATACCTTCTTCTCAATTTTGCAGTAAGCCTAAAACTGCTGTTTAATTTTTAAATTTTCTGTAAACCTAAAACAATCAACAGTGCCATTCGATGAATTACTATAACTAATAAGTGTATCAATATTGCAAGATAAAATATCAACTTACAAAAATTAATAGTGCCATTCTATGACAGCCAACTTTAAAATATAATAGAAAATAAGACACCATTCACAATAGTTACAAGAACTACAATGTACATAGAAATTTATCTCATGAATAATGTAAATAAAAATATTTAAATATTTTTAATTGATACAAAAGAAAATCTAAATAAACGGTGAGGTATACTACATTCATAGATGGATAACTTAACAGTCTAAGGTCAACTATTCCCTAATTAATCTTTAAATTAAATGCAATGCCTAACAAAATTCCGGTTGGATTGCTTCAGTGTTTCAAAGACTACGTAATGAAATGTCTATGAAAAACTATATATATACAAATAGGAAAGTTCATTTTGAAGAAACACAAAGGGTGGGGAAATCTATTCTATTAGATATTGATATAATTCCAAAGTATGGCATTTATGAATTCGCCCACTTGCTAAAATTTATTTTAGCAGTCATTCCCATACATGCACAGAAGTGAAAACTTTGAGTTTTTCAACATGCCTGGTCCCAGCTGAAGCTGAACAAGGTGACACTCTGTTGTCTTGTTTCAGCTCTCAAACTGTAAAACAAGTGTCATGTTTTTCACATTTCTGTGCATTTTGCCAGTGATTTCTCTGTTTAAAATGGCCCCTATGTGTAGTACTGAAGTGTCTGCCTAGTGTTCATAAGTAAGAAAGCAGTGATGTGCCTTATGAAAAAAATACATGTGTAAACTTCATTCAGGCATGAGTTACAGGGCTGTTGGCTGTGAGTTCAATGTTAATGAGTCAACAACTCAGTACATCCAGAGAAAGGAGGAGGAAATTCATCAATCCGTATATGAGACTGCTTTGGCAAGTACCAAAATAACATCTAGAGTGCATGAGGAATTATGCAAAAGGTGGGAAAGCAGCTAACTGTGTGAATTCACGAGAGGATGACCAATCAGAAATTCATAGTGGACAGCATTGTTATGAAGCTGAAAGCCAAATAAATTTACAGTCATGTTACCAAGAGTCAGGGAAATGTTAAACCCTTCTCAGCTGGTGTGGGATGCCTCACAAGTTTCAAAAGGCAAAACAGCATGAAAAATGTGAAACTTGCAGGCGAGGAAAGTTCTACAGATCAGGAGGCTATGGAAGAATTTTTTTAATGCCTGTTAATTGTTGTACAGAAAAAAGGTTATGTGAAAGACGGGCTTTTCAACACTGAAGAGACAGGCTTCTTTGACAAGGATGTTGGCAAACAAACCTGTAACACAAATGATGTCCGAAGCGCCTGGCTTTAAATAATTCAAAGACCGTAACATTAATTATCTTACGGAAATATAGAAATGTATATAGGCATAACTAATTTTATTGCATTTCACTTTACTGTGCTTTGCAGATATTGTACTTTTTTAATACAGCGAAGGTTTGTGGCAACACTGTGTTAAGTGTATTTATGCCATTTTTCCAACAGCATGTGCTTGCTTCATGTCTCTGTGTCACATTTTGGTAACTTTTGCAATATTTCAAATCCTTTCATTGTTATGAAGTCTATTATGGTGATCTATGATCAGTGATCTTTGATGTTACTATTGTGTCACAAACTGTGTCCACATAAGACTGCCAGCTTAATCCAGAAATGTGTGTGTTCCAATTGCCTCACTCATTGGTCATTCCCCCATCTCTTTCCCTCTCCTCAGGCCTCCATATTCCTTAAGACACAAAAATATTGAAATTAGGCCAATTAATAACCCTACGATGGCCTCTAAGTGTTCAAGTGAAAGGAAGAGTCACATCTCTCTCTTTAAATCAAAAGCTAGAAATGATTAAGCTTAGTGAGGAAGGCATGTGGAAAGCCCAGACAGGCCAAAAGCTACACCTCTTGCACCAAATAGCCAAGTTGGGAGGGCAAAGGAAAAGTTCTTGAAGGAAATTAAAAGTGCTACTGCAGTGCACACATGAATGATAAGACAACAGAATAGCTTTATTACTAAGAAAGTTTGAGTGATCTGAATAGCAGACCAAAGCATCCATGGTATTCCCTTAAATCAAAGCCTAATCCAGAGCTTCAATTCTTTGAAGGCTGAGGGAGGCAAGGAAGCTTCAGAAGAAGAGCTGGAAGCTAACAGAGATTGGTTCATGAGGTTTGAGGAAAAAAGCCATCTCCATAACATGAAATTACAAGAAGAAGCAGCAGGTTCTGATGCAGAAGGTGCAACAAGTTATTCAGAAAATCTAGCTAAGAAAATTGCTGAAGGTGGCTACACTAAACAATAGGTTTTCCATGGAGATGAAAACAGCTTTCTATTGGAAGAAAATACCATCAACAAGAAAAGGGAACAACATGAATGAAACCTAACTGAAAGAGGCCAGACTCAACAGCTAATGATTCTATCCATTCTAGAGAAGACAAAACTATAGTGACAGATGACAGACACAAACACACACACGCACATGCATACACACATCCCAAAGGCTGCCCTTTTCTCTCTCCTTATTTCTCCCCACTTCTCTACTGCCCCGGCTTCCTCCAGGGAGTCCCCACCTCCAAGGGAATAGAGATGAGCTCATGAGGAAGGCTTGCATCGTATCCAGCCACCTCACAGAGAAGTCAAGCTTTTGTGGGCTCACCCAAGACTAAATGTCCAACAAGCAAAAGCATTGTTTGACAGGAACATGTCCTGATTAATAAAGAAAGAAAGAAAGAAAGAAAGGAAGAAAGAAAGAAAGAAAGAAAGAAAGAAAGAAAGAAAGAAAGAAAGAAAGAAAGAGAGAGAGAGGGAGGGAGGGAGGGAGGGAGGGAGGGAGAGAGAAAGAAAAAGAGAGAAAGAAAGAAAGAAAGAAAAGGAGGGAGGGAGGGAGGGAGAGAGAGAAAGAGAGAAAGAAAGAAAGAAAAAAAGAAAGAAAGAAAGAAAGAAAGAAAGAAAGAAAGAAAGAAAGAAAGAAAGAAAGAAAGAAAGAAAGAAAGAGAAAAATATTCAGACCACTTCCCTGGCCTTAAGTTGAGAAATGTGTTGGGTTCCCTCAGAACATCTTAAAGGGTTGCAAACTGGGCCAATGGTGTAGAAGGGCCAGTAGAGGGCCTGGAGGTCATCCCACTCTGACTCTGCCTGAGGGGCACAGCACAGCTGAGCATCACCAAGCCCAGGCAAATAATGCAGCTGATGGAGATATGAACTTTCCTTTCTGGTTTCCCACTGCTGTGGTTTGAATGTGCGTGTGCCCAATGCTCTTGTGTCAGAATCTTAATCTCCAATGCAATGGCATTAGAAGGTGCCTCTAATCACCTTTAAGAGGTAATTAGCTCATGATGGCTGCCCAATCATGAGTGGATTAATACTATTATCTTGGGATGAGTTAGTCATCTTGGGAGTGGGTTCCTGATAAGAAGGGTGACTTGTTCTCTCTGTCTTTTGTGCTCATCTCTGCCTTCTGCTTTTCCACCATGGGGTAACCCTCACCAGATGCCGGCACCATGCTCTTGGACTTCCCAGCCTCCAGAACCACTAGTCAAATAAACTTATTTTCTTTACAAATTACCCAGCCAGTGGTATTCTGTTACAGTAGCAGAAAATGGACTAAGACACCCACTTGCTTCCCTCATGTATCCAGCACCCTGGCCCTTTCTCTACACTCACCATATGGAAGCTCTTCTTGGAAAGTCTCATGCAGACTGTTTTATAACAAGCTGCAAAACCTCATGAGAGTAAAGAAAACACTTCTTCTAGGACTTGATCTTTATTAGGGAAATAGGCCTTAACCAAGCCAAAGCCTTTCATTTCACAATTGCAGGAATGTTGTTCAGTCATGGAGGAGGCTTCTTGTGCATCTGAAATAATCAAATAGGTATAACGATGGAGCATACTCCATCTATGCATAAGGAAGTCTCTGCCTGTCTTCTCCAGCCTGAGCCCCACAGACCTGGCCTTAGTCTCAATGTCTTTCCTGGTACCAAAGACCATCATGAAGCTATAAACACCAAGGGCACTGATGATGGTGGCCAGGGTCCAACCCATTAAAATGAGCTGAATGTCTTTATGAGTACACTATTTAAAAGAACCTCTCTGTCTGAATAACCCTGTGGAAACCTCCCAGCCTCCTCAGAAGGCATTAAGTTTTCTAGACCAGAGCATCTGGTTCCAAAAACACATCAGCTTCTGCATGGGGACATACTGGCTTGAATTCTTCCATCCTGGGGTAAACTGGAGGCGCCATAAAATTTTCTTTCCTGGGGTTGTGTTTTAGCGCTCTGCCAGAGAGCTGCAACAGGACTGTCACCATCATCATGCTGATCAGCAGCTCAGCTCAACACAGAGGTTGAGGAAGAAATGGCCTGAATATCACTGCCCAATTTAAGTTGATTAGTGGTTCCTGAGGCCTTCAAGATTAAGCACAGACCCTCACATCATGACTAAGCCTCCTGTTGGCTCCCTGCCAGCCTCCAGCAGGTGAGCCAACTGCAGCCAACTGCTGCAGCATCCAGCCAGCATGCCATGCCCTAAATGCCCTCATCTCTCAGCCTAAAATGCAACCTCCCTTCCTCCAAAACCACGACTCCCTTCTTTCCACTCTGGCCAAAGCCTCCTTATTCCTCAATCACTCTCACCCTCCAGGATGGCTGCTCCATCCTGTGCCCTCTTAGGGTACAACACACCCAAGTGGGGCCTCATCACTGTGTCCTCCTCTGCACTGCCAGCTCTAAACAGTGCCAGGAAGCAGTGTCACAAACCAGCGTCTTTCATCTGTGTCCTCAGATGAAAGGGCCTCTTCATCAAAAAGGTCTTTAAAAATAGGTCAGACTCTCCCTTGCCTACAAAGATGTATGTGCACCCCCTGGAAGGCAGGGAGATGGCTAAGATGACTTGCTAGGGTTGAACTTAACCCATATCAAGCCACAGGGAGCAGGTCATCTGTCATGACCTGGCTTGGAGGAACAAGGAGCCTTTCTCCAATCTTGGGTCTATGAAGACCCAGAAGGGAGAATCCCAAGACACATCCTCTTCCCTCAGATTCTGATTTAGCATCATGGCCCCGGGCACTTCATTGTGTTTGTAAAATGTTCAAGGGTGACATCCCCATCAGCTGGCCCCAGTGCTTGTTTTTGTCAGAGGCTCTGTAAGAGCTCCGGTATCTCTGCCATCAGGCACATGGCAAAAAAGGTCTGCTGGGGATTTTAAATAAAATCACCTGATGAGTCATCAGTCACAGCTTAGGCTTGTGGCAGGGGCTTCACTTGTGCTTCAGAGGGTTTCCAGCTCATTATGGATGACCCGCAATGAAGGAGGACTTTAGAACATCTGTGTTTGGGCCAGCCCTGCCCAGAATCACCATGATGGGGAATCTAAACAAAGCCCTGAAGACTTTCCAGCCAGGATGGGGCTCAGGAGAACTAGCGTCTGCTGATAACACCCCTGTCCAAGCCACTGGAGCTTCAAGACTTACAGTGTCCCCAGCAGTCCCATCCACTAGGATGGCCAAGGCTGAACTGAGGTTTGATGCATGAAACTTAACTGACACCAGAGGTTGGGGCCAGTCGAAGGAGGAAAGAATGAGGAGCCATTGGGATTTGAAACACCAAGGAAGGCATGGAGTCAGCTGTGGCCTTCACAAAACCACTTAACCTCCCCAGATCTTGGTGTCTTTGTCTGTGGTCTCAGTGGGATGGATGACCATATTTATGATGAAATGAGAAAACATATAGGAAAGCAACTATGTAGCATGACAGAAACATAAACTACTTTCTGAGGTCCCTTCCAATCCCAAACCATATGTTTCTGTGAACTCCAGAGGCAGAGGGGCCAGCGACTTGGTGACTTGGCAGAACGGGTGTGGGCTGAGCACAGGCTGGGGCAGTATAGGGTAGGAAAGAGGTGGATGGGGACAAGTAGTCTTCCCAAGGACACAAGCACACAGAGCTGATGTGGTCACATGAATTGCACACCATAGAGAAATTCAAGCACATTGCAAAAATGACATGTGTGGTCCTTAGTATCTGAGACACCTCTTCTGGAAGCTGGGCTCCTTCACTCCTAAAATCTGAATCTATAATGGGCCTTTCCAGTGCAGCAAACTGCAGAAATCCCAGAGACCAACACATTCAGTGGGCCAGAGGTGCAGAGGACTGCAAGGTCACCAGGGTTTCATGAAAGTGCATCTAGGCTCATGGTGCACAAACATGTTGGACACTTGGCTTTGTTCATCTCTCACAGCAAGACAATCACAAAGGGAACCTTCCAGAATCCCTGGCACAGAGGGGAAGCAGCTGTATGGAGAGCTGGAGGGCAGCGAAACCGAGAGAGAGAGCCACTGAGGAGGCCACGGCCATGGTCTGATGGTTGGGAAGAGTGGCACGGCCATCGATCACTCCAGTCAGGCTGTTCTTCTAGGGAGCTGATATGGTTTGGTTGTGTCCCCATCCAAATCTCAACTTGAACTGTAGCTCCCATAATTCCCATGTGTTGTGGGAGAGACCCAGTGGGAGATAATTAAACATGGGGGTGATTCTTGTGGTAGTGAATAAGTCTCAGGAGTTCTGATGTTCTTATAAGGGGTTTCCCTTTTCTTTTGGCTCTCAATCTCTCTTGACTGCTGCCATGTAAGACATCCCTTTGCTCTTCCTTCATCTTTCGCCATGATTGTGAGGCCTCCCCAGCCATGTGGAACCGTGAGTCCATTAAACCTCTTTCCTTTAATGAATTACCCAGTCTTGGGTATGTCTTTATTAGCAGCGTGAGAATGGACTAATTCAGGAGCCCAATCCAGGCAAACGCTGCTGGTCCCGAGGGAGGCCCCAGCATCCACTATAGCTATGCCCCCAGTGAAAAGAAAAGTCAGTGAGCTCTTTCAGGCAGAGATGGGAAAGACTTCTGAGAGGGCTGGAGGCCAAGGGCAGGGTTGAGCAAGGGAAGGAAGTGAGGGTGTGGATGCCTGCCTGTATCCTACAGCCAGCGCTGAGGGCTGCAAGGCCCAGAAAGTTCTTAGCCCACTGGAGAGAGGCTGTCCCTCTTGTTTTTGTTGTTGTTGTTCAGTTTGCTTGTTTCTGAGAAGAGCCTCGCTCTGTCATCCAGGCTGGAGTGCATTGGTGCAATCATAGCTCACTGCAGCCTCAAACTCCTGGGCTCAAAGGATCCTCCCACCTCAGACTCCTGAGTAGCTGGGACTATAAGCATGCCCCACCATGCCTGGCTAATTTTTTTGTTTTTTGTAGACTATGATATCTTAGATGTCTTGCTCTGTTGCCCAGGTTGGAGAGCAGTGGCAAGATCATAGCTCACTGTAACCTCAAACTACTGGGCTCAAGCAGTCCTCCGGTGTCAGCCTCCTGAGTAGCTGGGATTGCAGGTGTGCACCCCCATACCTGGCTAATTTAAAATTTTTTTTTTTTGAGACAGAGTTTCGCTCTTATTGCCCAGGCAGGAGTGCAATGGTGCGATCTCAGCTCACCGCAACCTCTGCCTCCCGGGTTCAAGCAATTCTCCTGCCTCAGCCTCCTGAGTAGCTGGGATTACAGGCATGCACCACCATGCCCAGCTAATTTTTTGTATTTTTAGTAGAGACAGGGTTTCTCCATGTTGGTAAGGCTGGTCTCAAACTCCCTACCTCAGGTGATCCGCCCGCCTCGGCCTCCCAAAGTGCTGGGATTACAGGCGTGAGCCACCGCGCTCAGCCAAAAAATATTTTTGTAGGAATGAGGTCTCACTATGCTGCCCGGATTGCAGTGCAGTAGTTCAATCATAGCTCACTGCAACCTCAAACTTCTGACCTTAAGCAATCTTCTCACCCCAGCCTCCCAAATAGCTGGGACTACAGGCATGCACCACCACGCCTGGCTAATTTTATTTTTTGTAGAGACGGGGTCTTATATTGTTCAGGCAGATCTCAAACTCCTGGTCTCAAATGATCTTCCCGCCTTGGCCTCCGAAAGTGCTGGGATTATAGTTGCGAGTCACCTTGCTGGCCTCTTTTTATTGGTATGTGCCTCTCCCCTTGTAAGTCTTTGAAAGAGTTGACTGAGTGTGTCAGATTTTGACCTTTCACAGAGAGCTTCCTAAGTTTGGTGTATGTCTCAAACCCACCTCTTGAAAATAATTGTGTGGGCGTTTTTGTTGTTGTTGTTCTCTGACTCTTTTTCCAGCCCTGACCCTGAGGGCTGTCTACTTTCACAGAGCCACTGGAGGACAGTGACTAAAAGGGGAACTAGGCTGCCTGGGTTTTTTTTCTTCGTTTCTCTCAAGTCATTTCCCCTCTGGGGTAAGCCCAGAAAGATGAATGGCTGTTGCTGGTTTGTGAGTGGCGACTGCCAGGGACCCTCATCTGTCTGCCTCCCTCACTCAGTTCTTAGATTTATCTGGAAAAAGCTCTTTCCCGTCTGTCCGTGGAATGATTACATAAATGCAGTATTTCATCTACATCAGCTCTTAGAGGCTTGACGTGAGATTGACTTTAATGCTGAAGGAAGAGAACACAACCTAGTTAGGGGACCAGGAACATCTCAAAAATGCCCGTCCATTCCCGTTCCAGCTGCACCACGATGACATTTACACAAAATGGCATAAGATAATCACATTTTTTGAGCACCCTCATTCGCCAGCTGTGTGCCCCGGAATGAAATTAGCTCAATTTAATTACAGATAACAAATGGCTGTGCCCATCTCCTTGGCGTGCAGCAATCCCAAGAGTTCACCATGGGCACCCCTCATCTCCACTCATCCCTGAGAGAGCATTCTGTGGAGCCCAACATCTCCCTCAGGGCCACCCCCAAAAGGGAGGGAGCTGCGATCCAGGCTTCCTCTACTGTTTGTTTATCTTGGCAACTATTGCTAGGGCTGGTGGATTTAAATTGCTGGAGCAGAGCAGGCAGGACAGAAATAAAGAGCCCCAGAGAGCATCTAGGGTTCAGGGCTCCCACCCACTGCCCCAGAGTACACTGGCCTTCCCTGGGTGCAGCCTTCCCTGCTCCTGTCACCTGGTATAACCTATAGCTTCCTTGTACAGCATGACTCAGCCCTGAGAAGCCATGGGACAAACATGCAGCCACTGCCCCAGGGGCTGAGGCAATGCCACTCAGGTCCTCCTGCCTGAGCTGCAGTCACCTTTGGGTCCCCTACCACAAAAGGCAGTGGGTTCCTGGGTGCAGTCATTCCTGGCCCATGGCCTCTCTGTGAGCCCAGGGTCTCTCTGCATTTGCCCAGTAAAATTTATCTAGCACTGTCTCTGAGCCACGCCCTGCATAGGTGCTGGGGATTCAGTAACTAAGTGAACACAGTCGCTGCCCCTCAGGGGGCTCATAATCTGATTATCCAAAAGGACAAGCTAGCTGCTGCTCTTGCCCTAGAACAGTCCAGGGCTATCCTGGAGGATTTTGTTTCCTTTTCTAAATTCAGAAATATCCTGGGATGCAACAGCTTTCTGAGTTGCCGGGCAAAACATCCAACAGCTTTTGGCCTCTGTCTCCACCCTGAAGAGCATGAAGTCAGCATTTCCCCAAATGTGAGCAAAACAGCAGCTAAATATAAGCTCCTGAGTAACAAGGGGGAGGTGGATAGGAATGAGGTGTCCCCTCGCAGGAAGAGCCACTTGCTGATAAAAAGGTGAGATGCAGGGCCTGTGCTGGGGCTCGCTCGCTCCCTGTCCTGGCTCTGCAGGGTGGGTTGCGCTCACCTCCACACCCGGGCTGCAAAAAGCTGAGAACCTTCCCAGTCACCATAGTGACAGAGCCAACAGATCCAAGTGAGGAAGGCAGCTTCCTAAATTGGAGTTATTCCGAGTTAATAACTGATTTGTCTGTGGACAACGACAGCAGTTATTTCACTGAAAGACACGAGATGCCCAGAATCTTTAGAGCTGTAAGAAAATGCCCTTCTCTCTCCAACTGTGTGGGTTATTTTCTCTGTTCGCTGTCGGTAAAATTGCTTGGGCAATGGTCAGCTTACTGCCCCAGATGCAATCGTATGCATGTGGTGGGAAGAGAGGGTTTGTGGGGGATGGGTAGTGGCGGTGCATCCTTCCAGGAGGTGGAAACCTGGGCAGTGGAATATTCCACCCCACGCCAATACCCCAACATCAAAACACGACGCCATGCAAAGAACTAGCCAGCCTGCCCCAGTGTCCTCTCCTTTGCTTGCTGGGAGAGTCGGGGAACAAGCCCCCCGCCCCCGACCTTCCCACACAGCTCCCGCATCCCACAGGTGGGGATGAGCCCTGTGTTGATGTGAAGGAGCAACAGAACACGCCCAGCAGTGGAGGGGAAGCCAGGATGGGGAGCCAGTCAGTTCCAAGCTCATTGCTCAAACCTGCCGTCATTCATTGGCTGGAGGGTTTCAGTTCTCCACCCCTAATCAAAGCAGAGATAAGGCTGGGGCGGGGGGCGGGAATAACACGGTCAGGAAATGCCCACTCCCTCCCTGCCTTGACCAGCTGGGAGGTGCTTAATCTTTATCACCAGAAGCTGCCCGTCTGCTGGGCATGCCCAACAAGCTGAGAAGACCGAGGAGGAAGAGGAGGAGCAGGATGGAGCCTCCCTGACTTCCTGCCGCCACACCCCCAGCTGTGGCCTCCTGCTCCTGCAGACCTCACCCCTGTGAGGCCACTCTGCTCTATCCCTGCCCCCACCTGTGCACAGCCACACACGACAAGCCTGTGTGACCACCCTGTCACCTTCCCCAGGCTGCAAACTGGAAAAAGCAGAGGCCAACCCAAGCTAAAAAGCCCGCTGATGCCGGCCAGTTGCAAGACCGCCAGCGATGGCATTGGGAATGGGGGTCCGAGGCTCCAGACTCTGCCCCAACGTTCCCCAGTGAACTTGGGAGAGGCCTGCAGCAACCTGAGCCTCGGTTTCCCTGCCTGAACAATGGGGAGCTGTGCATTTAGGCATGGATGAAAGGTTCTGTGAGTCAGGGTGGGAGGCGCTGTTCCTTCTGCTCATGGGGCTGTGGCCAGGTGCTGCCTCCCCAAATCCTGGCCCCTTGCTGGGCTGTGATGAGTTGAGTTCATGTCCATTCTCTTCACCGCAATTAATCTTCATTCCAGCCTTCCCCTAGGGCAGGCCTGGCCCATGAAACAGGCACTGTGATTTTATCTGCTGCTTAGGCAGCGAAGAGAAAGATGCCGTCATTGTTTCCCTCTCTGAAGCAGAGGATAAAGCACTTTCTGGGCTGCTAAACCAAGAAAAGTGTTCCTGGAAATCTTGACGTCTTCCTTGCACCCCTCCTTCACCTTTCTCTCCTTCCTTCCAACAGCAAAGGATTGCTGCCAAATGGCCATAGTCATTCACATTATGTCTGGTGACACTCTTTTCAGAAAGTTACCACGTGGCGTCTGCTACTGAAACTGTACATAACTTTTGGTTTAGTGTCCTGCCGAAATAAATAGCTAAGGCTATGTGTACTAGGTTGTTTATGGCAACGTTTTTTACAGTGACAAAAAAGGGGATACCTCATATATTCAATTAGGGAATGGTAAATGAAAATATTATAAAATCTATGCTGTACTGTGAGATATTATGTAGTTATTAAAAAGAACAGGTTAAAGCCAATTAGTTACCAATAAACAGGTTCATTAGGTATTAGAAACAAGCAAAACCTCCAACAGCTTTTGGATGAGTGGCTGAATTGCAGGTGTGCACCACCATGCCTGGTGCAGGGTGTATAGAATGATTTCATTTCTGTAAAAAAAGGAATTTAAGATTGGAGGGAGCAGAAAAGTTTGTGGGTTTTTTTTTTTTTTTTTTGACAGTTTCATTCTTGCCATCCAGGCTGGAGTGCAATAGTGCAATCTCAGCTCACCGCAACCTCTGCCTCCCAGGTTCAAGTGATTCTCCTGCCTCAGCCTCCTGAGTAGCTGGGATTACAGGCATGTGCCACCAGGCCCAGCTATTTTTTTGTATTTTTAGTAGAGACGGGGTTTCTCCATGTTGGTCAGGCTGGTCTCGAACTACCGACCTCAGGTGATCCGCCCATCTCAGCCTCCCAAAGTGTTGGGATTACAGGCGCGAGCCACCGCACCTAGCCAAGTTTGTGTATTTTTGAATGACTCTAAAGAAAGGCAAAGAATACACCTTGAGCTGTATTATTAGTTCCCTCACAGGCCGTAAGATTTTTCCTTATATATCTTCATATTGCTTGATGTTGTAAGCATTTTGAAATGTAAAAAATCACTATAGCAGAAAATTTTAATGTAAAATATGTTTCAGAAGCTGACTGCTATCCCCTTGATCGTCATACTTTCTTGCATAATAGATCTCTCGATATTAGGCTAGGTTTGTGATTACATTTCTTGACCACCTCTGTGGCCAGGTGACTTTGCCGACCAATGTAATGTCGGGGAAGGGTTGTGTATAACATCTGGGATGAGATCCACTAAAGGAAGGGTCGTGCCTCACCTTTTGCTTTCTCCCTCCTGCCTGGGGGACGTGGATGTGATGGCTGGAGTCCCCTAAGCCATGAAATTCAGAACTACCTCCCAGGAATAGCCAAGCAGGTGGCCTGGAGAGCCCGGTTTGGGGATTAACGCAGAGCCATCCTGCCACCTTCATTTAGCCTTTTACAGTAGAAGGAAAGAGATGTTGATCCTGTTTCAGCCGCTGTTACTTGGGATTTCTATTACACACAGCCAAATAAGTCCTACCTAATATAAGAAACAGAAAAATTAGAGTCCTTCCTAGCCATCGAAGAATCTGTGGTGATGCTACACCCAGGGACAGATGGGAACTCATCCAGGAACTTGAAATATTGGAGGGGAAAAAAGATGCGTTCTATAAGCGAAAAGAACGCTTGAAGCCCAGGGCTCCTGAGAACTCCACTACAGGATGCAGAGTGAGAGGGTGGCAGACCCAGCTTTGGATGGTGGACTTCTGACTCCTGGGCTAGTACATGGCCCTGAGCTTTGCTGTCTTCAGTCCCAGCTTGTGGCCCCCTGAAATAGGGAACTGGTGACCTCAGGCCTGCATGGGGCCACGGAGTGACCCGCCTGATAAACAGTTCTGGGCATGAACAGCTGCTGTTCTTGTGGCCGGAACTGGTTCCTTCCCGTGAGTTCTTAGTCTGGCTGACTTCAAGAATAAAGCTGCAGACCCTCGCAGTGAGTGTTACAGTTCTTAAAGATGGTGTGTCCGGAGTTTGTTCCTTCCAATGTTCAGATGTGTCCGGTTTCTTCCTTCTGGCGGGTTCGTGGTCTTGCTGACTTCAGGAGTGAAGCCACAAACCTTCGCAGTGAGTGTTACAGCTCTTAAAGGTGGCATGCCCGGAGTTGTTCATTCCTCCGGTGGGTTCGTGGTTTTGCTAACTTCAGGAGCGAAGCTGCAGACCTTCAAGGTGAGTGTTACAGCTCATAAAGGTAGTGTGGACCCACAGTGAGCAGCAGCAAGATTTATTGTGAAGAGCGAAAGAACAAACCTCCCACAGCATGGAAACACACCGGAGCGGATTGCCACTGCTGGCTCCGGTGGCCAGCTTTTATTCCCTTATTTGGCCCCGCCCACATGCTGCTGATTGGTCCATTTTGCAGAGTGCTGATTGGTCAGTTTTTACAGTGCTGATTGCTGCATTTACAAACCTTTAGCTAGACACAGAGCGCTGATTGGTGCATTTTTTACAGAGTGCTGATTGGTGCATTTACAAACCTTTAGCTAGACACAGCGCGCTGATTGGTGCACTTACAATCCTTTAGCTAGACAGAAAAGTTTTCCAGGTCCCCACCTGATTAGCTAGACACAGAGCGCTGATTGGTGTGTTTTTACAGAGTGCTGATTGGTGTGTTTACAAGCCTTTAGCTAGACACAGAGCGCTGATTGGGGCATTTACAATCCTTTCGCTAGGCAGAAAAGTTCTTCAAGTCCCCACCCTACCAAGAAGCCCAGCTGGCTTCACCTCTTATTCCCACAGTGCAAGTCCAGATTGGGCCGAGTCCAGATTGGGCGGAGGGACCTGCACAACGCCTGCAGCCCTTTCTGCCCCTCCCTTCCCTGTAACCAGTTCCACGCCTTAACCTCTGTGGTGAGCCTTACTGGAAAGAAAGGCAGTGTCTGGGGTGGGTTTTGGCCAAAACCGAGTTTTGTCTTTCCTACGTTAAGCCCCTAGGCTGCGGTTCAACCCTATTATCTACAAGGTACAGACTCTCTTGCAGGGAAAGGTGCTGACTTGGATGCTGGAGGGAATAGTGCTCCCTCCCTGAGAGCAACAGTTTAGGGCACCCTCCATTGTCTCCATAATTCCTGGAGTGACAGTGGAGGAAGGAAGAGGAAGCATGATCATCAGACAAAGGCCAGAACCCAGAATCTCATGTCCTTGCCTCACCTCCTAACTGAAGCTGCCAACATTTTCTGACTGACTTGGGTTTTGTGTTGAACTTGCAAATTCAAATTTGAGAGAATCTGATTGGCCCAACGCCATTTGGTACCCCCAAGGTCCTATGTCCACCCCACGTGGACTCTGGGGCGTGGACTCCAGAACTGTTCTTTGAGGACTTTCCAAGGTAGGAAAGACAATTCCACCCAGGCAGGAAGCCCAATGGAGCCTGAAGCCCGGGATAGGGGAGCTCCCTACCTCCTTCATTCAGACAAAGAAAGACAAGGGGGTGTTGAGAGTCACAAACATGCCCTGTCCTCTTCTGTTACCTCCAGCAGTTTCATGGAGGGTACTTGGACCTGCCACCCTTTGAGAATAGAGTAACAGTTCTATAGTTTGTATGCAACTCCCTTCACTTTTTTTTTGAGACGGAGTTTTGCTCTGTCGCCAGGCTGGAGTGCAGTGGCATGACCTGGGCTCACTGCAACCTCCATCTCCCAGGTTCAAGTGATTCTCCTGCCTCAGCCTCCCAAGTAGCTGGGATTACAGGCACGCGCCACCACACCCGGCTAATTTTTGTATTTTTATTACAGACAGGGTTTCACCATGTTGGCCAGGATGGTCTCGATCTCCTGACCTTGCAATCCACCCACCTTGGCCTCCCAAAGTGCTGGGATTTCAGGCGTGTACCACCACACCTGTGCAACTCGCTTGACTTTTGTGACTATTTATAAACAGAGCTGTGCTATTCACAGTTGCACCATATCTATCTCTCAAAACACAAACTGATACTATCAAGAAGATTATGATCATGGTTAGTCTATTTCTTTAAAAAAAACTAAAATCTTTATGCTGTCATCTGATATTGGCAATTAATATGCTAATAACAAAGTATGCTTATTTTATTATGAAAGCAAGTCTAACAAGAATCACTAACCATTGGATCTTCTTTTATTAATAATAGCTTGAAGCTATTAAGACATAATTTATTTTGTTATACATTTTATTTGGCTTTATCACATTTGAAACTGGCCTCTTTTCCTTCCTGCCTCTCCCTCTCCCAGTTAATCCAGGTTACTGGGATTAAGAGTGTCCCTTCCAGCAGGGCACAGTGGCTCACGCCTGTAATCCCAGCACTTTGAGAGGCTGAGGCGGGTGGATCACTTGAGCTCTGGAGTTCAGGACCAGCCTGGCCAACAGAGTAAAACCCCATCTCTACTAAAAATACAAAAATTAGCCAGGTGTGGTGGCAGGTGTCTGTGATCCTAGCTACTCGGGAGGCCTAGGCGGGAGACTCACTTGTGCCCAGGAGGCAGAGGTTGCAGTGAGCTGAGATCGCACCACTGCACTCCAGCACTCCAGCTGGGCGACAGAGTGAGATTCCATCTCAATTAAAAAAAAAAAAAAAAGAGTGTCCCTTCCTAGGATCATCCCTAGAAATTTCATTGAAAAACTGGGGCCTGAGTGTACCTGTAGGTGGGAAGAGGGAAACAAATCTAGATTTTTATCACATCCCATTCTACAGGCAGCTGCCATGCTGAGCTTCACCCATCAATACAGTTTGCCTTTCTGTGTGTTTGTACACTTGAATTTTACACAGGGCAGCTCATGACAAGAAAGCAAACACGGGCCAGGGGTCTGGGATCCAAGGTAAAGGCTGGAGGGTACAATCAGACTCTGTAAGGAAAGACTCCTTAAGTCACTTAGCACAACATCTTCAAGGTTCATCCATGTTGTAGCATGTGTCAGAATTGTATTCCTTTCTAAGGAGAAATAATCTCTTATTGTATGTATATACCACATTTCGTTTATCCATTCTGCTGTCGATGGACTTTTGGGTTGTTTATACCTTTTGGCTGGTGTGAATAATGCTGTTGTGAACACTGGTATGCAAACGTCTGTCTGAATCTCTGCTTTCAATTCTTCGGGGTATATATCAGAAGTGGAACTGCTGGATCATGTGGTAATTCTGTGTTTAACTTTTTGAGGAACTGCCAAACTGTTTTCCACCACAGCTGTACCATCTTATATTGCACAAGAATTCCAGTTTTTCCACATCTTCACCAACATTTGATATTTTCTCTTTTTTTCCCTTGTAATAGCCAAATTCTAATATTTGGTAGAATTCACTAGTCTAATCATCTGGTCAAGGGCTTTTACTTGGTGGGAAGTTTTTGATTGCTGATTCCATCTCCTACTAGTTATAGTTCTGCTCAGATTTTCTATTTCTTCATGATTCTGTTTTGGTAGATGTATTCTTCCAGACATTTTCTTCATTTCATCTAGTTTATCCAATTTGTTCGCAGTATTCTCTTATAGTCCTTTTTATTTTGGTAATATCAGTAGTAATATCGCCACTTTCACTTCTGATTTTAGTAATTTAGGTTTTTTCTCTTTTTCTTAATCTAGCTAAAAGTTTGTCAATTTTGTGTTGTTTTTAAATAACCAACTTTTGATTTTGATTTTCTCTAGTCATTTTCTATTCTCTATTTTATTTATATTTGCTCTTATTATTTCCTTCCTCCTCCTATATTTGGGTGTAGTTTACTCTTCTTATTCCTTATGGTGTAAAGTTAGTCTAAGTTATTGATTTGAGATCTGTCTTCTTTTTTAACATATGTGTTTATGCTACAAATTTCCCTTTTAGGCCGGGCATGGTAGCTCATGCCTGTAATCCGAGCATTTTGGGAGGCCAAGGTGGGCAGATCATTTGAGGTCAGGAGTTCAAGACCAGCCTGGCCAATACGGTAAAACCCCATCTCCACTAAAAATACAAAAATTAACTGGGTGTGGTGCTGGGTGCCTGTAATCCCAGCTACTCAGGAGGCTGAAGCAAGAGAATTGCTTGAACCTAGGAGGCAGAAGTTGTGATGAGCTGAGATTGTGCCACTGCACTCTAGCCTGGGTGACAGAGTGAGACTCTGTCTCAAAAAAAAAAAAAAAATTCCGTTTTAATACTGCTTTAATTGCATCCATTACTTTTGGTATTTTGAGTTTTTGTTTTCATTTTTCTCAAGGTATTTCTAATTTCCCTTTTTATTTCTTCTTTGATCCATTAGTTGTTTTAAGAGTGTATTGTTTTCAGGGCTAAAGTTAATACATTTGTTTTGTATTAGGGTTTTAGTTAAATAAGTAAATTTTAGCTGATCTTGTCACCAAAAATGTAACTATGTGAGATAATATATATATTAATTGGCTTCACTATTGTAACTGCTTTATTATTTATGTGTATCTTATAATGTGTCTAAGTATGAATCTTTCAGACTTATACTTCTTGGAGTTTGTTGAGCTTCTTTAATTTGTAAATTCATGTCTTTCTTCAAATCTGGAAAGTTTTCAGCCATTATTTCTCCAAATAATCTCTCTGATATTCTCTCTCTTATTCTGTAGCTTCTATAATGCATAAGTTGAACCACTTAATGGTGTCCCACAAGATTCTTATATTCTGTTCACCTTTCTTCATTTTTTTATCCTGTTCCTCAGAATCAATATTTTCAATTGTCTTCTCTTCAAGTTTGCTAATTCTTTCTTCTATCTGCTCCAATCTGCTGGTGCATTTCTCTGGTAAATTTTTCATTTCAATCATTATATTTTTAAGCTTCAGATTTTCTGTTTGGTTCTTTTTAAAGTAATTTCTATATTTTGGTAGATATTCTCATTTTGTACATATATCATTTTCCTGATTTTATTTAGTTTTTTGTTCATGTTTTCTCTTAGCTCTCTGGCCATATTTAAGACAGTTGTTTTATGGTCTTTGTCTAGTGCTTCTGATGTCTAGGCTTTCTTAGGAGCAGCTTCTGTCAATTAATCTTATTCCTTTGAATGATCCATGTGTTCCTGTTTCTTTTTATGCCTTGTGTTATTTTGTGTTGTTGGTGTTGAAAATTAGGTATTTGATTATTATAATGTGGTAACTCTAGAAATTGAAATCCCACCTTCCTAGGATTTGCTGGGGTCTTGTCTTCTTTCTTTGACTCGCTCCCTCCTTCCCCTCTCCTCCTTCCCTCTCAACTCCTTCCCTTGATCCTGTGCTCACCTGTGCATGCTCCCTCTCTCTCTCTTTCTCCCTCCCTCCCTCTCTTTCTTTCCTCCTTCTGGTTGTTGTTGTTGGAGGCTTGAAGGCTGTATTAGTACATTTGTTTTAAGACTTTTTCAAGCAATTTTCGCAAAGACTATGGCTTGTTATGTATGATTACTGAAGTTTTTATTCTTTAGCTTATGTTCAGGTAATGTTTTAACAGAGATTTTCTGAAATACTAGGAGCTAAAAAAAACAAACAAACAAACAAAGAGTACCCACCAAAAGAAACCAAAATGAGAGAACATCCACCTCTCCCAGTCTTTGCAGATTGGCTCTGTGCTAGAAGAACCCCTTTACGACTTACCTAGGCTTGCTTTGAGCCTAGAGTCCACCTCAATGTGACAGCTTAAGATCTTCTCAGGATTTTTCCAAGCCTGGATCTTGCCTTGCCATGTCCATGAGTCCCTAAGTTCTCCTGTATGCATGACTACTTTTGAATGTACTAATTCCCAAGAGTTTAACACCAGCTTCTCCTCCAGGCCTTAGATGATCTACCATATGTCTCCACCTAGAATCTCTTGCCCCAGACATCTCTGGGTCTGTGATTGACATGTAGCTTTTAAAAGCAGTGCCTGCTGATTTTCCCATCTGTATTTTGAGTTATGTGGAACACAGACTAGCACCTTACATCACTCCTTGAGGTGTCCCTCAGACAGCTCAGAACAGAAATCCACAATAATTTCAAAATAAGGTTTTCTCCCTCCTATTCAAGGGTATAATTAGGAACTGGGCTGCTGTCTACTCAAGACCAAAACCACTATTGTGCTGGGAGATGTTGAGGGGATGTGGCAAGGATGAGTAAAAACTTCACACACTTTCTTTCCATTCTGAAGATAGCTTTCTTTTTGATTGGGCATTTGGTTGTTTGCTAAACCTTTGTTTTCCAGGACTCCTACAAAGTTGGTTAAGATAGCTTCTGAGATTTTGTTTTTGCTTTTGTTTATTATGATGCATCTGTGGGGAAATGAGAACTTGGAGCCTTCTCGCATGCCATTTTGCTGATGTCACTCTTGGCAACATGACTCTGGACACAGGTGCTGAGAACCTGAATCAGACAGGACAGCTGTCATGCAAATGGACAAAACTAAGTTTATTGCTGAATTTAATAAATATTTATTAAGCACTTACTATATGCCGGGCATAGTTACTGGTGCTAGCATCTAAAGCAGCCTGGAGAAAAAGAGATGGGATGTTTGTATTCATTTATTAGTTCATATAATAAATATCTATTGAGCTCCATCTACAAACCAGGCACTGGCAATACAGTGAGAAATAATGTAAGCACCATGCTGCCACAAAGTAAATTTAGGTTAGGTAGTGATCAGTTCCTGCTAAACCATTAAAGAGTAGAAATCAGATATGTTACTGCCAAGCTACTTAGAGGAGAGAAAATGGAAGGAAACTTGTATAAAGAAATACAGATAATGGGAGCAGGGAGGGAAGGAGAGGAAGAGGAGTTGGAGAAATAGCACTGTAGTGAGAGGATATAGGTGACTAGATTATGATGCCGTGGGACGAGGGAAATGATGGGGAAGTATGGGGGCTACAGGAATCAAGGGCTAAGAGTAAGGAGGGCTTCTCAGCATTGGTGGCAAGTGATAACTAGGCAGATGAAGATGAATGGGAGGTAATCAGGGGAAGTATAAATGTGTTTCAGGCAGAAGAAAAATATGTGCAAAGGCATAGAGTCAAGAGAGGGTACAGCATATTTAAGTAACTAAAACAAGCCCCCTTGGTCCAGCTATTTAAGGTTGTGAGTAGTAAGAGCCAGGAATTGTGAGTAGAACCAAGGTTTAAGCCATATAAAGCAGTTAGAAGTGATCATAAGAGCAATGTAGAGCCCTGAGGGGTTAATAAACGAAGTACCATGAAAGGACAGGGATTTTAGAAAGATTTGTTTGGCTGCCTTGTAGATAATAAACTCAAGGTTAGTTAGGAGCTGTGACAGTAATGGAGACAATAGAAGGTGGTGATGTCAACTTGGATAGTGACCATGAGAATAGGGAAAAAAACCGAATGGAATAATTAAGAGACTGAATACATATTATGGAGCTTGATTGGACTGGATCGAGGGTTGGAAAAAGGAAGGAGACAAAAATGATCCCTAGGTTTCTAGCTTGAGCAACTGGTAGACTGAGGTGCTATTTACTGAAATCATCTTAGGAGCTGCAAGTGCTCTGCCCAGATCACTTTACAGGCCAGTATACCCATTTGCCAACTACCAGAGCATTGCCCTCAGCCAAATAGGAGCCAGGAGCTGCTTTGCACAGGAGGTTACACTGCCCCACCCCCACTCCCCAAGCTGCAGCTGATGACCAACTGCCAGGAGGGTGCAGAGGGCTGGCTCCTTTGCTGCAAGGGGAGACTGATTATGTGATGCTCCAGAGCTCCCTGAGGGGTCAAGCTGTATCTGGACTCCAGCTGAGATCACCTCTCTGCTTAAGTTACTTGCTTGGCCCATCCTGCTCCTTTCACTCTCTTTCTCCTAAGTGCACTCCCTCAGTAAATCACAGGCACCCCAATCCCTGCCTCAGATTCTGCTTTTAGGAAACCCACCCTAAGGCAGTTGGTTCCAAGAATATTCTTCAGAGTAAATTCTAAAGGTTGATACTCCAGAGTTGATTGCTTGCCAGCTAGCTGCCAATGTGAACCCCACTATTGGTGGTAGAGTGGAATGTTGAAAGGCCTCAGCCTGATCTAGCAATGCGACTGCTAAGACTTCCACCTGTGGTGAGCTGAAAGGAGTTACAGGTTAAGCTGGGTGCAATGTCTCATGCCTGTAATCCCAGCTACTTGAGAGGCTAAGGCAGGAAGACTGATTGAGACCAGGAGTTCAAGACCAGCCTGGGTAATATAGTTGGACTCTGTCTCTAAATTTTTTTTTTCAATTAGCCAGGCTTGAATGCTTGCACCTGTAGTCCTGGGAAGCTGAGGCAGAATGATAGCTTGAACCCAGAAGTTTGAGGTTGTGGTGAGCTATGATTGCAGCACTGTGCCTAGCCTTGGTGAGAGTAAGACCCTGTCTGGAAGGGAAGGAAGGGGAGGGGAGGGGAGGGGAGGGGAGGGGAAGGGAGGGGAAGGGAGGGGAAGGGAGGGGAAGGGAGGGGAGGGAAGGGAAGGGAAGGGAAGGGAGAAAGGAAAGACAGAGGAAGAGAGAGAGAAAGGAAGGAAGGTAGGTGATATAGGGCAAATTGTAATTATAAGAACTGCAGGAGTGATGACTATTGCTGAATACCACTGATGCATTAAAGAGAGAAAATGACAGGCTCTGGGCAATCAGTTACCAATTCGAAGCAAAGTGTAAGAAGATGCATTTGAGAACCTTCAAGTCCCCGACTGTCTCTGCACTTTTTGGGTTTGCAGAAGTGGTTCACTCCACCACGTTAGAAGAAGCCTCAAACAGTGAAAATGCCCTACAGATCAATGCTTGCTCTCTTAGGATCTTCTCCCTCCATTTTTTTCCTGGCCGCCAGGTCAATAACTAGAATTCAGTCCATGACTAGAATTCAGTCCATGATCGCCCATGTGGCAAATGCTTGGCCTACTAAAGGAGGAGAATTATGTACCAAAGGAGCTGCAGGATTCAACTGATATGTGCTAGCAGGAACTGGAGAAGTATGCCTGGGGTGCATCTTAAGGTGCTGATCAAGGGGGAAAGAATCTGAAAATAGACAAGTTTGTTGATACGGGAGTACTCTTCTGTGACATGGATTTAACATCACGGCAAGGGCCTAGGGGAGACCCACAAAAGAGGGAAGTCCCAATATGCTACTGAGATGGCTCTTAGAAGCTGAGAGAAAACAATGCCAGAATCATCATGCCTGATTATGGAAGAAGGGATCAAAGGCCACAGAAGTGAATGTGCTGGAACAAATTTGCTGAGTAAGACTAGAAAACTCAAGACCTGACTTTATTTTTCTGAAGAGAACCTAGAGGACAAATATCTGTGAAGGTGCTCAGGAGAGTGCTGGTAAGAGGAGCACGAACAAAAAATTTTAGTAAGTAGTGACTTTCTCTGAAGGCTGGGGCTGATGGTAGGGGATGTGGTTACAGACTAGGCTTTTTTAGTAGTAATGAGCACAATACTGCATCCTGGGATAACAGTGGGGGATGGCAGCACTTAATTGTCAAAAATGATATAGGCACAATTATTGTAATAGGGAACAAATTTAGGATGGCAGCCAGGGGTCTTGACCTACAGTGAGCCATGGGGATGATTAATAGGACATGGAGTTCCAGAGGCAAGAGAGATGGGCATCCAATAAAGGTACTGCCTAATATATATAAACAAAAGAGATCAAGAATAGGTTAGCAGAAAACTATCAGTAGCCCCAATGGATAATAAGAATTTCTTGTCCAGTATCCAGACCTAAGCCAGTTCTCAGACCCATATCCATCAACTAAAGAAAAGGGTGAGTCAGTAGTGATGCCTCAGTCCTTCTCCAAAGGGACCTATGGCCATTTGCCCAGGTAACCATACAGTGTGGACAGGAGAATACCCAGATATTTTTAGGGCTGTTAGATACAGAGCATGAATTAATGCACACACCCCGGGATCCTGTTACAGTAGTGTTATGTAAAGATCTAGTAATAAAGGGACTCTTGGCCCTTATCCAACTCAAAGTGGGTCCACCTGTGGTGGTTTCTGTCTCTCAGTAATTTCTGTCTAAGTCTGAAGGCCTGAGAACCAAGACAGTAGATGGCGTGAGTTCCAGTCCAAAAACCATAGGCTCAACACCCAAGAAGAGCTGAGGTTTCCATTCAAGCCCAAAGGCAGAAAAAGACTAATGCCCCAGCTCAAGCAGTCACACAGGAGGAGTTCCTGCCTACTTGCAGGAGGTTCAGCTCTTCTGTTTATTTAGGCCTTAAACAAATTGGAGCAGGGCCACCCACATTAGGGAGGGCACTCTGCTTTGCTCAGTTTACTATTTCAAATGTTAATCTCATCCAGAAACACCCTCACAGACACACCCAGAGTAATGTTTGACCAAACGTCTTGGTACCCCATGTCCCGGTCAAGGAGCTAACACATAAAATCAACCATTGCAGTCACCCAGCTGCTAAGTGGCAGATCCAGGATCTGAATTTCACAGTCAGATGGATATGAAGACCTTAAGATAAGATCTTCAGAAATATCTGGGCTAGAGAGAGAGAGACATTTGGGAGTCATCAACACATTGGTGGTAACTGATGCCATGGGAGTAAATGAGATAACAAAAGAGAAGATGTAGTTTGAAAAGAGAAGATGTCATAGAACAAAAACCCAAAGATTATCAGCATTCAAGTGATGGGCTGAAAAAAAGACCCAGGGCAGAACAGCCAGAGTAGAAGGAAATCTAGGAGAGAAACTAAGAGAACAAGGGTTGTTCTGAGGAAGAGGGGTTTGTCTGCAGGGTTCAATAGGACTCACATGTGGGGAGGGCTACAAAGTGTGCTTGGTATAAACGACTTTGGTGAGGCCATTCCAGTGGTTGGGGTGGAAGTGACATTGCAGTGACTGAGGAACCAGAGACAGGAGAGTAAGTCAAGCTTGGAAGGGTCTATGAGTTTCAAATTGGGTTTGTGAAGGGGAGTCAAGAGAGGGCTGAGAGCTGAAGGGAGACATTAGGGGAGGCTTATCAGTTAGCTTTTCAGGTGGAGAGACTTCAGCATCTTGAATTACCAGCCTGTCATTCCATGGAGAGAATCTCCAGGAAATGAGATAAGCCCACTCCCTCCTCAGGCTGATTATTTTGGCTCTCCAGGCGTCATTTGTATGACAGCCTACTTCACCATACTGTTGAGAGTAAGGCAGAAATGTACGTGGAGGCACCCTGTTGATAATCACCATTACTTCCAAAAGGAAAGGCAAAGGAGATGGCTGAATTAAAGATGACTCCAAGTTTTCAAAACGGAGCATCTGGGAAGCAGCAGTGTGGAAATCCTGGCAGGACGGGCTGAGAGCAGGAAGGACAACAAGGCTAGTTCACGCAGGCTGATGCTGGGGTCGCGGTAGGGCATCAAAAGTGGAAACACTGAGCAGATACATAGAGATGGGCACAGAATGTGGGAGAGAAGCCAGGATGGGCTGTGCACAGTGGCTCATGCCTCTAATCCTAGCAATTTGGGAGGCTGAGGCAGGAGGAATGCTTAAGGCCAGGAGTTGGAGACCAGCCTGGTCAACATAGTGAGACTCTGTCTGTACAAAAAATAAACTTAAAAAAAAAATAACTGAGCATGGTGGTGCACACTTGTAGTCCCAGCTACTTGGGAGGCTGAGATGGTGCACACTTGCAGTCCCAGCTACTTGGGAGGCTGAGGTGGGAGGATTGCTTGAGCCTAGGAGTTTGAGGCTGCAGTGAGCTATGATCGTACCACTGCACTCCAGTCTGTGTGACAGAGCATAACCATTTCTCAAAAAAAGGATGGAGGAGAGCTGGCATGCTGCACTTGAGGTGAGTAGCAAGTCAATATGGGGTTGTGTCATCTTTTGCAAAGTCATTCAAGAACACCTAGAACCTCCATGCATTTAGCAATTCCCTTGTGCCAAGCCTTTTACCTACAGTATCTTCAAACTTCATTGAACGTTTGGATGTTTGTCCCTTCCAAATCTCACACTGAAAGCTTATCCCCAGTGCTGGAGGTGGGGCCCAGTGGGGGGTGATTGGATCATTGGGGTGGACTCCTCATGAATGGCTTAGCACTATCCTCTTGGTGATGAGGGAGTTCTTATGAGATCTGGTTATTTCAAAGGGTGTAACACCTCCCCCCACCTCTTGCTTCCTCTCTCGTCATGTGACATTTCTGCTCCCCATTTGCCTTCCACCATGATTGTAAACTTCCCAAGGCCCTCTCCAGAAGCAGATGCCAGCACCACACTTCTTGTACTGTCTGCAGAACTGTGAGTCAATTAAACCTCTTTCCTTTATAATCTACTCAGGCTCAAGGTTTTCTTTATAGCAGTACAAAAAACAGCCTAACACACTTACGATCATCAGCATTTCACAGTTGAAAACACTGAGGCTCAGAGAGGTCCCCAGCTAATAAATGTTGCATCCCAG
Organism: Homo sapiens; assembly: GCF_000001405.40. NCBI lineage: Eukaryota > Metazoa > Chordata > Mammalia > Primates > Hominidae > Homo > Homo sapiens. The sequence goes on from NC_000010.11 coordinate 31,599,353, forward strand.
GAGCAAATACAGTTACTCTGGCTCCAAAGCCTGCATTCTTTCCACTACTTCATGCTGCTCTGAAGGATGGAATCTTAGGGTAGAACTATGTTTAGGAGATGAAAGGCAAAAGCTCCTTGGACAGAAGAACCATCAGAGGGTGTAATGTTACGGAGGCCAAGAGAAGAAAGAGTTTCAAGATGGTGGAACCGGAAACAGTGCCAGATGCCGCCAAGAGAACAGGGAAAATGAGAACTGGGAAGAGACTGCTAGATTTGGGGAGCAGATGATAATTAGCAGCTGTGGACCGTTGAAGGGGGCTGTGTTGGTGAAAATAAAGGTGTCTGCGTAGAAGCACGACCTCACCTTCTCATGTCCCCAGAATGGTACTCCTGTAGAGAAACTCCTACAGGGTCAACTCAGCCAGTGTCTGACAGTCACTGCATGTGGCTGATTGGGGAGTAAAATTCACAGCCTTCAGGCTCAAGCAGCTAACAACTTAACTGGGGACACTAGCTTTCGAATATGAAGACAACCAGAGAACACACATGGTAAAGGGAATGTGTGCCCCGACATTCCTCCCACTGCCTCAACTTCTGCCAACTTCTAGATGGGTGGGAACTGAGCTCCTGAGAGCAAGCTGGGCCAGCCATCTGTGCAGCATCTGTGCGTGACAGCGGCAGAGGCCATGGTGGCACACTGATCTCTCAGAGATCACGTGCAGCTGGAGAACTCTAAGTGGCTTCAGCAGTTAGGGGATAGGCAGGAAAAAAGTGAACCCCTAATGGACTCTGAGCAGAAATGGCCAGAGGGGAAGACAGAAAGCCAAGACTGTAGGAAGGGAAGAAGTTAGTAGCTGATTGAGCCCAAATGAGGTTCTTCTTTGTTCTCTTCTCCCACTCAACTACTCTTCTCTATTTTTTTTAGAGATGGTGTCTTGCTCTGTCACCCAGGTTGGAGTGTCACTATGATGACTCACTGTGGTCTCGAACTCCTGTGCTCAAGCACTCCTCCCACCTCAACTTCCCAAGCAGCTAGAATTACAAGCATGAACCACTGCACCTAGCCTTCTCTTCCTCTCTTAACAACCCATCTCACTCCTTCTTGCCTCAGTGGCTCATTTGTTTTTTTTTTTAAGAGACAGAGTCTCATTCTGTCACCCAGGCTGGAGTGCAGTGGCATGATCTCGGCTCACTGCAACCTCTGCCTCCCGGGTTCAAGCGATTCTCCTGCCTCAACCTCCCGAGCAGCTGGGACTACAGGGGCCTGCCACCACACTCGGCTAATTTTTGTATTTTCAGTAGAGATGGGGTTTTGCCACGTTGGCCAGGCTGGTCTCGAACTCCTGACCTCAGGTGATCTACCTGAATGGCTCACTTCTTCTTTCTCATTCCCTCCAGCCACAAATCCAGCCCTATATCCTCTTTATTGCTTCATTTTCTAAAATGGCCAGGCCAGCGAGTGTCATCCATGTGAGGGAACTAAGTCACCAGCCTCTTCCTTCCCACTCTGCTTCTGCCTTCATCCTGCATCCTCTCACCTCCTGCTTCTCAGAAGACACACAGAATTTCTCTGCTGGACCAACCACAGGCTTGGGTGCCCCCTGCCAAAAACACCTTTAGCTGCCACAGTGCCTGAAATGCCAGCACTGTCATCAATTCCTTTGGTTTCTGTCTTAAAATATTAATATGCCTGGAAAAATAAAAAATCTTGTTTCTAACATTCTAAATAATTGTTGAGAAGACCAACTACCTCTTTGCTGTGCCTTGGGAACCTTGGCCAGCTGGGGTTGGCATCAAGAGATGGTTTAGGGAATAGGGGGAGAAGGTGGAGAGACTGATGCAAAACTTAACCCATTATGCAATTTTGTCCTGGAGTAACCTCACCCTTGGCTTGGCTTTGGGGAAAGGAGTAGTAATTCCTCTGTGGCTGAAGCTGTAGGTGTTCCAGCTGTGTCCCCTTGGCTTCCCTTAGCATTTACCTGCAGACATTTTTCAAATAACAGTGGGGACAGTCAGAAGACCAGGAGTGGTGATGCCCCGCAGAAACTAATGCAGGACAATCCTGAGGAGTGTTCTCATGGTCTCTCAGAGTGCTCCAGCAATAACCCATTCAATAATGTACCTTTTATTGCTCACTGCTCAGAGCGCTTTCTGTATCACCTCTGAAAAATACGACTCATGCCCAGATTCTTGTTTCACATTTTGTTTCAAGGGGAATCCAAACTCAAACACCATATATAAGGGACCTTTCCCTTTGATTCCTACTACTCATAGGGGAGAAAATAAAGCCCACTGGCTCCTAAAAAATCCACTGACCCAGATTACAGGAATGTGCATTGAAAGTTTAAATGCATATACCCTTAGACCCAGAATCCTAGAAGTTTACCTAAGAAAATTAGCACACTGGTTGTGCAAAACTGTCTAAGGATGCATATCATCACATAGAAGGGTAATATTGGGAAGCCACTTAATGTCCAGCAATACCAAATAGGTTAATCATGGTATATCCCGTGTTGCCATTAGAAATGATGATATAGGCCAGGCGCGGTGGCTCATGCCTGTAATCCCAGCACTTTGGGAAGCCAAGGCGGGTGGATCACCTGAAGTCGGGAGTTCAAGAGCAGTCTGACCAACATGGTGAAACCCTGTCTCTACTAAAAATACAAAATTAGCCGGGCATGGTGGCGCATGCCTGTAATCCCAGCTACTTGGGAGGCTGAGGCTTGAACCTGGGAGGCGGAGGTTGCGGTGAGCCGAGATCGCGCCACTACACTCCAGCCTGGGCAACAAGAGTGAAACTCTGTCTCAAAAAAAAGGAAAAGAAAAAAAAGAAATGATGATACAGATTTTTAGACAGCTTTGCATGTCTGTGGTGCTTATATAAATACACCTACATACATATAGCTACATGTGCACATGAAGAATCTGGAAGAATGACAACGAAATGTTAACAATAGTTATGTCTGGGAAGAAGGATTGGGGGTTGTGGATCACTTTCCTTTTCTTCTTTACACCTTTCTGAATTGGAATATATACATATATAACTTGGGACTTTAAAATTTTTGAAACTTGAAAAAAAATTGTAATTAGAAATCAATGGCCTCGGCGCCAGAGAACTGAATTTCATAGCTCAAACTCGTTCTCCCAACAGGAGCTATTGGTCTCACCACCAAGGGGAGGTTGGAACAGACCCACAGAAGGGAACTGTCCCACTTAGCCAGGCAGTGGCTGTTCTAAGCAAGTCAGCAAACACATCTGCCAACTGGCAGCCATGGGAGAGCATGTCATGTCACGTGTCCAGCATGTGTGGCCCCATCTGACTCAGAGGCAACACGCACAGCTCTGGCGCCATAATCAGGGTCGCGGGTTGGGATCAGCTGTGCCTCCCCATCCCCACCCCCTACAGACCACCTCCCCTTACCCTGCCTGCCTGGAGCCCCAGCTGGCTCTTGGAAGGTCCCTTTCCAATTTGCTCCACATTCGGGAGTTTCTTATTCCCACGGGAAGAACTCGTTGCCATGGCGATGTGCGCCTCCCAACCCTGAAGCCCGCCCTGGAAGCGAAATCCTTGCCTGGGCTCCCAGGCTGAGCCGGAGGACCCCGGGGGTTCACCTAGCCCTCTGGGATAAGGGGCTTTAGTCTCTATATTCTTTGGGCTTGGGGGTTGGGGACAGTGGGAGGATTAATTATGGAGGCAAGGTCAGAGGAAAAGGGAAAAATGGGAAAGATTTTATTTAAAGCCCCTGGTCATTCTTGCCTTTCCGCCCGCCCACCACGACCCCTCAAGCCAGATGCCGTCTCTAGTTCGGGAGCGTTGGATGAGGATGCCAGGCACTCTGCTTTTCCTAAACAACTTCCAAGAACCCCGGAACATTTCTTAAAGTGTCTGGAACGAAGCTTTAACCTCGCCTGCTCCATCAGCCTGGGACGGAAAAGACGCGAGGGGCGAAGAAGAGGTGGGGCACGGGGAGCCCGGGCCGTTCGGCGTAAGTGATCCAGGCTTCCAGCGCCCCGGGCGCACCCCGCGGAAAGGCGTCTGGGAGTCGGGGACGTGCGGGGGGAGACCACCCGGCCAACCCCGGGGGATGAGCTGCAAGGCTGGCCACGCCCGGCAGGAGACTGCGCGCAGAGACCCGCCCGGGGAAGCACGGGAGGAGGGAGGGCGGCCATGTACAACCCCTGGCAGGTGGGAGCCTCCCTGGCGCCAGCTCGGGCAGGGCCACGCCCCTTCCCAACTCCCCGCGCTCGGCCTCCGGACTGCTCAGGGGGCCACGCCCCTTCCGGATTCCCCGCGCTAGGCCTCCGGACCGCTCAGCGGCCCCGCCCCTTCTCGAGTTCTCCGCGCTCGGCCTCCGGACGGCTCAGGGGGCCACGCCCCGTCGCCCGGGGCCCCGCCCACTCCTCAAGCCCCACGGGACTCCCAGCCTACCTCCCTCCCGCTGCCGCACTGGACTCCCAGACCTCGGCACCAACCGTATCTCCTGTTACTCGCCCCAGGGTGGTTGCCCGGGGAAAAACTCCAAGGGTTTCACTGGCTGGCCTGGAAACCCTTTCATCTTTGCTCCATCAGCAGCAGCTCTTTGATTGAGTTCTCCTGGCTTTAGAGCCTCCCACTATGGTCATGCTGCAAATTCCCGTGGCCAGCACCCGAGGCCTGCTGGCTCCGATCTGGGCCACGTGTACAACCAGGTGTGCCCCCTTAGCCTCACGCCCTCCTCCTGTTGCCTCCCCATCCCTCTAGCCTTCGGGACTTGGGGTTGCAATGAATCTTAGGTTTTTTCCAGGAGTCTTTTATTCCTCCAGCGTCTCCGTGCGCCTGTCCGCTCCAACACCTGACATTTTCCTTCAACTCCACCCTCCCCTCCCCGAGTCCACAGACACACACCCACCCACACGCCTCTTCCCTTCCCCTCCACCCTCAGTCAGCGGCAGAGTCAGTCCATCCAATAGGCAGGAGCCCAAAAGACTGTCCACGGACAGCTGTCCTCTCGCCCAGGAGAGTGGGGCTGCACACAGCAGCAGGCCCAGGAGGAAATCGTGCTTTGATAGCCCCAGGCATCGTATTTCATCGTATTTCACAAGTGAGCCAAATGGAGAAGGGATTAGCTGTTTCACCCAATAAGCCCACATCTGTAGTTACATTCTGACTGGGATAAAATTACCCTGGTTATTAATCCTTCTGCTTTAGGGCATAAGCTGATCACCAGCTGGGGTCAGGAAAAAACTCCACCCCAGCTCCTTCCAACTTGCTCCCCCATCCTCAGCTGCTCCATTTCCTGTGGTCTATTCTTGCACAGTTAGGTCTACAAGCCAGGTTCAAGGCCACCAACTGAGGCACCTGTCCCGAGACAGGACCATTCTAATCTGCCCTGAAAAGGACATCCCATTGATCATGTAAGTATGTACTGAGAATCTACTGTGGGCAAGACATTGGTCTTCGCTGTGGGAGATACAAAAACCATTCAGGCATGGCCCTTGCCTTTTTCATGCCAAGAAAAGCTGAAGTGTGTGGTCAGAAATTGCATGTGGTTTCTGGGACTTACTGCCCTGAAGCACCCTGGGTGTATCGGATGGCCTCAGGGAACACAGTTTGGGTATGGGCAGTATTTTCATGCCCATTGCCATTCCCTTCTGCCTCAAGTGTATGTGGGCTTTCCCTGCAGTCAGCCAGCAGGCCAGGCCAGGGTGGCTTTGTTTCTGTCTCTGACCCTTTCTCTTCAGACTCCAAATCTGCAGGTGCTGGAGACTTTGAAGGAGTCTCCGTTTCCCTTGGTAGAAACAAGAGGTAGGAACAAGCAGGTGGAAAGCCAGGGTTACTCCTTCCAGCCAATGGGTCTGGGGCTGCAGCACACAAAGTTGACATCCCGAAAGGCCATTTTCCTCGATCGCTTCAGACCTGGCATTGGGTGGACAGACCACATGATTCAGCATCCAAATTGGAGATCTCTCAATAACAGAAAGAGGTGCCATTGATAATTTCGTGGAACTTTCCTGAGCACACCAGGGTGTGCTCATTCTTCCTGAGGGGTCATCTCCCTTGGGCATCGTAAGAGGCACCACTGAGACACAACAGCTTTTGTCACCATTTCCCAATTGTGTCCCAAGCTCTCTGTCCTCTTCCCTGTGCTGGTCATCTCACAGTCTTCTTCTGCAGGTAGATCCCCCCTACTTCAGCCCTTCCTCCCACCTCAGCTCCTTTGTTCCCGCTGCCATGCCCAGAACAACCTATATTTCCACTCTCCAACCTTGGATCAACCCAACTGTGTTTTCACGCTACTATGTCCAGGATACTGGATGATACTAGAGATAGCCATCAGTAACATTCATTACATGAATAAGTCTGGGTTGATCCTGTGACACAGTTATGCCTTCTACCCTCTGCTGCTTCTCAACATTGCTCAGTCCTTATGTTGGTGTTCTCATTTCACATGATAGAGTTCCAAACCTTTTGTAGCCCGAATCGTCATCTATCCCCTAATTCTTGGAAAAGACCCTAACTTCACCAATAGCAACAACAATCAAAACCAACTGAACAAACAAAAAAATACTTAAGATACGAACCTCTCAGATTTTCTGAACTCTCCACCTCCAGACTAAATTTGTGGATGGATACCTATCTGTTGACCAGACCCTCCCTCTTCAATGAAAACTGCCTCTCCTTCCACTCCATCTGTGAGGCACCCTTGGATGCTGACATGTGCTTACATAGGACTTCCTGTCCACAGCCAGAATTAGCCAGAATTCACTGACCCATGGTTGGACTCCTAAAATACTCAAGATGAGAGACATGTTACTTTTCTTTACTATAGTAACTATCAAATGCATCCCATAACCTTATGTTGTAAATGTCAAATATGCACAATAAAATTTATTTGAAAAAATAAAGCTGGAAAATTGAAAGTAATGAATGTTCAGTTAAAATCTGCAAACAAGCTAATAAATAAATACTCAAGATGGCCCAGTGACAGCCTTTCTCTAGAGTTTTTGATTTGAGGCCAAGAAGGTTAGTGCAGCCTTTCTCCCATGGCTGTCACTGTGAAGATAAACATTTGGGAATTGATGGCAGCCTTGTTTCTCCACCAGGCTGAAGAAACTAGGACCTGCGGGGGCTGAGACTGGAGTGAAACAGATGTGAAGAGAAAAGTCCTGGGTCCAGGTGGTCCTGGGGCCCAGCCATGCTCTTGTTTTTTTTTTTTTGTTTGTTTTTTGTTTGTTTGTTTGTTTGTTTTGTTTTAATAGATTTAAATTGGTTCCTGCCAGGTACAGTCAAAGGCCTTTTTACCTGCTTCTCAGAGAATTTCCCTCCGCCTGCCTGTGGCTAATTCCTTCTCCTGCACCCTTGGTTCAGCCTCACCTGGCGACCCTTGTTCCATCACTTCCACCACTTCTCTAGAATCTTCAGTCATTTCAGCAATACATATGTTCATCTTCCTGCCCAAAAACTGAATAAGCAAAGACTTTCTTTCATCTCTGACCCTCTTCAACTTCTGCCCTTCCCTTCTACTCACTATCTCTATTTTCTCACCTCCTACTTAATGCCCAATCTGCTGCTGCTATCTTGCTCCATTTCTTCTTCCCATTTTCCTGAGGCTACTCTCTTGACAGGGAGTGCATTGCAGAATATGTCCAATTTCTTGTGTTTATGTTACTTGTCTGCAGCATCTGGCATCAGTAACCACCTCCTCTTTCTCAAAACTCCCACTGCACTTGATGGTTTTCCTGCTGGTTCTTGACCTGATGCAGAAAAGCTTGACCTGCAGAAGCTGTACTAGAAGCAATCAGGATCTAAAGCTCTAGACTTTTCCAACCTGCCTCTCATTGCCATAAAAATGCAACTGGCCTGTGTCTCCTCTCCTGGTGCACTGCTAAGGGAGGGCTGACTGATCTAATGAGATTACTGGAGCTAAGGCATTCACAGGTGAGTTATTTTGATATTTTAATAACAGCTCTCAAGACTTAGCTCAGTATCTCTCAAAGTTGGATTACAGTGGAAGGGAGTGGTGGGGAGCCGGTATAGGATGGAAGAAAGGGTTGAGAATATATTGTTGAGAGTCTAAGAGTTTTTGAGACATTTAATTTTTGTATTTTCACTTTAATGTTAATCAGTGCTTGATCATGCATTTTAATTTGCCATTCCACTGGCACCCAAGTAATCACCAACTTTTGGTGCAATATTTCAAAACTGGGGTGTAATCTCAAAGATTCAGATAATTTTTTTCTTCTAACATGAATTGCTTTGTTCCTCAAATTGGGAAGTACTAACTTAAGTACTTAAGGCATTGTAGGAATGCGAGTGTTGTCTATGTATCTGGCAGCATCAAGAGGAGAGACACAGAAATGTAAGACCTAAGTCCTGCCTTCAAAAACCCACATGCTCATTGGAAAAACAACACAGAAACACTTAAAAAATGAAATTCAAGCATGAAGTAACAGCGTGAGGTATGTCACAAAGTGGTATGTTATTATTTTTTTTTATGAGGTGGAATCTCACACTGTCACTCAGGCTGGAGTGCAATGGCATGATCTCGGTTCACTGCAACCTCCACCTCCCAGGTTCAAGTGATTCTCCTGCCTCAGCCTCCTGAGTAGCTGGGATTACAGGCGCCCACCACCATGCCCAGCTAATTTTTGTATTTTTTTATTAGAGACGGGGTTTCACCATCTTGGTCAGGCTGGTCTCGAACTCCTGACCTGGTGATCTGCCTGCCTCGGCCTCCCAAAGTGCTGGGATTACAGGCATGAGCCACCGCGCCCAGCCAGTGGCATGTTATTAAGAGATGTGGATACCAGTTTCTCCAGGAGATCACAGAGCTTTCCCTGTAGGAGTAATCAATGGAGGCATCCTTGTTGGGGAAGGGTCTTGGTGGTAGATGCTGGTCTGAAAATTGACCAAGGCCTTAAGTAAAAGTTAGGAGCTGTATTTCCAGAGTAGAAAAAGAGAGAGACAGAGAGAGAGAGAGAGGGAGATTCTAGGCGTGAAGAAAGCCCAAGAGCTCACAAAATCTTGAGCTTGGGATAGAAATCAGACTGGACCAAGTGGAGGGTTATAGTGGACAGTGCTCATTTAACAAAATATTTTGTTTATAAATTTATTATTTGATGTTTTAAAAACGTATCAAGAAAACATTATGGGCAAAATCAGAACACAGTTGGACTTCCTTACATTTATGTTATTTTTTTTCCTTTTTTCAATTGATACACATATTTGTACATATTTATGGAGTACATGTGATATTTTGTTACATGCATGGAATGTGGAATGATCAAGTCAAGGTATTTAGGGTAGACATCACCTCAAGTATTTATCATTTTTATATGTTGGGAACATGTCAAGTTCTCTCTTCTAGCTATTTTGAACTAGACAATACGTTGTTACTGACTATAGCACCCCACTGTGGTATAGAACATTAGAACTTATTCCTCCTATCTAACTGTATGTACCCACCAACTAAGCACTCTCTTAATCCCCTTCCCCACCAGCACACCTTCGCAGCATCTGGTATCTATCATTCTCCTCTCTACCTCCATAAGATCAACTTTTTTTAGCTTCCATATATGAGTGAGAACTTGCAATGTTTGTCTTTCTCTGACAGCCTTATTTCACTTAACATAATGACCTCCAGTTCCATTCATGTTGCTACAAATGACAAGATTTTATTCCTTTTTTATGGCCAAATAGTATTCTATTTGTGTATTTATATCACATTTTTAATCCATTTGTCCATTGATGGACACTTAGGTTGATCCCCTATCTTTGCTATTGTGAATAGTGCTGTCGTAAACTGAGAGCACAGGTATGCTGTGATGTACTGAACTCCTTTCCTTTAGAAAAATACCCCATAGTGGGATTGCTGGGTCATATGGTAGTTCTATTTTTAGTTTTTTGAGAAATCTCCGTACTGTTTTCCATAATGGCTGTACTAATTTAGATTCTCACCAACAGATCCTTGCCAGCATCTGTTACTATTTTTTTTTTGTCTTTTTAATAGTAGCCATTCTAACAGGGGTAAGAAAATGTCTCATTGTGGATTTCGATTTGCATTTCCCTGATGATTAGTGATGTTGAGCATTTTTTCATGTACCTGTTGGCCATTTGTATGTCTTCTTTTGAGAAATGTCTATTCATGTCCTTTGCTCACTTTTTAATGGGATTATATGGGTTTTTTTTCAACTGTTGGGTTGTTTGAGTTCCTTGTACATTCTGGATATTAGTCCTTTGTCACATTAATAGTTTGCAAATATTTTCTCCAATTCACCAGGCTGTCTCTTCACACTGTTGATTGTGTGTAGATGCTGTGCAGAAGCTATTTAGTTCAACATAGTCCCATTTGTCTAGTGTTGTTTTTGTTGCCTATGCTTGTGATCCTGTTTTATATTTATGGAGGATAGAGGTGAGACATCATAATCATATCAGTGTTAAGGACCTTGAAAGGTTGAATGCAGATCTTTAGTAGCACATAAAGCTGGGACTATATTTTGGAAGACTTGAATTCCAAGTGAAGCAGTTGGACCTTGCATATCTTGATGTGCAAAGGGCTTTGAGGACAATGACTACCTCAAGTTCTCTGGGTCTCTGGAGAAAAATATTTCTGATTTTACATACCTAGTCTAATATTGGATTTCGTATCTTTTACTGCATAGTGTACATTTTAAAAACTACATATGTAAGAGTTTTCTGGTGGTAGAAATTATGCCTCTTTGTTTCATTACTCTTGTTCATTGGTATTAGTTGGAAGAGATAATGTCCCTTTAAGTGCAAACCCTCCCTTGAAGAATAAATCCTAAAACAACTGGTGATGTTTATTGCTTCTATTAGCTTGATAATCTTAAGACAATCTTGATGCCATTTACACAACTTTTTCATTCCTCCATGTTACCGGGACACTACTTAGCCATTATGGGTTGTTACATTGTGCTTAGGATGGTGAAGATCTGACAACATGGTGTCCTGAGTCACACATATCTGTAAAATGAGTGAATACATGAATAATTAGGAAGGATTCATGATAGGTTAAGATATTCCAAGATTGACATTGAGAGGGAGGTTGAAATAGATGATTGCGCAGCTCTCTTCCAGCTCTAAGAATTTTCCTTGTGTTGAGGAAGGCGGGGAAGAGGCCATTCAATTTTCTAATGGCAGTCTCTCAAGAGAGACTGGCTTTATCCCCTTTCCCTAGAGTTTTCTTAAAAAGATACCACCACCCTTCTTAGTAGTATATTTCAGTTTCTCCACCTTCAGAGAAAAAATTTTTTCTAATGGCCAACTCAACTCCCTCAAACCACAGTTTAAGCCCATCCTATCTGCCTGGTTCTTCAATGACAACAATTCATCTCAGGGTCATGGTAAGACTACAGATGCTCTTCCGCTTACAATGGGGTCACCTCATAATAAACCCATCACAAGTTGAAAACACTCTAAGTAGAAAATGCATGTAGTAGATCTAACCTACTGAACATCATAGCAGAGCCTAGCCTACCTTAAACATGCTGAGAACACTTCCATTAGCCCACAGTTAGGCAAGGTCATCTAACACAAAGTCTATTTTATAAGAAAATGTTGAATATCTCATATAACTTATTGAATACAGTACATTGTAGAATACAGTATTGGTCATTTACCCTGATGATCGCATGGCTAACTGGGAGCTGTGCTCACCGCCACTGCCCAGCATCAAGAGAGGGTACCACGCCACATATCGCTAGCCTGGGAAAAGATCAAAAATCAAAATTTAAGTACAATTTCTACTGAATGCATATTGTTTTTGCACCATTGTAATGTCAAAAAATGTAAGTCAGGACTGTGTATTGCTAAAGCCAACCTAAGATTAAAATCCACAGAAGGACTTGATGGAGAGGAAGGGGAGGCATTTACAGAAAAGCCATTCAAGGTGATGCGGTTCTGCAGGAGGCTGAGGAGCCCCAGGGATTCACTAAGAAACAGTAATCACATTGAGCACCGCAGATCGCCAGGCTGGCGTCACTGCCCAGAGCATGGCCCGAATGAAGGTGGATTGCTTCAATTATCTGGGCATCTTGATGAATGGGCACTGCACACACTCTGGGGGAGATGGGAGGAAATGAGCCAGAGATTAATCACTTATGGCATCAATGAATGAAGAGTGTTTAGAGTCTGTGGTAGCCAGAGGGACAACAGGTTCACAAAAGCAGAGAGGAACCTAGAGTAATCGGGCCACCATTAGGAAAAAAAGTGGGCAAATATAACACCGAGACCCATCTTTGTTAGGCTGATTTGCATAAGGGTAGTGACAATTGAAGTAGCCCAGGTAGGGATGAACAGTGGAGTTCAGTCCTGGGAAGTACCCAGGCTAGAGTATGGTCAAGGTCTGGGAGCCCCAAAGGTAACCCCAAACCAGAGAAGGAGGGTCTCAGAGGCAAAAAGAGGAAGATACCAAAAATAGGGTAAGAATGGGAAATGAGAATGAATACAAGCAGCCTCCTGAGGGTTTCTAGAAGATAAAGCAGTGTGCAATCCCCAGCCTTTCCCAGAATTTCAACAACTGCTCATTATTAGTGGGATCTCAGTTCTTCTCTGCCCCCAAATTAGCAGGGGATGGAAGGAAAGGAAGGAAGGAAGGAGGAAAGGGAGGGAGGGCCTTAAGAAAGGGCTATGAGACGCAGCCTCACTTGGGACTGAAAGAAAATAAACCAAAGGCAGGATTTTAAACAAACACAGAGAACACAACATCAGCAATCCTAGCTGTTTGGGCTGCTGAATCCTGCAACCTTCAGCTATGGTGTGGAGACAATGGGGCAGAGGGATGCTCATTTCCCAGGTTGCTGATTGTTCAGAAACAATTCTGTGAACTTCACACAAGGAGATTTTGTTCGGAATAATAACGTTAAAAACCATTGAGAAATGGAAGGGGAACATGAATAGGAAAATAATGGTTAGATGACCTCACAGGAATGCATACCAAATGATATGGCTCACATGCAGAGAGGTGGCACTCGATTTTGACTCTAAGCTACCTAGCAGCATAAGCAATAAGGAAAATAGTTGCCAGAGCCTTCCTGTCCACAGGACAAAAACGAAGCCCTTGTTCAGAGGAAGCACAGCTTTTTCAGAGGCTGAAACCTTGGATATTTTTTTCTGGGCCAGTCTCCTCAAGAGCATCCTGCAGTGCTACAGTCAGGAAATTTCATGTTTATGTCTTTGGACTCCACGCTGGTGATTTCAGACCCACAGCAGTAGCAATGGCAGCATTCCCGGAGGGAAAGGAACCCAAAGGTATCACTGATACCCTGCCGGACAGAGGGGCTTTTATGGCTGCTACCATTACTGCCACTTCCTCAGAACCAAGTCCCAGAATCAGAGGAGTAGCAGTGGATTCCAAAATGAAATGCCACCTATGTGGTGCCACTGTGGGAGATCTTGTTCCCAACACATAGCTTCAGCCACCCCATGGCCCAAGTCAACCCAACACACCCCGGCACAGGAAGGATCCAATCACCTGGGAGAAAGCCCTGAATGAACCAAAGAATAACCCAGGGAAGAAACAGGTAGAAAGTAACAAAACACCCCTGAGATATTAGAAATGTCAACTCAAGAAAAGCAGCCACTAATGGTTGTAACAAAAGAAAGCAATAAGAGAAAAGGACCTGGCAGCTCCTTTCTAGATGGACGCTGGATGTATTTGTCTCCTGTGCTTCTGCCTTTGGGTAGAGAAATGCAGAAATGCAGTGCCTCAGTGGCTGGTTAGCTGGTTAGATGATGGCCCATTTTTCAGGGATTCTGGACAGGGTCCTACAGACGTTAGTGTTCAGATTTTGACTTGGACTCAATTAACCTGGGCTGAACATTTTACGTACACAGGACTGTCCTGGGTGAGCCACATGTACCAGTTTACTAATACGAAAATGGGCATTTTTATTATTCTCATTTTAAAGTTAGGAAATAGGCTCAAAGAGAGAGAGGCCTGGGAAGTACACTGTCATTAACTGTTACATTGCCATGGCCCCTGCTGTTGCTGTTGCTGCTGCTGCTGCTGTAAGTACAGAATCATCCACTCTCTTCATTTCCCTGGTTGATGGAGACAAGTTTGGCTGTGGCTCCCTTTAATAGCCCCCTTATAATTCAAAGGAAAAAAGACTTGGCCAAGCATAAACACACCTTTCAAAACAAATATATTGAACTAGATCACTAGATCATGAAAATGTCCATAAATTACTGCACCACAATAAGTAACTGTCTCTCCTTCCCTCTTTCCTTTCCTCCTTTGCTCCTTCCTTCCAGCCCAGGTGTCTGTGAAGTATTTACAGTAGATACAGTGTCCCCTGACCAGGCCATGAGGGGTTTGAAGCTGAGAATTACACAGTTCCTGCTCTCAAGAGCTCACACTCTGCTGGGGAGACAGAATATGTTGGGTGATTTCCACACACTTAGTGAAGTGCTGGCACAGGAGGCTGTAGGGTCAAGGAGAAATATAGCAAACAGACATGAGACAGGGCCTGGGGAAGGAGATGCTGTGGGAGTAACCAGAGGCCAGGGTGGAAGGCCCAAGAGTTTTGGCTGGTTCCAGTAGGGAGAGATTTTGTCTAGAGATATTTTTGGTTGATGCAATTCGGTATGTAGGTGAGGACCAAGGGAGTGCTACCAGCATCTAGTGGAAAGAGGTCGGAGATATTGCTAAACATCTTACAATGCACAGGACTGCCCCCAACAACAAAGAATTATCCAACTTGGAATGTCCAAAGTTGAGAACCCCTGCCCTGGAGTCGGGAGGAGCCCCTGAAGCTTCTAGGCAGGGCAGTGAAAGAGTCAGATGTATTTTCAGATGTCTTGTCAATATTGGAGAAATTAGGAAACTGCTGTTTCTTTCAAGTGGAATTTGTCTAAGGGATGGCTGTTGGAGCCAGTGAGCTGAGGGTCTGGAGGGTGAGAATTCCACCCAAAGGAGCGTGGTGCCATGGCAAGTCCTGAACCAGGCATCAGGAGTCCCGGCCGGACTTCAGCTCCTCCAGCCACAGGCTGGGTGACCATGGGCAGGCATGACAACTCCCTGAGCCTCCCTTTCCTCATCTACAAAATAAAGCACAAGAACATATACTGTTCTGGCCTTATTCCTGTGTTACTGTGATACCAAATACAATCATATTTATGAAAGACAGTGAGAAAACATGGATGAATGATATTATTGTACTATAAAGAGCATCTTTTAAGCAATTATACAATGAATATAGGCTAATTATAGCAAAGGAGAAAATACAGTTAAGCAAAAAGAGAACAATAAAACTCACCCATCAGCCATCCATCCCTTCACCATCCAGAAGAAACACTTAACATTTAATTGTATATTGTTAGCTTTCCAGGCTTGTGTGTATGTGTGTGTGTAATTTTTCATTTAAAAATCAGATTATGCTTTCCCCACAAATAGGCATTACAAATAGCATGTCACATCACTAAATTGTTTCTACACTATTATTTTGACACAGAGTGTCCTCTGTTGTTAGATTGTTGTGTCATTTTCAAATGTCCCACATTGCCAAACATTGCTGGGAGTTACATCTCCTTATGGGTTTTAATTAAATTAAAGTGAAAGATGTGGAGCTGAGAAATGCCTTACATTGGGGCACACAGCACAGCCAGCACCCAGACCTGGCCCTGTGCCCTCACGGCTGCTGGTAGGAACTGTAGGAGTAAAGAGAATTTTCCCTCCCCTCTGAAGGTTTAATCTACTGAAATAAACAGACAATCGACAGATTAACAGAAAAAGCATACAAACGTATTAATGTGCAGAAGCACAGGAGCTGTACAAAATACGAGTCTCGAGGGAAGGGTCAGATGGTTGAGGCTTAACTACCCTCTTCATAGGGAAGAGGGAAGAAAGGGGATATAGGCAATTTTGAGAAATAGTAAATGATTTGTAAGGGAATTGAATGAGCCCAAAGAACAGACAATGGCCTGGGACAGTGTTCCTCTGAGCTCTGGGGAGGTAGTGGGAAGGTAAGGGGCAGAACTGCACTGTGAACAGAGGTTGTCTTATTATGCAGATAAAGTCTCCCAGGAGTTTTCCTCAGAAGAACAGATGACATATCTATCTGGGTGTGATGACTTCAGGTCTTTTCTCTTGTGGTCACTCTTTCCTGGTTATTTGATAAGATTTCTAGGGAGGGAATCTTAAGACAGTTGTATTTCTTTTGGAAGAAGATTTTTCTCAGTCAGATAAGGGAACTTCCAGAGAGAGAGAGTCCCTCCGTGTGCTTAGGGGAGGAAGGTTAAAAGATCCTTTGTTCTGAGGCTTGAAGTCTAAGGCCTTTTGATTTCCTTCAGTTCAAAGTGCTCAGTAGCCCAAAGCACCATAGTTTGGGGTATTGTTTTCAGAATATTTATGTGGGATCCTAGATTATCAGGCAAACGAGGAGTAATAAATTCTTGCCACCTCCCCCCCTGAAGATTCAAGTTTACTGAACTAAACTGACAATAGGCAGATTAACAGGGAAAAAGGCATACACATTTATTAACTTGCGTAAGCACAGGAGCCATACAAAATGTGAGACTCAAGGAAGGGTTAGATGTTGTGCTTGTACCTTTGTCATTGTAATTTTGCTTCCTGTTTAAGAACTGGGGGAAAGGTAGGCAGGTGGTTCACCTGGAGAGGCACCTGATGCATTTCAGAAGCCCTGGATGGAAGGAGAGGGACAAGGGTTGAAAATATACTTGTCAGGTACTATGTTGACTTCTTGAGCAACAAGATCATTAGAAGCTCAAACCTCAGTATTGCACAGTATACCCATGTAACATGTACCCTGGAATCTAAAATAGAACATAAATAACTGAAAAAGCTCCACAAATGTCCCCTAAAACCCATCTCAGTAGCCCCAGCTGAGGCCACATCACCAAAGCTCAGCTAACTGAGAATGGTGTGCCTATTACTTGCTTTACTTCAGCGGTTAACCCAATGACTTAGAAGCTACAACAACATAATGACTGCAGCATCCTTCATCTAGGAAGGGGCTGAGCTGACCCAGCATTGGGGTGGATTGACACTGCTCCACCCACACTCTCTGGACCACTTTCCCTTGTGGCTGATGGCAGAGGGCTGGAAGATGGAGGCCCCCATTGGCCTCATGTTAGGACTCAAGAAACTTGTAGTTCATCTGTCCCAGAGACAAATTTGAAATACGATAGAAGCTCCATTGCAGTACTCTGTGGGCCAGCAAAACAACAACAGCAACAACAAAACAGCAATCACCCAAATGTCCAAAACAAAATGGGGGACTCTTATCTAGGATACATTGATTTCCTAGAATATCAATTTCTCATTTTAAATGATAATTGTTAAGACTATACAACCACATCTAAAATTCTTATGAAATCTTATTTTCATACTAAGACAAACAAGGCACACAATTTTATAGAGAATAAAACTACTACTGTGTTTAAAATTGCATTTGTATATGAAAAGGGAAATAGTTGCAGCAGCTCTATTAGGTGGAATGGGGAGACTTTTTCCTCTTTTTTTCTAAATGTTCTGTAATGTGGTTATGATTGCACAGTGACTGTAAGTGTGTTTGTGTATGTGTTTGTGTAAATGTGCAAGGAGCTAAGTTCTGGGTCCTCTCTTTGCACATCCACACCCTGTGGGCTCGGTACTTGTCTCCTTCAGACCAGCACTGAGGGCTGGGCACCTACCCCAGATCCCAATCCTGCCCTCCCATTAGCAAGGCATCCCAGGGAAGAGATACAGAAAAACAGGCAGGGAGGAAGAGGGAGGGGACATAGGGACATGGAACAAGGGAGGGGCAGAGAAAGAATGGAGGTGGAGGCTGAGGGGAGGGGAGCAGCTGGGCCTCACCAGGGGTGTCACTCAGTTGAGGAGGTGACCAGGGAAGTCCCAGCAAGGAGCAGTATGTCCCCAAGAAGCCTGCTTATGCTGTCCTCGGAGATCACACCTGGCCTGACAGTCCCAAGATTGAAATACTGAAATTTTCTCCCTGTAGCGGCAGCTCAGAGACCAATGCAGAAGTGAATACCCAACTGGGTTCCATAACTCCTACTGGGGTAAACCACTCCAGTTTCACAGACACAGCTGGGACCACCCCAGGCTAGTCCTGATTTCCTGAGGTCCTCTGTCCACCAGAGGCCCCTGTGCCCTCCACCTGGATCCAGACCAGGCAGGAAGAGCAGGGAATCTTCTGAAGGCCAATGTCTGCATGCTGGGAGCCCTTAGCTGAATCTAATGAACTCTAGAATCTTCCCACTCACTTGGACACAACTGCTTGGGAGGCCCCCACACCAGCTCCAAGAGGCCCCTCTCTGCAGGTGGGCCCTGAGGTGGGCAGGGTGGATGGGGAAAGCATTGTTCCCTTGGCTCCAACTTGGGCTGGCATTTCTGGAAGTTGGTGTGTGGACGGGTGTGTGTGTGTGTGTGTGTGTGTGTGTGTGTGTGTTTGTGTGTGTGTGTGTGTTTGTGTGTGTGTGTGTGTGTGTTGGGGGGGTCCTAGCCTCCAGGTCCCTCCCCAGAGTCCAGACCCATCAGGCAGTGGTGAGGTTGGCTCTGGGGTGCTGGGCAGGGGGTGTGGGGCCCTGGAGCCTCCGCCCTCTTCCTCCCTCCCACTCAGCCTCTCTGCGGCTTGCACCCCTATCCCTGTGTCTCCACTCTCCCACTTCCCTCTCAGTTCCTCTCTGGCCATTGTGGCTCACTGATGATCACCTTCTGATGTGCTGATGTTCATGTACTTGGACTCTCTCCTCCTCTGTCTTTGCTTTGTTGCCATCTATTGGCACCTGTGTCTGTGTCTCCCTCACTATGAACTTTGTGTCCATCCTGGCCCCACTCAGGTTTCTCTGGGAACCCAGGGCCTCCCAGTCGGAGTGAGCAAGGCCCACCTCCCACCCTTCCTGCAGGGCCAGGCCCTGTCCCTGCTCCTACCCAGCCTCTCCTCCCCCCAACTCTCTCCATGAGGTGCTCGAGGGTCATGCTGGGCTTCCAGCAGGTCACAGAAGGACACCAAGGAGGAGGCCGCCATGTGCCCATGCTTGCTGCAGAGGGACAGGCGCAGGGGCTGCTCTCACAGCCGGTGCACTCTGCACTTGTCTTCTTCAGGCCAGCACCAGGGACTGGGCACCTACCCCAGATGGACTCCTGCCATCCCAGGAACAAGACCTCCTGGGAAGGAGAGCAGAAAATAAGGCAGGGGAGGAAGCGGGAGGCAAGATAGGGACATGGGACATGGGCAGAGCTGGGAAAGAACAGAAAATGATTTTGCATCTGTGGAAAGATGCTGCCTGGCCAGCGGGATGGTGTGGATAGGCCCATGTGTTGCTGCCAAGCCCTGCTCCCCTGGGTGATTAACAGAAACGAGGCAGTGGGGAGGAGGGAAAGAGAAAAATGCCTTCTACCTCCATGTGTCCCGAGTTTGAGCCCCGCGCCGGCTTGAATGGCCCAGACACTGGGGAGGAGGTTCAGCATGGGAGCATCCCCATGCTGAAATAAAGCTCCAGGAATCCAGGCCTGGGTTTTGGGGTTCAGACAGTATGTGTTTTTCTTACCACAAGCCAGAACCATGATCCCTCTGGAAAAGGTCGACTCCACAGCTGTTTAAAAATCCCCTGGGACTTGGAGATAAATGATCTGAGTCAGGCTGTGCTAACAGCTCCGTTTTGGAGCCAAGCAGGAGGTGGGCCACCGCTCCGTCCTCAGGCCCATCCATCACTGCGCGGCCACAATCTCAGGGGCCACCAGCCTCTCTGACCATGCTGTTTCCATTAGAGCATGATTGTGAAACTTTCAGAAGAGAGAGGCTGGCAAAGAACTCAGGCCAGGAGAGCCGCCCGGCCCACACCAGGGCAGAAGGCTTTCAAGGTCTCACCCTTGCCCCTCATGGGTGGGGCTGGGCTGGTTTTCCGCCAGATGGTCCCTGTGGAGATGCAGGAACATTCCCTAACCCGGGAGCCACCTCGGAGGGGAGGGAGAAGAGGGAGAGCTCACCTAGATGGCTCCACGCACCTGTCCCGGCCCGGCTTCCACTGGGCTTAACACATTCCCCCATGAAATCATGTGCATGCAGCCAAAGCAATACCAACAGGGAAATACTTTTTATTTTAACCTCAGGCTCTCACAACCAAAGTGGGTTTGCTCAGTGTGGTAAGGGAGTACGGTGTTTGCAGTGGCCCAGGACAACTGGGGGTGCCAGGGAGGCCCCGCACAGAGGAACATTTGGGGAGCATCAGAGACAGGAGGAAAGTGCCCCTGCAAGGGCCCACAGAGATGGGGAGCCCCCAGCTGCTGCGGCCTCTTTAGCTTGGCTAAAGAGGGATTATGCACCTGTTTAATCTGGAGAGAAACGCTGCCTGCAAGTTATGGCTGTTTTGCTCTAACACACGCCATTAACTATTCCTGGAATCCAAATGGAAAAGGAACAAAATAAACCACTTTGAAGTCCCAGGCTAGGGCTGATCTGGTGGGGGTGGGGTTCGGGTCCAGTTGGATGGTCTGGGCAGTGAGGGCTCTGGGCGGGGGCCGCCCCTTGCACTCTAATTGGGTGTGTCTGGGCACCTGTTTGTCCTGACATCTGCAGGAACTGGGGGGAGAGAAGGATGGCCTCCTGGGTGCAGCTACCGCCTACACTGGAGGAGGGAAGGAAGAGCCTCTGGCCAGGGTGTGCCTGGGTGGATTGACTTCCTGAGAGCTCAGGCCACCCCCATCTGCAGTGAGGCAGATGCTGTCACGGCACTAAATGCTGCAGATGCATGAACTCATTTAATCCTCGCAACAAACCTACAAAGTGGGTATCCTGATTGCCCCCATGTTACAGATGAGAAGACCAAGGCACAGAGAAATAAAGTGGCTTCCCTAAGGCACACAGCAAGGAAGCAGCAGGGCCAGGATTTGAACTCCCAGTCTGGCTGCAAAGTCCCTGTCCTTAACCAGGACATGCCCCTGTCTCTTTAACTGCATTTTAAAACCAGTTATTTGGCCCAAGAGATGTTCAGTAGTCATGCCCCGCCCCAGCTGGCTCTCAACCCCTGGAAGATTCCCCAAAGCCTGGGATCAGCTTTCTCTCCGGGCTAAACACCCCCTCCTGGCCCCAAATCACCCCAGCGCCTGTTTCCTGCGGTATTCCCCACCTCGGGAAGTGGAAGAGTCATGCAAAGCTTGACGGCCCCTATGAAGCAAACACAGGAAAGGCCAACGCCCCCCACCGGCCAGTCCCAGGATTTACTGAGATCATGAATAACAGGTTTCTTTAAGGCAGCTGTGAAGGCGGTACCCCCCCCAACCACCTGTCACCCCCAGCCTTGGGTGCCAATGGGAGACTCCGAGGACCAAAGGGCTGGCGTGGTGGAGTGAAACTGCCCCCTCTAACCTCTCCAAGGATCAGACACCACGTCCTGCATTTCCTTACAGCTGTCTTCCTTTCCCCAAGGCCAGAGCTAGTCTTTCTTGGAATCCTGGGAAGAGGCCTCTTTGACCCAAACTCACCCTCACCACCTGCTGAAAGTGTCCACATCATGGAACCCTCTGGAATGTGGTCTTCTTTTCTCCAAGTGACTCATCCAGCCTCCGCACTGTTACCAGAAATACCTTTCCAACACACAAATCAGATTAGGCCTCTCCCCTGCTTCAAACAATTTCAAATCTCTTGGCGCCAGCTTTCCACAGGAAACAGCCCAAATGTCTTATGATGTCCTACTAGGCCAATCCCCTGGCCTCTGCCTACTTTAGCCAGAGCAGAATGACCATCATTGTTTCCAGGCATCAATTATGCTGCCTTCCCTGCCAGTGACCCCTCAGCCTGGTATACATCTCTTACTCATCCCTCAAATACCCATTTGAACATCTCCTTCAGGGCCTATACTCATCCACTTCTCTCCGTGGGCAAAAAAAAACCTAGCAGAACCCTTTGCACATACATCTTACCATAACCCCTTGTGTCTCACTCATTCATTGAAATGTCTGTTTTTCCACTCTAACGAGCTTAAGAGAAGGAGGCTTAATCTTTGTATTTTCAGCACCCAGTATCAACAAGGCTGTTGAAATGCAAATATTTGGGAGAAACCCCTTGAACCAATAATCTCCAAAACCAACAATATGAATGCATTTATTTAGTTAGCTCTAGCAGAGAACATACTTGGAGACATCCACTTCTGGGCTGTGGGAGTTGTGATGTGACGGGAAGGAAACCTGTGCTCTAGGATAGAGTCTTGCCGTGGGGCTGGGACTCCTGAGACAGCTACAGGGACTGGGCAAGCTAGAGGGCAAAAACCACCCTTCATTAGGCTTTCCCCAGCCCAGCCCTGCACAAGGGAACCCATTCTGCCCCCTGACTCATCTACTGAAGGCCCTTCCTCTCCCACCGAGGCTTAAAACCTGGCCATTGGTGTCTGCCTCCTGACATTACAGAAAGCAGCCCTGGACACCTCCTCCAGGTACCTTGCAGGTAAGTATAGGCCCTCCCCATCTCCAGCTCCTCTTGGTAGAGGCAGGGGGCAGACAAAGGCCTAGGCAAATAGAGAAGGGTCCCCAGAGAATCTCTGACCTGCCCCAAAAGTGTTTACACCAGAAGTTTTGTGCAGGTAAGGGAACCTGCACAAGGGGCCTGCCTGGGTCCACCCACAGCAGACTGGAGGCCCACATGTGCTGGGGTAATGGGGTGGAGTCACCAGGAATTGTCACCTTATGCAGGGGGAGGAGCCTGGCCTCTTCAGCTCATGTTGGGGGGCCCTGGTATTCAATTTGGGAGCTGGAAACCTGCTTGCAAGACCCCCTCTCTTTGCTGAGAGCTTTTCTTTTGCTTCATAAATTCTGCCCTCCTCACCCTTCAATGTGTCCGCATGCTTAATTTTTTCCTGGTCGTCAGACAAGAACTCGGATTTAGCTGAACTAAAGAGCAAAACTCCAGCATCTCTGTCCTGTGAGCAGCATGTTCCTTTCCCTGATGTCTCCACCTCAGATGCCTCTGGTCTGGAAGTCATTTCAGCTGACTAGCTGGAGACTAGCTGTGGCGCCATAGAAAACACTGCCTTTGGAGCCAAATCAATGGGAGTTTAAATTCTGTCTCAGCCTCAGTCTCAGTTTCCTCATCTGCAAAGTGAGAGTAAAGAATCACTCCTTTTTGGGAGGCCGAGGCAGGCAGATCACCTGAGGTCAGGAGTTCGAGACCAACCTGGCCAACATGGTAAAACCCCGTCTCTACTAAAAATACAAAAATTAGCCAGGCCTGGTGGCATGAGCCTGTAATCCCAGCTACCCGAGAGGCTGAGGCAGGAAAACTGCTGGAACCCAGGAGGTGGAGGCTGCCGTGAGCCGAGATTGTGCCACTGCACTCCAGCCTGGGTGACAGAGCAAGACTCCATCTGGGAACAACAACAACAAAAAAAGAATCACCCCCAAGGGTTGGTGTGAGAAGCAGAGATGATGTGCGCAGAGCCTCGGTGAGCAGTACCTGCTCACTCTGGGGTCCCATGGCCTCCTTGCCCTTCCCTTAACGATGGTGAATGGCAGCTAACCATGGCATTAGGACCATGAGCCTGGTCAGAGAGATACGTATGTCCAGGTCACCCCTGAGCCATGCCATGCACAGCACGGACACGAAGGATAGTGTACAATCCCATTTTTGCAAGAAAAAATAAACATCCACATTCAAATGAATATGCCTAGAAAACATCTGGAAGGACAAATACCAAAATATTAACAGTCTTGGGGTTCTGAGTGACTTTTTTTCTTTTAGTTATGTATTTATCTACTTTTTTCTCCGTGTGTTGAGTAACAATAAGAACAAAAATTAAACCACATGTGATAGAAATCTGGATGCAATATGGTCCTTAAATTCAAAGCACCATCTGGGATTTGCATGCCAAAGAATCGTGGTTTACAACCGCAGATGGCCGTAGCCTCCATGTGGAAGGAATTAGGATATCTGAGCATGTCCTCATCTCAGGAAAGTCCTTGTGTAGACTTAAGGCAAATGCCACTCCCTAAGTCAAGGCTCCCCCATAGCCGCTGCATATAAAGAGGTTTTGTAACAGTGATAGCACTGTTGCTTAAAACGAATTTTCCATTAGATAAGTAGTTTTTTGGATTTAATTAAGTTGTGGTTCTAATTCATTAGGTAAGCTCTGTGTCGAAAACTCTAGGAAAACTTGTAAAACAAAGTCATTCTGCAGTTCAGACTCTTGCTTCCTTGTATCTTTCTATTTTATAAATTTCCACATTAGTTGATTTTCTTGAAGCAAGAAATGCCTCCACTCACTAGTGAAAACTGGTCCTATTAGGACAAACTCCACCACATTTATTTCAGGATAAATCTCTGACGCTGTGGCCTCCCTCTTTGGCATCGATATGCTGGAATGCACCACAGCAAGGGAGGTGATGACATTTCTGTGTCTATGAAAAGCATATGAAGCAATTTTATGGGGTAGTTTCTCATCAGGCCTGCTCAGAGTCAAGGCAATAGACTAAATTAACTCTTGACAGCCTTTTCGGTTCTGCAAGTCTATCAGATTTATTGTAGAGAGGCATTTTTTTTTTTTGTAGTTTCTTATCCCTCCATGAAAATGAAATCAGAGAAACATTTGGCCTGAATTATTTTAGCATAAAGATCAGCCAAGTTCAGGTGCCAAAGATTCAAAATAAGAGTTATGAATCATAATAAAAATAACCTCTTCAAGAGGCAAAGTAATCCTCAAAGTAAGACCATCTAAGATCTATCCACAAATAAAAATTTTACAGCATAAACTATTTTTAAGGCCTATTTAATTCAACTTAGTTATATCTTCAATAACCTAGATTCTTTTAGTTTCTCTGCTACGTCTAACATTTTGCCCTTCTTCTCATGGTCACAAGATGGCTGCAATGATTTAGAATCATCACATCCTCAAGCAGAAATGTCCAAAAGCATATTCCTAAATCAATCACAGATGAGAAGAATGGATTTACAGTGAAATGATTTATGAATCCCTGTCTAGGGCTAGGAAGGAGACCTTCCTTTTTCTAAACAGTGGTGTTGGTACTTGAACAAAATCGGCATTTGTTAAGAAGGAAAAAGGAAAGATGGGATGGTGGGTAGCCTACTAGGAAGAACTGTCACAAAGATGGATATGAAATTTATAAGTGACAACACTAGCCAGAAGACAACAGAGACATTCACTTACAGTTCTAGGAAAGAAATAATCCAAACCTGAAAAGCTATACCCAGCCAAACTATCAAATAGGAGAGAAAAATAAAGTCAGTTTCAGGTAGGAAGAAATCAGAAAATTTGTCTTCCATAACCTTTTTGAAGAATAAAAAAAAGTATCTGATGATGTATTCCATCACAGCAAAACAGGAATCCAAGAAAGAGGAATATCTATGATCCAGCAAAAAGTGAAATTAACCAAGAAATGCAATGGAAATAAATCTTAGCTGGAAACTCTGCAGCAGGTCTAGAAAACAATAGTTCAAAACTAAAATGAGAAGTACCAAAAGACTCACCATGTATGTCTTTAAATGCAAGTGGGTTTCATTATGCAATTCTATTATTAGGAACCTAGAAATTTCTGATCAGATGAGAGCATATGTTTCTTCTGTCAACAACAGCAACAAAAGTAGAACAGCTAGAAACTCCAGGGAACATAAGTAGCTGTACAACATCAGAGTACAAACATGAAGCAGAATTAAAAGTGGCCCAATATTGAGCACTTGATTTTAATTTTAAAAAGAATCCATTTGGCCGTGAGGATTACAAAGTTTCCTCCAAGTGGCCCAGTTTAGTGAAATAAGATAACATTTTTTTTCCTATGAACATAGTCATACTTTTGGGGGGTTCATCAGCAGATGACATTTATATCACTGTAACCTTGCAAATGCCATTTTTTGCTTTATAGCTTTATAATCAGCATATAGACAAAGTGAGGGAGATTTATAGTCACAGAACAAAGTGTCAAGGTTACAAATCTTGAAGATTTAAAATTAATGTTACAGCTGATAGAAGCTGAGAAAGTTAAGGAAGAAAGTAGGAAAAATGAAGGTGTGTCAATTTCTTATTTATTTAGGGAAAGGAGTGAATAAATATGGTCTGAATGTTATGAATTTGGAAATAAAAATTTAACAATGAATTTAGAAACTGAAAATTTTAAAATTTAACAAAGTAGTATCAATGGACACTTAAATGCCCTAATTATAATCTCTCACTACCATTTTCTACCAAAAGTAAACATAACTTCTTGGAGAAATAGTTAATCCAGGCCTGTGGCACCCACAAATGTATCCCATGAGCCTGGACCATCTATTCATACCAGAAAATGAGGAAAGTGCCAAAGACCTGAGGTCAGAGGGAATTGGGAATGACTTGAAAACGCTTTCATTGGCCAAAGACGGGACAATTTGAACATCAATAAGAATTGAAATGCAAGGGTCTAAAACACATCAAACATGAGTTCATCGTGATACTAAATGAAAAAGGAACTCAGCAATAACCATTAGAGGAAGCTAGGGAACAAACTCATCATTTAAAAACCGGTAATGAAACAAGTTTTAAAGGAATTAAGAATCAAGCAATTATTTCTGCTTTTTCTGTATTTTAGGATAACCAAATAATCAAAGGAGAAATTCTTTCTAGAGAAGCATTTCAACTATTAAAGAAATAAGGACTGAGAGAAGATCACTACCCTTTTCATTCTTTATTTATTTGTATTTGTATACATTTGTGGAATATAAGTGCAATTTTGTTACATGCATAGATTACATAATGGTCAAGTCAGCTTTTAGGGTATCCATCGCCCAAATAACGTACATTGTACCCATTAAGTAATTTCTCTCCATCCACTCCTCTTCCACCCCTTCACCTTTCCAAATCTCCATTGTCTATCATTCCACCCTCCACTTCCATGTGTATACATTATTTAGTTCCCACTTATGAGTGAGAACATGTGGTATTTGTCTTTCTGTGTTTGACCTGTTTTACTTAAGATAATGACGTCCAGTTCCAACCATGTTGCTGAAAAAGACATAATTTCATTATTTTTTGTGGATGAATAGTATATCATTCATATACTATGAAAATGTAGTGTACATAAACTACATTTTCTTTACCCAATTATCCATTGGTTGACACTTAGGTTGATTCTATGTTTTTGCTATTGTGAATAGTGCTGCAGTAAACATAGGTATGCAGGTATCGCTACCCTTAATGAATGAAAGGATCAAGGCAACAGTCATCAAGTGCTGCTGGAATAATTCAAAGAGAGACAACCAGACATGACGTACCTCCTGGTGGAAGGCAACAGCATTGTGTATAAAGTATTCCAGCCAGAAAATTAAATCTCAATCTCAGCAAGTCTTTAGAGCTAATTACCAATTTATAGGAAGTCTGAGGGATAGAAGAACACGTTAAATGACACCACTGAGTTGCAATTATCAAAATCCAGATGGTGGAAACTCTACAAGTCAAATAACACAGTGTCTTCAATAAATAATATTGCCATAGGAAGAAAAAGAAGAGTGAGGACCTATAGATTAAGAGTCTAAAGAGACGTGTAAATTGATTGTAGTATAAGGACTGTATTTAGATACATCTTTGAACACAGAGAAAAAGAGAGTAAAATTTCAATAGTCACTGGCTATTAAGGAATTATTTTTTTTAGGTGTGGTAATGGCATTGAGGTTATGCTTTCTTGAGCATCCTTTTTTTTGTTTTTTTATTTTTGGAAAATGTAGACTTTTTTTTTTTCTTTTGAGATGGAGTTTCGCTCTTGTTGCCCAGGCTGGAGTGCAATGGCGCGATCTCGGCTCACTGCAACCTCCGCCTCCTGGGTTCAAGTGATTCTCCTGCCTCAGCCTCCCAAGTTGCTGGGATTACAGGCATGCACCACCACGCCCGGCTAATTTTTTGTATTTTTACTAGAGACGGGGTTTCACCATGTTGGTCAGGCTGGTCTCAAACTCCCTACCTGAGGTGATCCACCCGCCTTGGCCTCCCAAAGCACTAGGATTGTAGGCATGAGCTACCGTGCCTGGCCTGGAAAATGTAGACTTTTAATAACTGCTTTTATCACCAGGTTAAGTAATGCAGTTACAAAGTAGTTAGAAATTTCTGAAAGGGAGTTATAGTTAAAAAAAAAAGAACTGATTTGTACACATTTATTATCTAGCACTTCATTGGGACACTACTGCTCTAAAGGCCCTGGCCAAATAACTCCCAAACGAAACACTCAACCCAAAGTTGTTTTCAGCCCACTGTTAATGAAGCTAGCTGCAGAACGCAAGGCCTCTAAAAGGAGAGGACACAAAGTCAGGCGAGTAGGGGCCATTGGCAATGCTCAGAGCCAGCCAGACTCCAAACAGGGAGCCCAAGTGGTTTCTTTCTGGGACACTCCACTTGATTATTGTTCAATTAGTCAACAATAGATCTTCAAAAGAGAACAATTGGTTAACATGATAAGGAGGTTACTGCTTTCTTTGGCCCATGTGTCATAGTTAGCAAATTCTGACAGTTTTAACAAAAATAGCCTCTATCATTTTTGCAAGTATGAAGATAATTATCCACAGGGCTTTTAATGTTTGCTGGACAACAATGCATGACTGATAAGTTATAAATGACATTGTTTTATGATATAAAAATACTAGTTTTTAAAATTTCTTATTTTTATAGGCATTCACTGTTTGAGTCAAGGTTAGGCTTGTTAAGTGATTAAAGGCAATTTTATTACAGCAGCATGTACTTATTTTATTCTGAAAGATAAAATTCATAAATAGAAACAGCTTTTATATTTGTTTGCAACCTGTAAAATTGAGTTATTTTGCTGATATAAAATACTAAGAACTCACTTGAGGACTATGCCACCTTCCGAAAATGCCACACCCCTACTTCTTAAATATGCTAAAGTTATAGCATGTCCCAGACTTGTCCAGAGCAACTGACTGCTCTTGACTGTCCCTTCCCCAGCAATAGCACTGATTGTGTTGGGAAAAGCCACAGAGCAAGACTGCACAGCCAGATGGAGATGGAGGAGAGTTTAAAGGCAAAATACCAAAATGGCTCTCTGGTGTAGGTGATTTCTACTTTCACACTCAGCTTTTACATGATCCCCTAACCTTAATTTGTTTCTCCTTAAGGGGCTGATTTGGATTGACTTGTTGAGAATGGTATCCATTATCTAATGAGTCAGGAGGGAAAGGGATTTCTGTGGTTACATGTAAACTTGTGATAGGTCTGCAGAAGTTACAGGTGAAGAGGGTAGTGAGGAAGTCAGCCACGATCCATCTATGTAAAGGTCACACCAGCTTCATTGTACACTTTGAAGACTTTCTCAATGGCATTGACCTAGATGAGAATGCTTATTTTTTTAAGACATACATACTGAAATATGTAGATAAAATGATACAATGTCTAAGATTTGTTTCAAAATAATTGGTGGAGGGGAGTGCGTGGAGATACAGATGAAGCAAGTTGACTATGAGTTTGTAATAGAAGCAGAAGGCTGGGTATATAGAGGCTTACTGTAGTCTTTTCTCTGCTTTTGTATATGCTTGAAAATTTCCATATTTAAAAAATTTAAGGAGATAAAAGCCTAAGTATGTTATTTAAAGCTAAAAGTTAACCACTGGAAAATCCAAAGTATGATGTAACTATCAAATATCAAGAGACAGAAGCAGAGGGTTGGTAGGACTTAGTGGAAGTGCAGTCAATTCCTCATCCTTTGAGAGGAGGTTGCAGACACTACAGAGGAACAATCAAGGTATAGAGAGTTACATCAATGATTTAGAATTACAGAGACAACCACTACAAACACTTGGTATTTGTTAAGGGGAGGAGGACAGGAAAAAGGAGGTTTCCCTTCTCATTTTCTATAATTTTCTGGTGTGTGATGCTTTTAACTTATGCACCTATTACTTTTTTATAGTGGTAAAATACATGTAACATAAAATTTACAATTTTAATCATTTTTAGGTGTATGATTCAGTGGCATTAAGTACATTCACAGCGTTGTGCAACCATCTCCAATATCCATTTCCACAACTTTTTTCATCATCCCAAATGGAAACTCATTAAACAAAATAACTCAATTTCTCCCTTTCCTCAGCCCCTGGTAACCACTATTCTTGCTGTCTTTATGAATTTGCCTATTCTAGTGCCTCGTATAAGTGAAATCATACAATATTTGTCTATTCATGTCTGGATTATTTCACTTAGCAGAATGTTTTCAAGGTTCATCCATGTCATATCATGTATCAAAACTTTATTCCCTTTTCATTGTGATAAAGTCAACATTACATAAAATTTACTATTTTAATTATTTTTAGCTGTACAGTTCAGTAGCATTAAGTATGCTCACATTGTTGTACAACTGTCACCCCATCTATTTCCAGAACTTTTTCATCTTCCCAAACAGAAGCTCTGTATTCATTAAACAATAACTACCCCTTCCCTTTTCCTCTTCGCCTCTGGCAGCCACCATTCCATTTTCTGTCTCTATGAATTTGACTACTCTAGGTACCTCATGTTAATGGAATTGTACAGTATTAGTACTTTTCTGTCTGGCTTATTTCACTTAGTGTAATGTTTTCAAGGTTCATCCATGTTGTAGTATGTGTCAGAATTTTATTCCGTTTTAGGGCTTCATAATTTTCCATTGTATGTTTATGTCATATTTTGTTTATCCATTCATCTGTTTATAGACATTTGTTTCCACTTTTTGGTTATTGTAAATAATGCTGCTATGAACACTGCTGTGCAAATATCTCTTCAGGTCCCTGCTTTCAATTCTTTTGGGTATATGCCTAGGACAGGAATTGCTGAATTGTATGGTAATTCTATACTTAACTTTTTGAGGAACTGCCATGCTGTATTTCACAGCGGTTGCACTATTTTATATTCCCACCAGTGAGGGGGAACCCCACAAGGGTTCCAATTTCTCCACTTCTTTGCCAACACTTGCTATTTTCTGGATTTTATAATAAGAGTCATTCTAATAGGTGTGAAGTGATATCTCATTTTGGCTTTGATTTGCATTTCCCTAATGACTAGTGATATTTAATATCTTTTCACATGCTTATTAGTCAATTGTATCTCTTCTTTGAATAAATGTCTATTAGAGTCCTTAGTCCATTTTTTAAATCAAGTTATTTGATTTTTTGTTTTTGAGTTGTAGGAACTCTTTACATATTCTGGATGTTAATCTCGAATCAGACATGATTTGCAAATATTTTTTCCCATTCTGTGGGTTGCCTTTTTACTCTGCTATTGTGTCCTTTGATCCATAAGAGTTTTTAATTTTGATGAAATTCAGTTTATTTTTTCTTTTGTTTCCTATGATTTTGGTGTGAGGTCTAAGAGTTATTGCCAAATCCATTGTTATGAACCTTTCTTCCTACATTTTCTTCAAAGAGTTTTATACTTTTAACTTTTATATTTAGGTTTTTCATCCATTTTGAGTAAATTTTTTTACATGGTGCAAGGTAAAGGTGCACATATTACTTTTAAAGTTTAAGATAAACAAGAAAATAATATGTAAAATTATTTGTGTCACTAATTCAACAGAATGATGGTTATCTTTATGAAATAACATCTTTGTGAGATTGAAGCAATGCAGTTACTTTTGTTTTTCTCCTCAGAAACTCATAGCTTTGAAAATTACATTGTTCTAACTTTTCCTCCTTATGTTTTACAATGACCTTTGTTTGAATTGTATTGGAAAGTCCAAAATAGCCACTGACCGAAAGGTTAACAATGACTGTCTTCCACAGTGCTCTGAGAAACCTCAGCCCTTGACAGAAGTAGGTAGTTTCCAGCCTGCTTGCTACCCAGAAAGTTCAGCTTCTCATTTGGTCCATGAACAGGGATAAACATAGATTCTGTAAACCTAGTACACTATACACAGTAGGTGATTAGTAAAATCTGTTTAGTGTTTGTCTGGTTGGTTTGTTGACTATCAGATTCCTGGAACTGAGCACATCCCATTAACTGTGATGCCAGCAGTTGACCAGCCCACCTATGTGCCAGGATATATCACGGGACACAGAGAGGTCAGCGTTGGCCTCTCTTGGCAGATCTCCCAGTTCAGGGAAGGAGGGACTCTGCAAGTTTGTCAAGACTTGCAGTTCTCTCCTCCCCCTTGTCTCTCAGGCTGAGTGTTTAGAGTGATCCTATACCCAGGGTACTAGGAGGACACCAGCAGTCCTCACATTAGCAACCCGTGCTGGAGGCCTCTTCTGGGAGACTGTCACCTTTCTGTAGAACTGTCCTGTGAAATGCAACAGCTTCCTTTTAGTGTGCACTTCATCATTTCCTTATTACTGTGTCATCTAATGCTAATAATAACCTGGGAAGGTCGGTGTTTTGGTCCCATTTTACAGTTGAGGAATCTTAGGGTTAATAAGCATGTTTAAGATTACACAGATGGAAGACAAGTCCAAGTCTGGCTGGCTTCAAGGCCCTTCTCTGGACCCTCACAGTATCTAGGCAGTCCCTGATTTCCAGCTTGCATGTCACTGCACTCAGCCTCCAACACTGTCAGGACATGTTATGAAGGATCATTACCCAGAGGCCTATCATCACTCCTTGATTTAGGCTGCAGGGCCTCCACCGTTCAGCAGTAATAGGGGGAAACCACGCCCCAAGTTTAGAGGCAGGTCTTCAGGTCTGCCACCTCCCCTCTGCCCTTACCCATCAAGCTACCCCTGGTGGTGGGAAATGGTGAGAAAAGACAGAAATAAGAAAGATTAAAGAGACCCTGTTCCCACATCCTCCCAACTGAAGTCCCTTACCAATTGTATTAGTCCATTCTCATGCTGCTATAAAGAAATACCCAAGACTGGGTAATTTATAAACAAAAGAGGTTTAATTGATTCAAAGTTCCACATGGCTGGGGAGGCCTCAGGAAACTTACAATCATGGCAGAAGGTGAAGGGGAAGCAAGGCACGTCTTACATGGTGACAGGAGAGAGAGAGACTGCAGGGGAAACTTCCACTTTTAAAACCATCTTATCTCGTGAGGACTCCCTCACTATCACAAGAACAGCATGAGGGAACCACCCCCATGATCCAGTCATCTCCCACCAGGTCCCTCCCTTGACACGTGGGGATTATAATTCGAGACGAGATTTGGGTAGGGACACAGAACCAAGCCATATCAGTGCTGTACCCAGTTGCCTGGTACCTGGTCGTGGGTTTATTAGGGCAGGTGGATAGTGGCCCCATAAAGGATTTGGCTGGGTGTGTGGGCTCTGGATTGGTTGGTTTGTATGCAAAGAACGCATTCACAGGTGAGTTGTTTACTATCTGGGAATTGTCTAACCCTGGAAGGGTTGGTCCCCTCCATGGTCAGTGAGACCCCAGATGCCAAAGCATTGAAATACAAAAATAAAAGACATGGTGATACAGTGGGGCACTTATCATATGCCAAGGCTCTATGTCACCTAAGCCCCAACAACTCCAAGAGGTTAATAATACTGTCACCTTCTCTTTAGACATGAGATGATAGTCCCAGAGAGACGAAATAACTCTTCCAAGGTCACAAAGCTAGTACATAGTGACATCTGGTCTGATTCCAAAAGCAGTTTTTTAACCAGTTTCCAAAGAAGCTCCAATATTGAGGAGCTTCTACCAAGGAGGGAGGTATGACTGATATCACGGTTCCTGGCCCTTGAACCTGAAGGCCTGGGTGTTCCCTGCCCCATTCCTGATCTCCAACATGTAGGACTTCCCTGGTCTCCCTGGGACCCATATGACTCAGTCCCCTGGTTGGTTTCTTACCAGGGGGCTGAACCCCCACCCAAAGGCCTGCCCAAGCAAAATTTCAGCCCACAAAGCCAAAAACCAATGAGGCTGTTGTCCCTTTGGTCAAGCAGATAACCCAGCGGTCAAGGCTATGAGCTCTTAAGGCCAATCACGAAGTTCCAAGCCCCAGAAAGAGTCCCTGTAGTCAAACCCACCCCACTGCTCTACTGATGCAACTTGAAGCAACACTGACCAGCCTACTAGGATACTAACCCAAGCACCATGAGGGCTCACAGTGCCAATGACATTCCTCAGTGCCCTCAGTGCTGGGCATTACTGATTTTGCAGTCATCCACTTCTTCGTTCTACCTCCTCCCTCCTTCCATGCACCTGCAGAGACCAACCCAGAGCAGGGTTCCCCAGCCCCCACCCCCACCACAGCCCTGGCACTGCTGAGGAGCAGGTGGGTGGCTTTGCAATGCATTTACTCTCAGATGCCGCCACTGAGGCCCAGAAATACAGGCACACCTAGTTTCATTGTGCTTCATTATATTATGCTTAGCAGATGTTGTGTTTTTCACAAATTGAAGGTTGGTGTCAACACGGCTTCAAGCAAGTTTATCAGCACCACTTTCCAACAGCATGTGCTCACTTAATGTCTATTTATCAGATTTTAGTAATTTTTGCAATATTTCAAACTCATTATTATTATATCTGTTATGGTGATCTGTAATCAGTGATCTTTGATGTTACTATTGTAATTATTCTGGGGTCCCACAAGCTGTGTCCATATAATACTGCAAACCTAATCTGTAAATGGTGTGTTTGTTCTGACTGCTCCATGTACTGGCTGTTCCCCAATCTCTCTCCTTCT
Organism: Homo sapiens; assembly: GCF_000001405.40. NCBI lineage: Eukaryota > Metazoa > Chordata > Mammalia > Primates > Hominidae > Homo > Homo sapiens. The sequence continues at coordinate 31,633,869 of NC_000010.11, forward strand.
CCTTGGGCCTTCCTATTCTGTGAGACACCAATATTGAAATTAGGTCAATTAATAACCCTACAATGATCTCTAAGTGTTCAAGTGAAAGAAAAAGTCACATTTCTTACTTTAAACCAAAAGCTAGAAATGGTTAAGCTTGGTTATGAAGGCATGTGAAAAGCCAAGATAGGCTGAAAGCTAGGTCTCTTGCTCCAGACATTTAGCCAGATTGTGATGCAAAGGAAAAGTTCTTCAAGGAAATTAAAAGTGCTACTCCAGTGAACCCACAAATGATAAGAAAGCAATATAGCCATATTGCTGATAAGGAGAAAGTTTGACTGGTATGGATAGAAAATCAAACCAGCCATAACATTCCCTTAAGCCAAAACTTAATCTAGAGCAAGGCTGTGACTCTCTTCAATTCTATGAAGGCTGAGAGAGGTGAAGAAGCTGCAGAAGAAAAGTTGGAAGCTAGCAGAGGTTGGTGCATAAGGTTGAAGGAAAGAAGTCATCTCCACACCAAAGAAGTGCAAAGTGAAGCAGCAAGTACTGATGGAGAAGCTACAGCAAGTTATCCAGAAGATTTAGCTAACATCATTGATAAAGGTGGCTACACTAAACAGCAGATTTTCAATGGAGACAATGTAGACAGCCTTTTATTGGAAAAAGATGCTACCTAGGACTTTTGTAACTAATGAGAAGTCAATGCTTGGCTTCAAGGCTTCAAAGCAGTCTGACTCTCTTGTTAGTGGCTAATGCAACTGGTGATTTGAAGTTGAAGCAAATGCTTGTTGACCATTCTGAAAATCCTAGGGCCCTTAAAAATTATGCTAACCCTACTCTACCTGTGCTCTAGAAAACAAACCCTGGTTGGCAGCACTTATGTTTACAACATGGTTTACTGAATATTTTAAGCCCACTGTTGAGACCTCCAGCTCAGAAAAAAAAAACAGTTTTTTCAAAACATTGATGCTCATTGATAATGCACCCAGTCAACCAAGGCTCTGATGGAGATGTACAAAGAGATCAATGTGTTTTTCTTTTTTTAACGCCTGCTAACACAACATACATTCTTCAGCTCATGGGATCAAAGAGTAAATCTGATTTTCAAGCCTTATTATTTATGAACTGCATTACATAAGGCTATAGCTGTCATACATGGTGATTCCTCTGATGGATCTGGACATGGCAAATTGAAAACCTTCTGGAAAGGATTCACCTTTCTAGATGCCATTACAATCATTTGTGATTCATGGAACATGGTCAAAATATCAACATTACCAGGAGTTTAAAAGTTGACTTCAACTCTCACGGATAACTTTGATGAGCTCAAGATTTCAGTAGAGGAAGTAACTGCAGATGTGGTGAAAAGAGCAAGGGAACTAAAATTAGAACTGGATCCTGAAGATATGACTGAATTGCTGAAATCTCAAGGCAAAACTTGAAAGGATGAGGGATTGCTTCTTATGGATGAGCAAAGAAAGTGGTTTCATGAAATAGAATCTTCTATTGGGGAAGATGCTATGGACATTGTTGAAATGACAATGAAGACTTTAGAACATTCCATAAGTTGATAAAGCAGTGACAGGGTTTGAGAAGATTAACTCCAACTTTGAAAGTTCTACTGTGGATAAAATGCTATCAGACAGCATCACATGCTACAGAGAAATCTTTTGTGAAAGGAAGAGTCAATCAATGTGGTCAACTTCATCGTTGTCTTATTTTAAGAAATTTCCACAGCCACCTCAGTCTTCAACAACCACCACCCTGATTAGTCAGCAGACATCAACGTTGAGGCAAACAATTATGACTCAATGAAGGCTCTGATGATTGTTAGCATTTTTAAGCAATAAACTGTTTTAAATTAAGGTATGTACATTTTTTAGATAATGCTATTTCACACTTAATGGGCCACAGTATAAAGTAAGTATAACTTTTATATGCATTGGAAAACCAAAAAATTTGTGTGACTTGCTTTATTGTGACACTCACTTTATTGCAGTGGTCTGGAACAGAGCCCACAGTATCTCCAAGGTATGCCTTCCTGTCCAGCTGCCTCCTGGGCCACTCAAAGACACTGGAAGTAGCTCCTTAGCCAGTGTTATAGCTCAGATCCCTTCACTGAAGTTTGCAAAGTCCTGGGTGCAGAGAAAACTAGCAGCAAAGAGATGGGAAGAGAGTGTTTACAATATCACCCCATATCTGTCTCTCTTACTTTTCTGGGTGTTAAAGATGACTCTCTGCAGCCACCCCACCGCTCAGCAGCCAGGGCCTGCTTTCCCACTCTCTGCCCTTCATGGTTTGGTTCAAATATCTTCCTGGGAAGTGCAAATCCCCATATTTAGGCCTAACCCAAGCTGCCTGATTTTCAGTGATGGCCCTGGAAGAGATCTTGGAGACAGTACAACTGAATTATCTTGTTTTACAAACTAGTGAATGGAGGTGCAGAGGGTTGAAGGATAACTGGTGCAAGGAAAGAGATGAGAGATGGAGTGAGTGCCGTGTGCACGTGTGCACGTGCACACACACACACACACACACACACGAAGACATACACAGGGACACACATAAAGGTACACACACAAAAAAAACCTAGAGGAAGCTCTAAGGCAAGGAGTCACAGAAGCCTACAGTAGGACCTTGTATCAGTCAGCATTCTCCAAAGAAACATAATGAATAGGATATATATTTTTTCTTTAATTTAAAAAGTAAAAAAATATATAAGGACTTTATTATAAGGTATTGGTTCATGGAATTATGAAAGCTAAGAAGTCCCATGATCTGCGAGCTGGAGACCCAGGAAAGCTAAGGTTGTTATTCAAAGGCTTAAGAACCAGAGAAACAATGGTGTAGATTCCAGCTCAGGTCTGAAGGGCAAAGAACCAGGAGAGCCAAGGGCAGAAGAAGATTGATGCCCCAGCTCAAGCAGTCAGGCAAAAGGAAGATGAATCCAATCTTCCTCTGCCTTTTTATTCTATTCAGTCTCTCAATGGATTGGAGGATGCCCACCCACACTAGGGAGGGCCATCTGCTCTACTTATTCCACCAATTCAAACACTAACCCTGTCCATAAACACCCTCAGAGACACACCCAGAAATAATGTTTCACAAGCTACTGGGCATCCCATGGCCCAGTCAAGTTCACACTTAAAATTAAGCATCTTGCCAGTCCACCTCTTGTCAATTTGGCACCCGTATACATTTCCTTAAACCATACTTAATTCCCAAATAAAGACAATAGCAAGGTCATAATTCCACCTATCATGATATAACTATCCTGCATGCAATAGAAAATACTCTAAGCCCTTCCCCAGGAGAGAAGGTAAAGCCTTCAGGTGATGTTTACTCTTCTTAATATCCCATAACTTCAGAATTATAATGTAAAACTAATAATACTTAAATACCAGGACACAAAATCAGTACATATTATGTTACATGTTAAAGGAATAAGAGTAAAGAAAACCTACATATAATACATATATGTGTGTATCCACACACATATATCCACACACACGTATTCATAATAAAGTAGGAGGAAATATTCATGACAATTAATCCTTGTTTCTGTAACCAGTCATGTGGTTATAGCTAGTATTTATAACTACTTTCTTCCACTACCCATTCTGTTTTCCCTCTGCCTTCAGTAAGCACCTCAGCTGGTCATGGTTGTTCACCTGGTGGGCTGACCCAAGCCTTCATTCCTAAAGGTCTGGGTCATTGGTAGTCCTGCCTGGATTGGCCGTTGTAGTTTTCTACTGACATTAATCACAGGGCACGGTAACACCTAACATGGCAGTCTTTTTTTTTTTTTTAAATACTTGAAGTTCTGGGGTACATGTGTACAACTTGCAGGTTTGTTACATATGTATACATGTGCCATGTTGGTGTGCTGCACTCATTAACTCATCATTTACATTAGGTATATCTCCTAATCCTATCCCTCCCCCGTGTCTCCACCCCACAACAGGCCCTGGTGTGTGACGTTCCCCACCCTGTGTCCAAGTGTTCTCATTGTTCAATTCCCACCTATGAGTGAGAACATGCGGTGTTTGGTTTTCTGTCCTTGAGACAGTTTACTCAGAATGATGGTTTCCAGCTTCATCCATGTCCCTACGAAGGATATAAACTCATCCTTTTTTATGGCTGCATAGTATTCTATGACATATATGTGCCACATTTTCTTAATCCAATCCATTATTGATGGACATTTGGGTTGGTTCCAAGTCTTTGCTATTGTGAATAGTGCCACAATAAACATACATGCACATGTGTCTTTATAGCAGCATGATTTATAATCCTTTGGGTATATACCCAGTAATGGGATGGCTGGGTCAAATGGTATTTCTAGTTCTAGATCCTTGAGAGATTGCCACACTGTCTTCCACAATGGTTGAACTAGTTTACAGTCCCACCAACAGTGTAAAAGTGTTCCTATTTCTCCACATCTTCTCCAGCACCTGTGGTTTCCTGACTTTTTAATGATCACCATTCTAACTGGTGTGAGATGGTATCCCATTGTGGTTTTGATTTGCATTTCTCTGATGGCCAGTGATGATGAGCATTTTTTCATGTGTCTGTTGGCTGCATAAGTCTTCTTTTGAGAAGTGTCTGCTCATATCCTTTGCCCACTTTTTGATGGAGTTGTTTGATTTTTTCTTATAAATTTGTTTAAGTTCTTTGTAGATTGTGGATATTAGCCCTTTGTCAGATGGGTAGATTGTAAAAATTTTCTCCCATTCTGTAGGTTGCCTATTCACCCTGATGGTAGTTTCTTTTACTGTGCAGAAGCTCTTTAGTCTAATTAGATCCCATTTGTCAATTTTGGCTTTTGTCGCCATTGCTTTTGGTGTTTTAGTCATGAAGCCCTTGCCCATGCCTATGGCCTGAATGGTATTGCCTAGGTTTTCTTCTAGGGTTTTTATGGTTTTAGGTCTAACATTTAAGTCTTTAATCCATCTTGAATTAATTTTTGTATAAGGTGTAAGGAAGGGATCCAGTTTCAGCTTTCTACATATGGCTAGCCAGTTTTCCCAGCACCATTTATTAAATAGGGAATCCTTTCCCCATTTCTTGTTTTTGTCAGGTTTGTCAAAGATCAGATGGTTGCAGATGTGTGGTATTATTTCTGAGAGCTCTGTTCTGTTCCATTGGTCTCTATCTCTGTTTTGGTACCAGTACCATGCTGTTTTGGTTACTATAGCTTTGTAGTATAGTTTGAAGTCAGGTAGCATGATGCCTCCAGCTTTGTTCTTTTGGCTTAGGGTTGTCTTGGCAATGTGGGCTCTTTTTCGGTTCCATATGAACTTTAAAGTAGTTTTCCAATTCTGTGAAGAAAGTCATTGGTAGCTTGATGGGGATGGCATTGAATCTACAAATTACCTTAAGCAGTATGGCCATTTTCACAATATCGATTCTTCCTATCCATGAGCATGGAATGTTCTTCCCTTTGTTTGTATCCTCTTTTATTTCGTTGAGCAGTGGTTTGTAGTTCTCCTTGAAGAGGTCCTTCCTGTCCCTTGTAAGTTGGATTCCTAGGTATTTTCTTCTCTTTGAAGCAATTGTGAAAGAGAGTTCACTCATGATTTCGCTCTCTGTTTGTCTGTTATTGGTGTATAGGAATGCTTGTGATTTTTGCACATTGATTTTGTATCCTGAGACTTTGCTGAAGTTGCTTATCAGCTTAAGGAGATTTTGGGCTGAGACAATGGGGTTTTCTAAATCTACAATCATGTCATCTGCAAACAAGGACAATTTGACTTCCTCTTTTCCAAATTGAATACCCTTTATTTCCTTCTCTTGCCCTGTGAGTTTGAGTGAGTTTCTTAATCCTGAGTTCTAGTTTGATTGCCCTATGGTCTAAGAGACATTTTGTTATAATTTCTGTTCTTTTACATTGCTGAGGAGTGCTTTACTTCCAACTATGTGGTCAATTTTGGAGTAAGTGCGATATGGTGCTGAGAAGAATGTGATTGCCCTAGCCAGATCTTCCAACACTATGTTGAATAGGAGTGGTGAGAAAGGGCATCCCTGTCTTGTGCCTGTTTTCAAAGGGAATGCTTCCAGTTTTTGCCCATTCAATATGATATTGGCTGTGGGTTTGTCATAAATAGCTCTTATTATTTTGAGATATGTCCCATCAATACCTAGTTTATTGAGAGTTTTTAGCACGAAGGGCTGTTGAATTTTGTCAAAGGCCTTTTCTTCATGTATTGAGATAATCACGTGGTTTTTGTCGTTGGTTCTGTTTATATGATGGATTACATTTATTGATTTGCATATGTTGAACCAGCCTTGCATCCCAGGGATGAAGCCAACTTGATCATGGTGGATAAGCTTTTTGATGTGCTGCTGGATTCAGTTTGCCAGTATTTTATTGAGGATTTTTGCCTCAATGTAAATTAGGGATAATGGTCTAAAATTATCTTTTTTTGTTGTGTCTCTGCCTGGTTTTGATATCAGGATGATGCTGGCCTCATAAAATGAGTTAGGGAGGATTCCCTCTTTTTCTACTGATTGGAATAGTTTCATAAAGAATGGTACCAGCTCCTCTTTGTACCTCTGGTAGAATTTAGCTGTGAATCCATCTGGTCCTGGACTTTTTTTGGTTGGTAGGCTATTAATTATTGGCTCAATTTCAGAGCCTGTTATTGGTCTATTCAGGAATTCAACATCTTCCTGGTTTAGTCTTGGGAGAGTGTATGTGTCCAGGAATTTATCCATTTCTTCTAGATTTTCTAGTTTATTTGCATAGAGGTGTTTATAGTATTCTCTGATGGTAGTTTGCATTCCTGTGGGATCAGTGGTGATATCCCCTTTATCATTTTTTATTGCATCTATTTGATTCTTCTCTCTTTTCTTCTTTATTAGTCTTGCTAGCAGTCTATCAATTTTGTTGATCGTTTCAAAAAACCAGGTCCAGGATTCATTGATTTTTTGAAGGGTTTTTTATGTCTCTATCTCCTCCAGTTCTGCTGTAATCTTAGTTATTTCTTGCCTTCTGCTAGCTTTTGAATGTGTTTGCTCTTGCCTCTCTAGTTCTTTTAATTGTGATGGTAGGGTGTCAATTTTAGATCTTTCCTGCTTTCTCTTGTGGGCATTTAGTGCTATAAATTTCCCTCTAGACACGGTTTTAAATGTGTCCCAGAGATTCTGGTATGTTGTGTCTTTGTTCTCATTGGTTTCAAAGAACATCTTTATTTCTGCCTTCATTTCCTTATGTACCCAGTAGTCACTCAGGAGCAGGTTGTTCAGTTTCCATGTAGTTGAGTGGTTTTGAGTGAGTTTCTTAATCCTGAGTTCTAGTTTGATTGCTCTGTGGTCTGAGAGACAGTTTGTTATAATTTCTGTTCTTTTACATTTGCTGAGGAGTGCTTTACTTCCAACTATGTGGTCAATTTTGGAATAAGTGCGGTGTGGTGCTGAGAAGAATGTATATTCTCTTGATTTGGGGTGGAGAGTTCTGTAGATGTCTATTAGGTCCAGTTGGTGCAGAACTGAGCTCAATTCCTGGATATCCTTGTTAACTTTCTGTCTCGTTAATCTGTCTAATGTTGATGGTGGGGTGTTAAAGTCTCCCATTATTATTGTGTGGGAGTTTAAGTCTCTTTGTAGGTCTCTAAAGACTTGCTTTATGAATCTGGGTGCTCCTGTATTGGGTGCATACATATTTAGAATAGTTAGCTCTTGTCGTTGAATTGATCCCTTTACCATTATGTAATGGCCTTCTTTGTCTCTTTTGATCTTTGTTGGCTTAAAGTCTGTTCTATCAGAGACTAGGATGGCAACCCCTGCTTTTTTGTTTGTTTGTTTTCCATTTGCTTGGTAGATCTTCCTCCATCCCTTTATTTTGAGCCTATGTGTGTCTCTGCACATGAGATGGGTCCCCTGAATACAGCACACTGATGGTTCTTCACTCTTTATCCAATTTACCAGTCTGTGTCTTTTAATTGGCGCATTTAGCCCATTTACATTTAAAGTTAATACTGTTATGTGTGAATTTGATCCTGTCATTATGATGTTAGCTGGTTATTTTGCTCATTAGTTGACGCAGTTTCTTCCTAGCATCGACAGTCTTTACAATTTGGCATGTTTTTGCAGTGGCTGGTACCAGTTTTTCCTTTCCATGTTTAGTGCTTCCTTCAGGAGCTCTTGTAGGGCAGGCCTGGTGGTGACAAAAATCTCTCAGCATTTGCTTGTCTGTAAAGGATTTTATTTCTCCTTCACTTATGAAGCTTAGTTTGGCTGGATATGAAATTCTGGGTTGAAAATTCTTTTCTTTAGGAATGTTGAATACTGGCCCCCACTCTTCTGGCTTGTAGAGTTTCTGCAGAGAGATCCGCTGTTAGTCTGATTCCGACTTTTAAAGGGTGCTAGACTCTCAGTTAATCTCTTTAGCACTTGGAGGCTCTGGAAGGGAAAAGATCTAATTATATTAATAGAGATTCTTTACAGATACAAATTTTCTCCTCATGAAAGATGGTTTCTTCCAGGGCCATTTCAAATTATGGCAAAGAAACACATTTTGGGGTAAAATATTTGGACTTCCTTTTTTATATGTCATGTGCTCTTATGCCAGGAAACCCTCTGATGAGATTTTGTGGTTTGTAAAATCATAAAATGCCTCCCTAGACTCCTTAGATAGGAATTTGGGCAAGACAGAAAAAAGGTCAGCATTTAGTCCTCACTAGGCAAGGGACTGCCATTTTTCACACTGTAGCCGACATTAATCTTCTGCTTAATCTCTCATGATCTCACTTGATATCATAAGTCAAGTGATATCCTACTGGTTTCCTGTGTATCTTGCCACTGGGACTCAGTGGTTTATTCACTGTCATCACAGATCTCTGTGGGCCAGTTCCCCCAAGGGCCATTTTGTCCTTGCTATCTGTTACAGTGATGACTTGCCTGTCATGTTTACCTGTTGCTCTCTGAGCTCTGCTGTTAAGGACTTCTGTCCCAATTGTTAATACTGGGGAGCTCAATTTTATAACAGCATCTCCTCCCATCAACCAAGGCCTCCAGAGGACAGTCACCATTAAGCCATTGTTCTTAGCACGTTAGTGAAAGAGGCACCCTCTCAGGCTTCTGGTCTTATCCAACAAATCCATCCTAACATTCTTACCTCCCTGGGAATATTTATCCCTTTCTTAGGCTCTTCCAGTCCAGTTCCAGCATCTCCACCTCACTGACTCTGGGCCATGATTGGGTCTGAATTCAAGAAGCCTTCCCAGCAGTGTACAGGGCCTGGTCCAGGTACCCCTTTGCCAGATGGTTAAATCCTCAGTCACAGAAGTGTGGCACCATATCAATGAGCTCTCCACTGCCCAGGCTTATCCTTCTTCCTCCCTGGTCTTCACAACCTCCCTCACGATCCATTCCCAGGCACATTCTACCCAGTCCCTGTCAGTATCCGTGAGGCAGGCCCTGCAGCACTCAGGAGAATAACTCCTTTCTTCCAGTAGCAGGGACAATGCTTTTCTGCTCAGCCCAGGCTGTGTAAAGATGCCAGTTACTGGCATAAAGCTATGAGGGAAGGCAAGAGAGATCATGGGGAAAGTACACATCATCTCACAAGGCATCTGGCCCTGGGGAGGGCTACAAGGTCTCCAGGCAATGGGACAGTGCCCTCCCCTATCAAGCAGGGAACCCCCACCCTCACCCCTGCCAGTCCCAGAAGGCCTCATCACAGGCTCTAGTTTCCACTCCTTCCCTAACAGGGTCCTGACTGTAGCAGAGAAGACCTACCAGGACCTTGTGCCTCCACATCTTTACAATCCAATTTGGGCCTGGTTTTCAGCATCTCCCTTTGTCTAGGAGAGGAGGAACTCTTTAACTACTTCCACAGAAGTCTCCAGCTTTCACGTGGTGCCCTCTGAGTTGGCAATTGCCTGAACTGAGCCTGTTATTTTTTTCTCCTGGGTTTTTATGGCAGCTACAACCAATCCTTAAAGTGATGATCACCCCTATATTGTTCAATCATTAGAGCTATTGCATAAGCCGGTGCACCCCGCTTTTTGTCTGTAACTGTCTCCATCCTCAGCAAGTAAAGACCTTAGTAAATGTGATTCTGCAGCAACCTGGAAATCATCACCACTTGGTGGCAAGTGATCCAACTCCAGATTGCAATGCTCGAGATCTGCCTCCAAGGCCTCTCCTGGCACCAATGGCCTTAGGCAGATTCCCCCACAAGCAGACCTGGAGACAAAAATTCAGGTGAAAGTGGGCCAGGTGCAGTGGCTCATGCCTGTAATCCCAGCGCTTTGGGAGGCTGACGTGGGTGGATCACCTGAGGTCGGGAGTTCGAGACCAGCCTGACCAACATGGAGAAACCCCATCTCTACCAAAAATACAAAATTAGCCCGGCGTGGTGGCACATGCCTGTAATCCCAGCTGCTAGGGAGGCTGAGGCAGGAGAATCACTTGAACCTGGGAGGCGGAGGTTGCTGTGAGCCAAGATCACACCATTGCACTCCAGCCTGGGCAACAAGAGCAAAACTCCACCTCAAAAAAAAAAAAAAAAAAAAAAATTCAGGTGCAAGTGATTGGGTCCAAACAACCAGTCATTATGCTTAAGGAGAGAATCTTTATTTGGCTGGTAGTACAGGAAACACCAGCAAGGGAATGGGAAGTGAGACAGGGAAGGGCAGCAGGAGGTGCTAAATGTGGGTTCATAGCAATTTACCACTGTCAGCAACTTGGGCTCCACCTTGTCGGGAATCTCTGGGAGATGACATGGAACATGCCTTGAAGGTGAGGAGGCTAGGGCATCGATCCTCCAACCCCCACTAGCTCCTGGGGCGTGTCAGTGACAGCATCTGCTATAGACTGCATGTGCATACTTATTTATTTATTTAGAGACAGTCTCATTCTGTTGCCAGGCTGGAGTGCAGTGGTGCCATCACAGCTACTGCATTTAATTGAGCTGAGGCATATCTTCATCTGTGCAGAGACACATCAGTAAGCCAATACGAGGCAGGCACTGGGGTAAACGACATCAGCTGAAGGTGGCTAGTGGTCAGGTAGCAGAGTGCATAATGGAAAAGGGAATGTGGACAGGACAGGTGGACAGTGATTGGGAAGCAAGACTGAGAACATGGAGCAATGTCTTAGGCAAAGAGGAGTGACCGTGGTGACCGTGAACATTTAGGTACTTTGTGGGTGAAGAAGAATGTCAGAGAATGCCCAGAGGAAAGGAGGGGAACATCAAACAGGCATTATTCATATCCTAGCATGGCCAAGGACCAGCCTTGGCGGGCAGGGGGTGATTAAGCTGGTAAAGGAGCTTTCATGAGCTGGCTCCTCACTTACTCACATGGGCTAAGCATGTGACTTGAAGAGGTCCTATTAGAAAAGCAACCTGTTTCCACACAACAAAAGCCAGTAGTTGTCCCACACAACATCAAAACAACTGTTCCTTTCAGGCAATTCTCTGAAAGATCAATTGGTTCAGTAGGAAAATAAACAAATACACAAAAACAATAGCTAACCTCTCTAGGCAATATACCAAACAGCGAGTGATTATGCCTAAGGAGAGAATCTTCCCCATTTCAGTCAGCTATTTTGATGTGGGCTGACTCAGTCAGTGCTGGCTAGAGTTAACTCAGGGCTACCTCCCAGCCCAGGGATCTGCTGCAAGAGACATGGCTTCAGCTTGGAACAAGCTAACTGGTCAGCAGTTACCATGAATGAGGCACCAAAGAGAACTCAGGGCCAAGGCTAAGGAGCCCTGGGTCACCCTCTTTAACAGTTAACAGTTAAAGAGGGTGACCCAGGGCCCCAGGACTCCCTAACCTTGGTCCTGTGCCTTTATTTTTCTTTTGAGACAGAGTCTTGCTTTATTGCCCAGGCTGGAGTGCAGCAGCTTCATCACAGCTCACTGCAGCCTCAACCTCCCAGGCTCAAGTCATCCTCCCACCTCAGTATCCCAAGTAGCTGGAACTATAGGCATGCTCTACCATGCCAGACTAATTTTTTTTATATAGAGAGAAAGGGTCTCACTGTATTGCCCAGGCTGGTCTCTAACTCCTGGGCTCAAGCAACCTTCTGGCCTTGGCCTCCCAAAGTGTTGAGATTACAGGTTTAAGCCACCGCACCCGGCCTGTCAGCCCTGTCTTTGATCTGGAACATGACTCTGGAACATGCTTCTCCAGGGAGACATGCCTAATGCTTGAATCATATCCACAAAGGTACTGGCGGGATGAGCCACATAATTTGTGAGGCCCCGTGCAAAACTAAAATGTGGAGAACCCTTGTTGAAAAAGTATTAAGAATTTCAAGGTGATGACAACAGAGTATTAAACCAAAGAGGGGGCTGCTGCACAGGTCGCATGCCCGTTAAGCCAGCCTGAGGACTGAGCAACCAGGCAGGGTGCAGTGAGCACTGGACTGGGAGTCAGCAGCTGCAGGTTTGGTCCTTACCTTGCCACGTGCTTGCTGTACTACTAGGGGAAGTCACTGGGTTTCTCTGGGTCAAGGTCCCCCATCTGAAAAAAACCTAAGACAAAGGTGTGAGGGAAATGTTAGGCTTCAAATCTAGTTTGCTATTCAAAAATTGATCTTTTAGGAATCAATATTTCAATATTTCCGTACCGAAACCCTGAGAAAGCTTTGTTTCAACCAACATCAGTGGCATTCCTGCCAGCCACTGTGCCAGATTCTGGGAACGATGATTAGGAACATTCACTTCCTTACAGGGCCCATGCTTTCCAAATCCCCATACCAAGAGTGGGGTACAACACTGACAGGCAGAGCAGTTCCACGAAAGGCGCCTTTCCTAGGGATCACCCTGCAGAATGATCCCAACCTTGAAGGCTGCGTCTCCTGGAATTGCCTTTGGCAAGAAGTTTAAACCACTAAGAAAGTCAATGCCATTATATGAGTCACCCTTGTCTTTGCACCTCTTACTATATTACCAAGCTTGATTATCCATCTTGTTTGATAGTTTTAACTCAGAACGACTTTAGACCATTTCAGAAATCTAAACCCACTTTCAGAGAATTCTTAAAAACATAAAATTGGTTTAGAGTTTCACATTTTGCAGAGTACATTTTACAAGTGCTTTCTTTCTTCTTCAGGAAACAGAAGTGTTATTTCTAATCCCCATTTTATGTATGTAATTTTTGTCTCTAGTGAAAATAGCCAAAGAAATACACATTTAGCTTTGAAATCAATTACTTAAAAATGCCAAGAAGTTTTTGAGAAATGGCAGCATCATAGGGATATGTCTATAGTGTCTTAATGTGACAACTTCAAAGGGGACCCACTCACATAAGTACATAAATGCGTGAGTTCTCTCTGACTAAAATAGTTACATAATTTTAGTCACACTCAATGATCTGCTAGGTGTGGGCACATATAAAATGCATCTGAGGCCAGGCGCAGTGGCTCACACCTATAATCCCAGCAGTTTGAGAGGTCGAGGCAGGCGGATCACCTGAGGTTGGGAGTTCAAGACCAGCCTGACCAACATGGGGAAACCCCGTCTCTACTAAAAATACAAAATTAGCTGGGTGTGGCAGCGCACGCCTGTAATCCCAGCTACTCGGGAGGCTGAGGCAGGAGGATTGCTTGAACCCGGGAGGGGGAAGTCATCGTGAGCTGAGATTGTGCCACTGCACTCTAGCCTGGGCAGCAAGAGCAAAACTCCATCTCAAAAAAAAAAATGCATTTGAATAGTTGTTTGGGAATAGTAGGATTCTTCCTTCAAGTGAAATCTCATGCAAAAGTCTAGTATATTACATAAAACTTGGGTTGATTGAATTAAAACAAGAGAGGGTAAACTTGTTCATCTGCCCCCTCTCTGTCTCTTCCTCTTCTCTGTTTGCCCTGGTCCTGGGAATGCTAGGATCCCTTGCAGCACAGCTGGAGGATCTTTAGAGAATTTGAGAAACCTGTGCAAAAATTAGCTCTAAAACATTATGTTTGACTAGGAATAATGGCTTTTTGACTCAAGGAGAAATAAAGGTAGCTAATCAACTCAGAGAAGCAATAATTAGTTAATGGAAAAATGCAACCGATTAAATTAAGATTAATGGCATTTTGAAAATTAATCATATTTACATTCCTGGAGCACAAGTATAGCTTAAATTTGTTTTAAAATATGCACAAATCTTCCCAACCCACACTTACAGCTGTTCTCCTGAACAGAGTTTACATTAAAAACAGTGGCCCACAGCTCATTGTGGTTTGTGAGGAGAAAAGCAATATCCTGTTTTCCACCTGATTCCTCCAGGGCGGAGTGGGTGGGGCAGGCAGCCGAGGCAGCCCGAAGCCCCAGATGCAGTGCAGGCCCGGCAAATACTAGTGGTTTCTAGTGGTTCCTTTGGGTGGCATCTTTTTTCTGTGGGTTGCTGGGGGAAGGTAAAGAGTGGAGAAACTCCAGTTCACCCAGAGCCTCAGAGCCCTCGCTGCTGCCTCCCAACCAGGCATTGGAGCCCCTGGAGAGATGCATTCTTTAATTGACATTTGTGCAAACAGTGGCATTCTTGGGATGGGAGTAGAAATCAAGACCCAAGAAACCTTAAGAGACATAGACATCTATTGGAAATTATGGCATTCACTTGCAAGAGTGTCCCTGTTGGGGTTGGGCTTGGGAGTAGGGGAGGGATAGTACAGTTCTTGGAACTTGGCCCAGGAGCAAAAATGTGGGCTTGCAGATTTGCCTGCTAATGGAGTCCCCTTGGCCTTGATGGTCTCAAATGATGAAATAATGCGAAGAAGAATAACACTGTATTGAGTACTTACCTGTGATAAGTTTTTATATCCTTGTTTAATTTCTGCAAGACCCTTCACAAGGGCCGGGGACTTCGGATTTCATTTCATGTTTAGCCAAGCACCCTGAGCTCTGGAAAGACGGAGCAGCGTAAGTTGCAAGGCCATTGAGTGCAGGTTTTTCTCCTGACCTTTGCACCATTCCTGCCACACTGTATGGGCAGACTCAGATGTTTTGTCTATTTCATTAGGGAAGGTGGAGGGTGGCTGGGTAGGAATACACTCTTCGTACCGCCTCCAAGCCCTAAGACCCTTTTCCGCAGACCCAGCGAGGCCAGTGCTGGGAAAAAGGAGGAGGAGGAGACCACCAATACATTCTGGCTCCCAAACCTTCTCACTCAGGCCCCCAGGAGAAGCCAGTGGGGGTGGCCGGGCATGCTGGCCTGGCGGGGGCCCTGTGGCCCTCAGGTCACCTCTCTCTGGCCATTTTTACCTCTTGGCTCTTCCCAGAAAGCACCGTGGAGCAAAAAAGCCACGGAATTTCCTATGAACACATGGGTTTTACTACTTGCTTCCTGCTTCAGGGATTTGGGATACATTTCTATGGTTCTCGTAAATGCTAAAGATAAGGCATGGAATGCAGCACTTACCCCCTCCCTCCCTTCCTCCAATTTTCAGTCCTCTTAATACAGGAACGGGCGAGACCCCACCCATTCGAATGTACTACCATAAAAATCTGAAAAAAATTCAGACCATCTTGCCAATACCTTCAGAAATTTAGACTTTCCACAGGGAGTGGAAAATGTTCTGTGTTCTACTTTTAGGTGAAAGAAAAATAAAAGGAGGTGGGAAAAATAGTTAAACAAAACATTTATTTCTGTTCAAAGAATTTTTGAAAATTAACAGCAGCTTTCAGGCTTTGGGTCAAAGTAATATTGGGAGTTTATCCTTTGAATCTCTCCTGTTCTCCAAGCCTAGCAGTTATAAATAAATTTTTTCTTTACATAAAAAAGACAGAGCCAGCTGGGCACGGTGGCTTGTGCCTGTAATCCCAGCACTTTGGGAGGCCAAGGTGGGTGGATCACCTGAGGTCAGGAGTTTGAGACCAGCCTGGCCAAGATGGCGAAACCCCGCCTCTAGTAATAACACAAAAAATTAGCTGGGCTTGGTGGCGGGCGCCTGTAATTCCAGCTACTTGGTCGGCTGAGGCAGGAGAATTGCTTGAACCCAGCAGGCAGAGGTTGCAGTGAGCCAAGATCGCTCCATTGCACTCCAGCCTGGGTGACAGAGTGAGACTCTGTCTCGAAAGAAAAAAAGAAAAAGAAAGTGCAATGTATCAAGGAAGGAAAGCCCAGCAACACCGCTTAGGAGAACAGTATTTTAAATAATAAAAAAGCATCTTGGTATCTTGCATGTCACCTTCCCTTGTTATCAAAGCAATATATTCTCTGGATATTCTGTTCATGAACATATTGTGTAGACAACTCCTGTTGGTAGAGGCTTTTCTTGGGAACTGCCAGTGAATGCTTCTCCTTCCCCTTGGGAGGCTGCCATTCCACGTGGCTCTGGTGAGTCAGAATCCGGCGGTCACGCTGATATTCCATTTGCTCCCTTGACAGGAGAAAAATGTTTCAGAATGACTTAATCCTTTTACTCTCTAGGGTCTTCCTTCTAAGTGCTCCCTCTTAATTCAATAAAAACTTATCTGTGTTAATACATGTCTGTGTCTGCTGCAGCCTCGCTCGGAGTGTGTTCTGCCTGGTGTTCACCCATCGTCTGATAAACGAAATGCCCATGTCTGCTCTTCCTGCTGTTTAGTGGATGTGATGCTGTGGCTGATTGTGGGGAAGGGTTCATTTCCAGTAGTTGATACCTAATCCCCACAGGAAAATAGGAACCCTGATTGAATAAAACACAGCAGAATTAGATTTCTCAACAAAAATAGAACCAGAAACACCTGTGCACAATTGCCTAGGGTGGAATAAGTGACCTTCAGGAGAATAGGGTTAAGGTGAAGAATTCTGAATGCCCAAGGTGGCCTTTGGGTCAGAACTGGAGGAATAGCCTTAATACAAGGAGATAACCTTACAATATTTTTCCTCTTTATTTATTTATCTGCAACTTTTCTAAAATTATGAAATATTTCAAACACTCAAAATAATCGATGTTAACATTTTGCCAGATGTCCATCGGGTTGACAAATCTAAGAAATAAAATGTAATAGATGCAACTAAAACCCTGCCCCCAAACATCCCCCATTCTCTTTCCCCAGAAATCACTGCTTTCTTGAAGCCAACATGCATGTTTTTACTACATATTTATTATCTTTCCATAATCTATGTGCTGTGATGTGCTTTAACACTGACATGAATGGAATCCATATCCTTTTACATCTTGCTTTTTTTACTCCGTATCATGTTTTTGAGATTCCATTTATTTATTTTTGCCACAAATAGTTATAGGGTGCCTATGATGGGCTAGCAGTGTTTTAGGTACAGGGGAAGTGGCATTGAGGAAAAAAAAAAGACAGAGACAAAACCCCTCATGAGACAGACAATAAAAAAGATAAGTAAAATATATGCTATGGTACAAATGAAATATAGTATGGATGAAAAACATACTATAGCAGTGGTAAATGCTAAGGAGATCATTTAAGGAAGAAAAGAGCATAGGGAGTGTGTGCATGTAAGCGGAGCGTGCGGTTGGCATTGGAGACAGACCACGTTGCTTCAGGTTATCCGATGCATGGTATGATCTCTGGGGAGGTGACGACTATGGCACAGAGGGCTGGCTGCAATGTATTAGGTTGGTGCAAAAGTAATTGTGGTTCTTACCATTACTTTTAATGGCAAAAACCGCCATTACTTTTGCTCCAA
Organism: Homo sapiens; assembly: GCF_000001405.40. Taxonomy (NCBI): domain Eukaryota; kingdom Metazoa; phylum Chordata; class Mammalia; order Primates; family Hominidae; genus Homo; species Homo sapiens. Next base: position 31,651,433 of record NC_000010.11, read on the forward strand.
ACAAAAGTGTCCTTGCTCACTGCTCCGTTGGGAATGACCGAATCATACCATATGCACATCTTCAGTCACTTTCACACCACCTCCCTACACCATTGTACCAATATATACTCCCACCAGGAGTGTATTGGAATTCCTATTTCCCTGTGTACTTGCCAGTTCTTTTCGGATTTCTGAGTCTTGCCTTTTTGAAAGGCATAAGTGATTATTTGTTGCTTTTTAAATTTTTACTTCCCTGACTACTAGCATGACCAAGCATCTCCATGTGGACCCCGTAGTTTTCCTCTCTGGAATTATCTGTTCACATCCTTTGCTCCTTTTTCTATGGGATTGTTTGTCTTAATTTTATTCACTTCTATAATTCTTTTACATAGTGTGGATTAGTCCTTTTTCATTTACGGGAACTGCAGATGTATTCCCCACCTCTGTAGCTTGTCTTTTTACTTTGTCTATGGCGTCTCTTGTGATGTAGATTAACACCAATGCCATCAAAATTATCAAGTCTGTCTATTGTTACTTATAGTTTTTATTTCCTAAGAACTGATTTCCAACCCCAACGCCATAGAGGCATCCTGCTGTATTTTTTTCTAAAAGTTTTTCTGTTTCCATACAAGTCTGTAATTTATCCAGAATTCAATATTTGTGAATGAAGTAAGATTTTTAAAACTATTTTTCTTTTCATCTGTAGATAGCCAGTTGTCCCAGCATTGTTTATTGATTCTCTGTTAATGTAATGAGACCTCTGTTCATGGATTCTCTGTTAATGTAATGAGACCTCTGTCCAATGGCAGATTTTCAGATATGGGGCCCATTGGTCTGTTTATCTGTCTATCACTAGTTCCACCATCCTTATCATCATAGGTTTGTAATAAGTCTTGGTGTCTGGTACAACCCCCTCCCTCCATTACTAGTCTTTCACAAATCTGCCTTGGCTATGCTTGCCTTTTCTACTCTACCGTAATAATTCTAGGATCAATTTGGAAAATTCCCAGTCAGGAATTGTATTGCATTGCATTTATAAATTAATTTAACAGAACTGTTAGCTATATATTGAGCCTTTCCATCATGAACATATTTTTTCATTGATCTGGGTCTTGTTTAATAACCTTTGATACATTCCATATTTTTTAATGAAGACCTAGCACATTTTTTGACACATTACATCCTACTGCAATTTTTTGTAACTACAGAAAATGGTGTTTGTAACTGTTTTTATTAATAGTTTTTTGCTGGCATATCGAAGAACTATTTTTTTTACATTGGCCTTATATTTAGCAATGTTGCTGAATTCTCCTACTAGTTTATCTGTAGTTTCACTCATTTACCTATTATTTTATCAGCAGATAAACATATTATCTTGAAATATGACTAGAATTTTTTCTTTTCCAATCATTTTAGGTTTTATTCTTATCTTATTCTATTTCTTTTGTATTTCTTATGATTTTAGGCTAAATTATTAGTAATTAAAAGCTCAGACTTGTTATGTCTTGTGTTGAATTTTCCTTTGACCATTACATAACAAACTTCTTTATTCCTGACAGTGCTTTTTTGCCTTAAAATGTATTTTATCTGCTATTAATATAGCTGTAGCAGTTCAATTAGTATTTGCTTTTACTATGAGCTTTTCTGTGTCATTATATTTTCAATAAATTTCTGTAAACAGCATATAACCAATTTTTTTTTAAAGAATCCAGTCTAAGCCTCTGCATTGTAGCTGGTGGCAAAATATATTAAAATGTATTACAATTAGTAAAGTATTGGGATTTACTTTTATCACTTTCATTTTTTGTTTAATTCTCATTTGATACAAACAAAAACTAAAGAATTTATTGTCAGCACATCTGCATTACAGAGAGTATAAAGGAACTTCTTCAGGCAGAAAGAAAATGATACCAGATGGCAATTTAGAAATATAAAGGAGTGAAACAGCCTCTGATGGGTAAAATACAGAAGATACTTTTTCCCATATTTTCCATTTTTTAAACTGATAATTGATTGATTAAAGTAAAAGTAATAACAATGTATTATGTAGTTTATAACATGTAGGACAATTTATGACAACAACAGCATAAAGGATGGGAAAGTAAAGGGAAATGCACTGTCTTAAATTTTTTACACTGCGCAAGAAATGATTTAATATTATTTGAACTTAGACAGTTATAAGTTAATGATATACATTGTAAAGTGTAGATCAACCACTGAAAAAATGGCAAAGAGGCATACATAATAAGCCAATTGTGGAGATAATATGGAATCACTAAAAATACTCAATCCAAAAGAAGTCAGATAAAGAGAAAAAAGGAGCAGAACAGATGAAACAAACAGAAAATAGATGGCAAGATGATATGTGTAAATCCAGTGACATATTAACGTATGCCAAATGTATATAGTCTAAATACTGCCTTTCAAAGGCAGATACTTTCATATTGAAAAATAAAGCAAGATGCAACTACATCCTTTCCACAAGAAACCCAAATGCACTTCATGTCCAAAGATGCAGGTAAGTTAAGAGGATGGAAAAGATATTCCATGCAGATAATAATCAAAAGTAAGCTGGAGTGACTATGTTACTGTCAAACAAAAAAGTAGATTTCAGAGGAAAAAATATTATCAGGTCATATGAGATAAAGAAGGACATTTCTAACAATAAAGGGGTAAAGTCATTGACGAGAATGTTAAAAACTAAATGTGATTGCACCCATTAGCAGGGCTTCAAAATACATGAAGCAAAAGCTAGTAGAAGTGAAAGGGAAAATAAACAATTTCACAACTATTAATTGGAAATTTCAACACTCCTTTCTCAGTAATTATTGGAACAAATAAAAGTTAGTAATGATCTAGAATACTTGACAACAGTATCAATCAATTTGATTAATCAACATTTAGAGAACAGTCACCCAACAATAGGATTACACATTCATTTAAAAGGCACATAGATTATTCATGAAGATAAAGCTAATTCTGGGCCATAAAACAAATCCCAATACATTTAGAAGGATTAAAATTATACAAAATACATTATCATTATCTGAGCATAATGTAATTCTCCACAACTAGAAATCAATAACAAAAACATATCTGTAAAATGCCCAGATATTCAGAATTTAAAGAGTACACTTCTTTAGGTCAAAGAAAAAATATTTGACCTAAATGTAAACCAAAGCACAACATAGCAAAATCTGTGGGATATGGCCAAAGAAGGGCTTAGAGGAAAGTTTATAGTATTGAATGATTATATTAAGAAGAAGAAAGATCTCAAATCAATTAACTAGGCATTCACCTTAAGAATGCAAAAACAAGAACAAATTAAATCTAAAATAAGTAAAAGTTAGGAAATAGTAAGATTGAAATAAAAAGGAAATTTAAGAATAAACTCAAGGCTGGGCATGGTGACTCACGCCTGTAATCCCAGCACTTTGGGAGGCTGAGGCAGGTGGATCACGAGGTCAACAGTTCGAGACCAGCCTGGCTAACGTGGTGAAACCCCGTCTCTACTAAAAATACAAAAATTAGCTAGGCGTGGTGGCGGGCACCTGTAATCCCAGCTGCTTGGGAGGCTGAGGCAGGAGAATCACTTGAACCCAGGAGGCAGAGGTTGCAGTGAGCCGAGATCGCGCCATTGCACTCCAGCCTGGGTGACAGAGTGAGACTCCGTCTCAAAAAAAAAAAACAAAGAAACTCAATGCAGCCAAAAGTTTGTTATTTGAAAAGATTGATAAAATTGGTAAGCATTTTGCTAACCTGATTTAAAAAAAAAGGACACATTACCAATGTTATTAATGAATGAGGAATCATCACTTCAGATCCAGCAGTATTAATAGGATAATAAAAGAATATTAAAACCAATTTGTGCCAGTGTATTAGACAACTTAGATGAAATAGACAAATTCCTTGAAATACACAAATTGCAAAACCTCATTGAAAAGCAAAGATCACTAGAATAGCCTTCATATTCATTTGTTTTTAAATGAATTTGTAGTTACTTTCTCACAAAGAAAACTTCAACTCAGAGGACTTCACTGGTGAATGCTACCGCATTTTTAAGGAAGAAACAATACTCATTTTGCACAAACTTCATCACCTGATAAAAGGGATCTATAAAAATCTGCAACTAATATCACATTTAATTATGAAACACTGAATGCTTTACCTCTAAGACTGGTAACAAGACAAGAATGTTCACTTTTACTACTTCTGTGCAATATTATGTAGGAATACATAGCCAAACAATTAAACAATAAAAAATAATAAAATAGACAATATGATCATCTATGGAGAAAAAACTAAAGAATCTACTAAAAAGTTGCTAGAAATAATTTTAGCAAAGTGTCAGAATTGAAAGCCAACATACAAAATATAGGAACTAACAGTTGGAAATGGAAATTTAATAACAATATCATTGATAATGGAATAAAATGTATGAAGTACTTAGGGATACATTTAACAAAATATTTGCAAGACTTGTGCACCAAAAATGCCAGACATTGCCAAATTAGAGATGACCTAATACATTGAGAGATATAACATGTTCATGGATCAGAAGACTCAATGTTGTTTAAATGTCAATTTTCCCTGAATTTCTCTATGAATGCAAGGCAACTTCAATCAAATCTCAGTTTCCAGATTTATTTTGTCAACTTTGCTTCTTGTATCCTATTTCCTTTCATCTGAATTGTTTCCTTCTTAGATACATTTTTTTTTAATTCTTTAAATGAAGGTCTGTGAACAGCAAATTCTCCAAGTATTTGTTAACTAAAACTCCCTTTGTTTTTTTCCCTCACTCTTGATTAATAGTGTAACTCTAAGAAGATATTATATTGTCCTCTGATCTTCAATGTTGGTGTTAACAAATTTGCTGTCATTCTAATCTTTGCTATTTTGTGTATGATATCTTTTCCCTCTTTCCTTTGCAGAATTTCTCTTTTTATTTAATGTTTAATAGTTTCACTAGGAATTCTCTAGGCGTCTTTTTTTAATACTCATCCAGCTTGAGATGCCCTGGGATTCTTTCATTTGAAGGTTCATGTCTTTAATCAGCTCAGAGTTATCACCCATTTTCCTTCAAATATCTTCTCTAATCCTTTCTCTATCATCTCCTTCTGGAAATCTTGTTAGATTTGTAAAATCTTGGATTTTTCCTCACCTTAAACTCTGTCTCACAGTTTCCATCTGGTCTCTCTATGCTGGATTCTGGGTAAAATCCTCTAATCTTCAGTTCAGTGATTGTCTCTTTAATTATGCTAAGGGGCTGCAGAACCTATCCATTGAGTTTTTCATTCACTGAGTGTATTTGTCATATCTATAAGGTCTATTTAGCTAGTTTTTCTACCTTCCTTTCTTTATTTTTAGTGTCTTGATCTTTCCTCCAGTATTTGACTCCTTCTATTATATTTTTAGGCATTCTTAGCATACTTTTCCCCTCTCTGATGGTCATTCTGTTACCTCAAGTTCAGGGGACTTGAACCTTAACTGTTGTTGTGTCTGCTGATTCTTCATCACAGTGAATTATTCCATTACATATTTCTTTTTTTAAAAATCATGAGGTCATCTTTAATGGGGGTTATTTTCTGAGAAAATACAGTGAGCCTATGTTGTTAGAATGTCACTTCAGGGTGATTTGGGATTTCAGGCATTCCAGGGACATCCACTTTGGAACAGATTATGTTTATTTCTCTGCTACACGTTTCCTGAGCCATGTAGATATTTGAATGCTTTCTGAATGGATTAAAGGCATATTTTGGACCCAAAACCTAAGGGCAAGCCCAGGGCTTAATTTTCTCTAAAGAGATTGTTTTCCTAACCTCAAGCTGGGACAGCTTCCTTGTCTTCTTCCTGTGCCAATAGACAGATTTCTTCCAATTTCTCTTCCCACTGGGGTTCAACTCTTCCAAAGTCCCTGACTTATACTTCTCAGGATTACAAGACTTTATCTCCTGTCCTTATATGGGTGTCAAAACCCAAGCCCCTAGGTTTATTGGGAACAAAAATAAATTCCCAGGTCAAGTCACAGACATATTGCTCTGATTTTTCAACTCCTCCTCATTTCCAAGGCTCAGAATCTCTGCTATGCAATTTTTAAAGGGTTACATGTATCCCGAATTTCCGCATATCTGTGGCAGGAATGATTTCAAGTTTCTTAGTCCATTATCTTTCTGGAACTAGAAATCCCCTTCTGCACTTATTCATGTGGCCACATCCCAAGAAGTATAATTTCAGAGTAATCTGTGACTGTTTATACAGCTCCAAAACACATTAGTTAAATTGAAATATTTGGCCCATAATCCAGTTGTTTTTGTCTACATGGTGCCAAATATCCAGATGTGTGTGTCCAATTCATCTGTTGCTTCAAAATATAATAAACTTGCATTATTAAGCACATTGCTATTTCACAAATGCAGGGGTCCTCTGGGTGTAATTCTGTCCCTTATTTGCTGAGACTTATTATATTAGAGTACATAACTTTCATTCTGCCACGTTGATTTATAATGCTGTAATTCTCTTTCTTGTTGTTATTTTTATTTTTTCACAATACAGTATTGAGGTCAACAAGTATTTATTAAGCTCCTGGCTGAGGGTGAAAAGAATAAAAAATCACTCTGTCCTTTGGGGATATTAAAATCTAGTTTATGCATTCATTCCCTCAGTCAATAATTTTTTACTGAGCACACACCATGTTCCTAGGGAGACAGGGAAGTACCAGATACAGTACCTGTCCTTGTGGAGCAGACAGTTTAGTGGGACACAAATAATCACACAAGTAATATAAAAAATTATAAAATACTAAAAAATTAAAAATAAAAATTATAATACATTTTATGTAGAAAAGTACAATTGCTGTGATCGAGTATCACACATAATCTCAACTTAGTTTGGGGAAGTTAGAGAAGGGCTCTCTTAGGAGTGACCGAAGCTGGAACCTGAAGGAGACAGGCAAAGAGTGAGGAGAAGAAAGTTCCAGACAGAGGAACTGTGGGTGGACAGAAGGGGTGTGACAGGCTTAAGGAGCATGAAGATTGTCAGTGTGTCTGGAAGTGCCAGCTGGAGAAAGAGTCAGGAGTCCAATCATGTCTGAGTAGGACAGAGTTTGGATTTGGATTTTCTTCTAAGTGCAATAACCCACCATTAGAGTGTGGAGCTGAGGGATGATATGCTAAGATCCCTGGCTGCCCAACAGGAAAGGGGTTGGAGAAGGGTGGGTGTGGAAAAAGAGAAAGGCGTTAGGGTTTGGGCTAGGTGGAGGACACGGTAGTGTGGAATAAGGAGGTGACAGTGGAGACGGAGAGGAATCGATGTCTATGAGATGTTTTATAGCTGTAATCAATGGAACTTGAGTAGTGAGGGAGAAGAAACTGTCAGGGTTGATCTGCCAAAAGCAATGGGGAATATAGAGCTGCCATTTGGGGAAGGCTGGAGGAAAGAACTCCATTTCTAAGGAAAATTAGTTCATTTTTGGGCATGTTAACTCAGAGATGTCTATGAGACATACATGTAGAGATGCCAGAGGGACAGTAAGATGTATGCATGGAGTTCAGAAGAGCTGGAAAAAGTTATAAGTGTGGGAGTTGATGGCATTTAACTGACATATAAAACCATGGAAATGGTGAAGATTAACCAGGGAGAGACTATAGACAGAAAAAGGACAGGCGGACTGGTCAGGTAGAAAGAAGACCAGGAATCTATTTTTTTTTAAAAAAGGCGGAGCAGGAGTATCTAAGGTGGGAAGAAACAAGGAAAGCTTGGTGTCACAAAATACAAGAGAAGAGAGGGTTTAAGGATGTAAAAGTGGTCAGTGGTATCGAATACCTCTGAAGGTCTAGTAAGATAAAAACTAAGAAATGGCCATGGGGTAGTGTGGATGCTATGAGTGAGTCTACCAAAAGCATTTTGGTTAAGAGAAAGAAGTAGAAGCCAGACTGAAATGGGTTAGCATCAACTCTCCTCCCAGGAAGGGGAGAAAGGAAGCATGTAGAAACAAGACTTAACTCAGGACACATGACGGAAGAAAATACAAGGCAGTTCTACAATCGCAGATGTGGGGAAACGAGTTTCAAATGGAGGCTAGAGCAGTGGGGAGAACCCTGATGAGGTTTGGCCCTTGGATAATGAGCCAGATTTAGATAAACAGAGAAGAAGGAGCATATGCCTGGGAACCAGCATGAATAAAAGCAAGTGAGCAGAGATGTTCAGAGGATGAGGGGGACGGAGAAGAGCCCAGCATGAAGATGGCTGAAAGGACTGAGAAATGAAAATGGATGGGAAGGGTTGAGTATATCTATGTTTTTATGTACCCACTTCTGAGAAATGCACTCTCTGGCTGCTGAAGGACCTCTCCTGCATTCCATCCATGAGGCAGTGGAGGGGCCACCATCAAGGTACCTAACGACAATGGCATGGGAATCCAGCCAGGCCGGTCAGCATGCCTCCAGCAACCCTCGTTGACAGACATTCCAGAAATGCTCTTGTGGAGGGAATGAAACTGGCCTTCAGAAGGCAGCAGATGAAAGAGAGGGAGTGGCAGCACCCCATGGTTCCCAAGGCCCACCAGGGGCCCACTTGCACCACTGTCCTTCCTGTGGTTTGGGTACACGAAGCTTCCAAATATACTCTCCCCCTTTAAGCCTAAGACTCACCTGCCACCAGGAGTCCTGCCATACAATGAGATGGTGCCAGAGCACAAGAATTCCCTGTTTGGGGTTAAGCGATGGACCAAGAGGTAGAGGAACCCCCACCAGGAACCAGACAGACACCCCACATCTCAGAAGTCATCCAGCCTTATTTATCAGTAACAACTTTTGAAATCTCTAGCCTTGGTTAATAAATTGTGGTTGATTCCATTAACATTATTTTGAAATGCCATCAAAACCCTTTTTACTGAAGCCTCAAGGATTAGTTTGTGTCTGAATCAGCACACCAAGGCTCACTGATCTGAGCCAGCATGAATACACTTCAAAACAGAGGGATCTCGAGGTTGCTGGTGAAACGAGGGCACAAGTCTTTTATCCGCAGGCTGGAGGTCTGGTTGCTATCAGCCCTCTAAGGGAACTCCGTGGCAGGTTTATGGTAGGATGGAGGTAAGATGATGGTGGAAGATCATTCTCCTTGCCAAAGAAGTGACAAGGAAGCATTTCCAGGCCCCCCGGGCTCTGCTGTCCGTTCTCTTTGCATGTTTTTATGCCTTATTTGGATTGCAAATGTACACACACAGCAAAGCGTCCCTGCTGGTTGAGATGTCAGACAGCATTTGTTATTCCAGTTCACTTTTATGAAGAAGCCACAATAACTCTGGTTCCTATTTAGTGCCTTTGAAAGCTGATTTCTTACATGTGGAGCTCCAGTAGCCAATTCAAGCTTCCTGAAATCACAATATACCCAAGGGGTAGACACAGGGGCCAGACCTCTTTGGAGGGCCACACTGCTGAGGCGCTGTAAATGTCTAATGTGGAAGCAAGTGTTCCTTTATAAAAAGACACAGTGCCTCAAAGATTTAATAACTTAGAAAATGTTCATGAGATAGTATGTGAAAAATTCAGGTTATATAACTGTGCAGTGCAATCCCATTTCTATAAATAAACATATGCATACGTCTATACACATATAGTCTGTGTGTGTATGTGTGTACATACATTTAAAAGATACTGAAGTGATACACACCAAAATGTTAACAACAGTTATCTTGCAGGACAGCAGGAGGGGGCTTGTAGGTGACTATTTTATTTCCTTTTCTTTGCTTCACCACATTTTCTCTTTTTTATTTAATTTTTATTATTATTATTATTATCTTGAGACGGAGTCTTGCTCTGTGGCCCAGGCTGGAGTGCAGTGGCTTGATCTCTGCTCACTGCAACCTCCCAGGTTCAAGCAATTCTCCTGCCTCAGCCTCCTAAGTAACTGGGACCGCAGGAGTGTGCCACCACACCTGGCTAATTTTTGTATTTTTAGTAGAGACGGGGTTTCACCATGTTGGCCAGGCTGGTCTCGAACTCCTGACCTCAGGTGATCTGCCCACCTTGGCCTCTCAAAGTGCTGGGATTACAGGTGTGAGCCACCATGCCTGGCCTACTTGGATAATTTTTTAAAGCTATTTTTGAAATGAGCATCTCTCAGATTTCCTGTAAACAAATATTGAAAGCCCACAGTTGTAGGAGTTTTGGAGGGTAGGGGGAAAATGGGGGTAGGCATGTATGTTGTTTGTTGCTATATCACTTTATTGCAATGTACAAGAGGGCTAGGAGTTGCCCAGTGTCTGAGAAGCTCATATCAACCACATAAAGGATGGTTCTCCAGTTCTTATTCTCACTTAACCATAAATAAACCCACTAGATAATAGCTGGCTGGTACCAGAACACATAACCCCTCCATAACCAGGCTTTTATACTCAGTCCGGATAACTCTATGTGCACTACTTGCTGCCTGAGGTTTGGTGGAAATCACTTAATCACAATACTCCAAGACATCACCTTTCATCCCCAGTAGATAGAATCCCCAGCAAAGCCAAGATGCTAGCACTTATTAGCAGTTCTTAAATGGCCTTACCTGCCCCCATTCAGCCTATTAGCTCTATTGTAAGACTGTCAAAACCGAAAAAGTTAACCTTAAATGGATTTCTTATTTTTATTTATTTACTTAGATGGAGTCTCTCCCTGTCGCCCAGGCTGGAGTGCAATGGCACCATCTCAGTTCAATGCAAACTCTGCCTCCCAGGTTCAAACAATTCTCCTGCCTCAGCCTCCTGAGTAGCTGGGAATACAGGTGCGCACCACCATGCCTGGCTAATTTTTCTTATCTTTAGTAGAGACAGGGTTTCACCATGTTGGCCAGGCTGGTCTTGAACTCCTGACCTCATGATCCACCCACCCCTGAGCTCACTGCAATAGAAGTACATGCTCACACACGATCATTGCACATACACAAGTAATGCCCAGTGCCTAGGCGTGTGGATTTTGGAGCCAAATAGTCTTCAGTTGATTTGCTTCAGCTGCATTATCTGATTTATCATAACAACCCTCTGAGGGTAGAATATCCTCCATTTTAACAGATAGGGAAACAGGGGCCTGCAGAAGTGAAGGAACTTGCCGTAGGTCACGAAGACAGAAAGTGAAAGCTGGAAACCAAGTGCATATTTCCCTGACTCCAGAGCCTGGGTTTTTAAAAAGTCTCCTGCCAGGTTATTTCCACCACTCCGACAAGAATATGACTGTGGGGATGTGTACATCTTCAGGACCCATGTCACCAAGCTGTTTGAGATGATGATGGTTTGTTTCCCAGCAAGCTCTTCCAAGCAACAGCCTAGACTGTCTTTCCCTTTTCTTGTACCTTCTCTACCTCCCACTTTTCACTGGTGTGCTACACACACACACACACACACACACACACACGGAGTCTTCATGAAATAACTGCTTGCATTTGACGCTACCAATGTGGGTTTCAGACCCTGTTGCGGCTGCAACAGAGCCCGTTTCAAGTGGCACAGGTGGGCGTCCACTCACTGCTCCAAGTTATGAGGCACTGAGGTCTCTTCTAAAGGGTCTGAGTTGAGGCCAATGGCTTATTTGTTAGGACGGTCGGTGAAGAGCTCAGCCATCTTCCCTAAACTTCCTTGCAAACAGCAGCTGCAGATGCCCACGAAGAGGCTGGGGGAGTGGCCATTTTAAACAGGCCCCAAAGAGCTCTTGGGACTTGGCTTCCCTACCCTTTGTGTCCCTCGTAGGGTGACTGGGAGGCTCTCAGGAGTTTTCCCGGGCAGATTAACTTTGACAGAACATAGCACATAGCCTGCACAGAGTATGTGACCCATCTCCTCTTTATAGAAGCTGGCCACGGCCGCCATTTTCAGGATCTATCAAGGCTCCTGAGGGAGGCGGCAGTTCAGAGCCTGCAAAGATTGGGGAAAGTGTGGGGCCAGAGAGGCTGGATAGAAGTCCTTGGGTCACAGCCTTCCTCATCTGAAAAATAAGTGTGTGGATGGATCCAGCAGGAGCCTGACTTAGAGTGGGCCTTCCAAGAATCTCTAGTAGAGCAAATCTAACTTAACTTTTTAACTTAATTTTTTAAACTTAATATCAATCTCAAGACCTAAATATGAGTCTAGCCAGCTGCCCTGCCTGCCACCAGGTTTACTTGTAGTGGCAAATCATGTTCCCCTAGTAAGCAGGATGAAGCTGACACGAGCCATTGTTCATGAGGCAATTATTCTAAGGAGGGAAAGCAGGGGTATGGGGAACATAATATGGGAGGCTGCTGTGGGGCACACAGAGTTAATGCGCACTTTTCTCCACAAGCATACACCACAACCGCAACAGGAGCTAATTACTCTTGTTAATTACCTAGCCCTGGGTCAGATCCCAAGGCTGGTTAAAGATAATCAAAGACTAAGCTCATCAATTCTTCCTTAGAGTATTACAGAAAGTCTAAGTTTGAATGCATAAATCTTTTTCATTGGTTCTGACTACCTCTGAGATAACTTCTCTGCACAAATGAAAATAATTTTGCAGTTGAGCACAGCAACTTCCCCACTTCCTCCTTCTTGTCTTTTAAGATACCCCCTGCCCCAAATATTTCTTCTGGTATTCTTCTCTCTGCATGTAACATGATATCAGTGGGAAGTTTGGCAAAAATAAGTTAATAAATTAACAATTAATAAACTAAAAGTCTACATACAAAATGATTCCATTTATTTAACATTCTGGAAAAGACAAAACTGTACAGATGGAGGACAGATCAGTGGTTGCTGGCTGGGGAAGGATGGAAGGTCTGACCACAAACAGGCGGCATTGTGGAATTTGAGAAATGATAGAACTCTTCCGAGCATGATCGTGGTGATAGAAATACAATGCTATGCGGCCCAGGCGCTGTGGCTCACGTCTGTAATCCCAGCACTTTGGGAGGCCAAGGCGGGAGGATCACCTGAGGTCAGGAGTTCAAGACCAGTCTGGCCAAAATGGCGAAACCCTATCTCTACTAAAAATACTAAAAATAGCTGGGTGTGGTGACGCATGCCTGTAACCCCAGCTACTTGGGAGGCTGAGGCAGGAGAATCACTTGAGCCCGGGAGGCGGAGGTTGCAGTGAGCTGAGATCACACCACTGCACTCCAATCTGGGCAACAGAAAAAAAAAAAAAAGAAAGAAAAATGTTCTGCATTTGTCAAAACCCATACGCCATAAGGAGTGAATTTTGCTGTATTTTACTGTGTGAAAGCGAAAAAGAAATGTGAAAAGAGAACAAGAAAACTTATTCTCACTCTTTTGGGCAGTTTTTTTGTTGTTGTTAATTTGTCTTTATTACTAGAAATTACAAAGATATCTTTTTCTGACAAACAAAATCTTTGAAATTCTAGCAGAAGCAGGGCAGGGGCAAATATTGGCATGTTTCACTAATTTGTCCTAAATGTCCTGTATCTACCGGTTTTGAAAAGATTCAGCAGGTGTAGATTTTTTTCCCCTGGGAATGGGACTGGTGTCTACAAAAGCAGAGTGTAGCAAATGCTTAGACAATTTTCCAGTGAGATCAGTCAAGTCTTAATCTCCATGACGCCAAAATACTGGGCTGCAAAGTGGAAAGGTCAGTCAACCGCCCAGCTGTTTTGTGTCTGTGTGTCCCCCCAGTGTATGTGACTGTTCGGAGACAGGTTGCAGATCCTGTGGCCGGTGCCAGGGAGGTGCCATCATAGTTGGAAGCTTTCCCCAATAACAAATTTCTTTACACATCCACAACTCCCTTCACAGGGGCAGCTACAGCCTGTTCTTTGTCATCTAATTTCAACAGCAGTTGCTTACAAAAAAACAAATCAGTGACTTTATGATGAGTTCTAATAGGCATCTTTCTTTTCTTCTTCTTGGGGCCCGCCTAGCAACTCCTCCAAAAAGCTGACGCAACAAGGAAGGCTTTAATATCACAAAGGTCATTCATTATCACAGCCACCTAAAAACTTACAACCTTTCCAAAGTAATCACACCAGAACTGATAGACAGTTTTGCATTCATTTGTAATGTTAAGTACTTAATCAACAAGTTAAATATTCTTCAGGTTCACAAGTCTGATGACAACATCTGAATCATTTTTTCTATTGAAGGAAGAGGGTGTCTGATTAGGGTTGACAGATGCATATAAGAAAGCACATAGGTTTACCTACACACTTCTTTTTCCTGTTGGGAATATGATAATGTGATAAAATTAGATCTTAAGGTGTTTGCATGCTTATACCTCTAAAATTTTACGCATGGCTTTGTTGCAGAAGAAAAAGGATTTGGGAAAGTAGTCTTAGAGATGGATCCCTACTGCATGGGTTATCTGTCCACAGTGTGCTTGGCTTACCTGGGTGTCAGGGAGCAGTCTGTGAACCCCGAAAACTTGAGACAGGTCTCAGTTAATTTAGAAAGTTTATTTTGCCAAGGTTGAGGACGCACGCCTGTGACACAGCCTCACAAGGTCCTGACAACATGTGCCCAAGGTGGTCAGAGCACAGCTTGTTTTTATACATTTTAGAGAGACAGGTGACATCAATCAACATATGTAAAATGAACACTGGTTTGGTCTGGAAAGATGGGACAACTCAAAGCAGGGAGGGGCTTCCAGGCCACAGGTAGGTGAGAGACAAACAGTTGCATTCTTTTGAGTTTCTGATTAGCCTTTCCAAAGGAGGCCATCAGATATGCATTTATCTCAGTGAGCAGAGGGATGACTTTGAATAGAATGGGAGGCAGGTTTGCCCTAAGCAGTTCCCAGCTTGAGTTCTCCCTTTAGCTTAGTGATTTTAGGGGCCCAAGATATTTTCCTTTCACAGTTCATATCCTGGAGGTAAACCCTTAGATTCAAATTTGTAGAATCACAGACTCTCAAGTTAGCAGAGGCCTTAAGGGAGCTTTGGTTAGCTTTTCTTGAGTGCAAGGACAAGAGAACACTCAAGTTAGCTCAAGAAATTGGAGTTTCTTGCAAGAATATACTTGCGCCTGTGTCTGAAGCTGAAAAACCATGAGGAACCCAGACAGCTCTGGGGACCCGTGGCTTGATGTGTCTCTTTCAGGCCACACGGTTTCTCTATCAAGATATCTCTGCCTCTCTCTGTTCACGTGCTCCCTCCCCTCTCTCATGAAATAAACTCTTTGTTTTAGATGCATCCTAATTTCAACTTGTTCCTGGCCCATCATGACTTCTGTGGGCCCTCAGCATCAAAACCATTGCAAGCTTGCTGGTTCACACTTTCTTCGTTTTTAAAGCCGAGAAAGAAAATGTGATTGGTTCAGCTCACTTTTCCATGCTCGGCCCCATTACATGTCACTATCAGCCTGTGAATTGACTGCCCTGTGATCAGGTGTCCACCTAAACTGCTCAGTATGCAATCGGGGAACCTGTCTCAAAACAGTCTTTCTGGCAGCAGGGGTTCTGGGTGGGCAGTTCCCATCAGAAAGCAGGGCAAAGGGTGGTAAAACTGTGGGATTTTCCTGCCCTCATTTAGTAGTTAAGTCTCCTCTATAATGGGGATTGTACACTCCAGTACCTACAGCCTCAGGCAGGTGATATGAAAAGGTTGAATTGGTCCGTCAAGAGCATGCGTTGTGTGAGTGGGAAAGACTTTGGAAAACTGGAAAACACAGCCTGGTATAAAGGGGATGATATAGTTTGGATATTTTGTCCCCTCCAAATCTCATGTTGAAATTTGGTGCCTAATGTCAGAGGTGGGGCCTGGTGGGAGGTGATTGTATCCTGGGTGCAGATCCCTCTTGAATGGCTTGGTGCTGTCCTCACGGTAATGAGTGAGTTTATTATCTACTCCTTCCCATGAGATCTGATTGTTAAAAAGAACCTGGCAGCTCCCACCTCTGTCTCTTTCCTTCTCTCACACCATTTGATGTTTGCTCCCCTTTGTCTTCTGCATGAGTGGAAGCTTCATCAGGCCCTCACCAGAAGCAGATGCTGGCACCATGCTTTTGTGCAGCCTGCAGAACCATGAGCCAAATAATCCTCTTTTGTCTATGAATTGCCCAGCCTCAGGTATTACTTTACAGCAACACAAATGAACTAAGACAGGCTATAAGCAAACTAGCTGCCGTTGGTTTATTTGCAGAAAAGAGAGCTAAGTAATGTCATATATCTTATTTTTTTCAGTGGAAGCTAGAAATTTATTTTATGTAAAATCTCTCAAACTTTAATGCTGACTCAAACTTCTTTTTGTTTTTTGTTTTTTTTTTTTTTGAGACAGAATCTTATTCTGTCACCCAGGCTGGACTGCAGTGGCGTGATCTTGGTTCACTGCAATCTCCGCCTCCCAGCTTCAAGCTATTCTCATGCCTCAGCCTCCTGAGTAGCAGGGATTACAAGTACATGCCACCATGCCTGGCTAATTTTTGTATTTTTAGTAGAAATGGTGTTTCGCCATATTGGCAAGGCTGGTCTCAAACTCCTGACCTCAGGTGATCTGCCTGCCTCTGCCTCCCAAAGTGCTAGGATTACAGGAGTGAACCATCATACCCGGCCAAACTTTTTTAACATTATTGGCCAACCAAAACACTCCCTTGCCTCCTCTACCCTTCAACCAGCTAGGGGACCCTCAGCCTCCAGCCTCTCATGAATGCACAACGGAGGGAGACAACACCAGCTTTAGTGGAAGCCCATTTCATTTTCCAACAGTTCTAATGGTTTAACATTTCTTCATGTATTTGAATCTAAATCTGTCTCTCCACAGTCAGTCCCTTGTTTCATGAAGGAAAAAAATCAAAAGCCCCTTCAACCTGATAGCCACATGCATACGTGAAGATGATTCCTACAGAGGACCTACTTCTTCTCATTCCATTTCTTCCGAAGTCACTCATATGACCCATTTCCTTCAACATCCTGGTTGCCCTGCTCTGAACACATCATGGTTGGTTAATATCTTGCTGAAATTGTGGTAATTAGCATCTGTCTTAGTTCATTTGGGCTGCTATTACAAAATACATTAGGATGGGTAATTTATAAACAGAAGTTTGTTTCCTATAGTTCTGGAGCCTGGGAAGTTCAAGATTAAGGCACCAGCAGATCTGATGACTGTGAAGGGTTCTGTCTGCTTCATAGATGGTACACTTCTTCCTGTTACCTCACATGGAAGAAGGGACAGGGCAGCTCCCTACAACCTCTTTTGTAACAGCACTTCCCAAAAAGCCCCACCTACTAATACCACCACAATGGGAATTAGATTTCAATATGAATTTTGGAGGG
The DNA here is from genome assembly GCF_000001405.40 of Homo sapiens. Taxonomy (NCBI): domain Eukaryota; kingdom Metazoa; phylum Chordata; class Mammalia; order Primates; family Hominidae; genus Homo; species Homo sapiens. The sequence goes on from NC_000010.11 coordinate 31,668,622, forward strand.
ACACATTCAGACTGTGTCAAGGTCTGAGGTCAGACTACCCACACAGAGTAATTATAGGACTTTCTCACTTGAGACTTTGTACTTCTGTTAATGCAATTTAAAATTTTATTTTAGATGATAAGTTCATAGCAGTGATTCATACCAACTTAAAGTAAACTAAAGTGCTTAAGGTGCTTTGTTTGTTTCTTTGCTTTTCACATGAACACTTATTAAACCTGATTTTCACCTTGTCCTTGTAAATTTAGGCTCTTAGGACCTGAGTAAATCCATTGCCCCTACTCAATCTCATATTGTTAGATTTCACTCACCCAGCCCATTAGTATCTTCTTTAGATCTTTCTGCTCTTTTACTGCTATCCAACATATTAACTCATCTGTGTATCATTACTACTTGTTTATTATTTATACTCTACGTTCCAAAAAGTGTACCAGCATATGAGTCTATCTGTTTTCCAGATTTCCTTCTCCTTCTTTCTTTGGCTTTTTTTGCGATTATAGTGTCAAATTTTCACTTTTACTTTCAGATGGCTTTTGATATTTCTTTTTTATTTATCTGGCCCCTGGATTCTATCTCTTTTCCTTGGGAAGTTTGAAGTCTGTATTTCTAAAGTCCGTGACATATATGTAACTGTGCTCTGTATTCTCCTTCCTGGGTGTTGCAGAGTCTAAGAAAACAAGGTCATTTTCTCCTCAGGTTTTCATCATTTCTGCATCTCCAATCAACAGTTCTTTGTTGAACAGAATTAGGTTCCCAGCAACAGTTTCCATCATTGCTCCTTCTGGCTTCTGAGAATTAAAACAGTCAGCATGATCTGTTTCCAGCTATGATGGAGCGGATGATATCAGATTAATCTCCCACTGAGAACAACTATAAAAGCTGGATAAAACACAAAGGCCAACTGTTGGAAGGCATTGGATAGCAACCAAGGCAGCCAATGCCCCAAAGAAGCCAAGATCCCAAAGACACAGGAAATGCATTCAAATGTGCCTACTATTTGGCACCCAATATACCCTCAAGGCATTGCTGACTTCCAAGTTGTGCATGTGCAGGCCTAATGTCACAGACTGTGTTCCTTGAGACAGAGATTAATGAGCACAATGTTTATTAGGAGGTACTTTTAGGATCACCCTCTATAGAAGGGAGAGGAAGAAAGCAGAATTTGTTGCAGCCTCAGCCTCTGCCAACCCCACAGGGAGTTCTGGAGCTATAGCAACCCTTCTAGCTCCAGGGTTGTTGTCCCAATCTAGAATTGTCCCAAGTTGCTGCACAGCAGCAGGTTCTTTTACCCCAAAGGCAAGAAAGCACTGGATACAGGTTGCCCTGGAAGGGTGTGAACCTTGCAGGAAGCAGTTTTGTTTTTACTTTTTTTTTTTTCAGCAGAAGCAATCCTCAAAGGGGCTGCCAATTGACAATCCCTAGCAGTTGGGGGACTAATTCCTTCATTCCTGAAGGGGGATCTAGGCATTGCATCACAGTATCTGTCACACCTACAGGGTAAAAAATTGTATTAGTGTGAGAGTTCTCCAGAGAAATAGGATCACATCTCTCATTAATAGAACTATATATGTGTGTATATGTAGATATACATCTCCTGTTGATCCTATACATAATATATATATATCTCCTATTGAGAGATATATATATATATCTTATCAATACAAACTTTTAAACAACCAGATCTCCTATTGATACAAACTTTTGAACAACCGGATCTTGTGAGAACTCATTCACTATTGCAAGGATAGCATTAAGAGGATGGTGCTAAACCATTCATAAGAAATCTACCGGCATGATCCAATCATCTCCTGTCAGACCCCACCTCTAACATTGGAGATTACATTTCAACATGAGATTTGGGCAGGGTAAGTATCTGAACTATATCAGGTACTATTTTTCCTATTGATACATATATATGTACACACACACACACACACACACACACACTATTGTTAGGATGTTCCTGTATATGAGAAGTTAAGAAATAGCACCTGATATAGTTTGGATATTTTCCCCACCCAAATCTCACATTGAATTGTAATCCCCAGTGTTGGAGATGGGGCCTGGTGGGAGGTGATTGAAACATGGGGGTGGATTTCTCATGAATGGTTTAGCACCATCCCCTTAGCACTGTCCTTGAGATAGTGAATGTGTTCTCGTGAGATCTGGTTATTTAGAAGTGTGTCTCTCATTTGCTTCTGCTTTCACCATGTGACGTGCCTGCTTCCCCTTCACCTTCCGTCATGATTGCAGGCTTCCCAAGGCCTCCCAGAAGCCAAGCAACATGCTTCCTGTAAAGTCTGCAGAACTGTGAGCCAATTAAACCTCTTTTCTTCATAAATTACCCAGTCTCAGGTATTTCTTTATAGCAATGCGAGAAGGCCTAATATTGTACCAGATGATGTCTTCAGCCTCATCACAAAGATGCACATGATTAACTACTGAAGGAGCATGGGAAGCCACAGGGCACTGAGTTCTAAAGAGACAGAGGGAGGTTACAAGATTCCAGTGCGGGGAGTGGGTGGGACCTTGTAGGCCAAGGGAGTGTTGAGCCAACCATGAAGCATACATGGAGTTCTGATAGACCCATTAAAGGAAGGTGGACGAGAACAGCCATGAAGGTATGAGAGAGAGAGAGATTTATTACAGGGATTGGCTCATGAGATTATGGAGACTAAGAAGTCCCACAACCTGCTGTTTGCAAACGAGACCCAAGAAAGCCAGTGATGTCATTCAGTCTGAATATGAAGTACTGAGACCTGGAAGGGAATGGGGCTGGGAAACAATGGCATAATACAAGTCCTGGTCCAAGTCCAAAGGCCTGAGAACCAGGAGCACTCATGTCTGAGGGTAGGAGAAGATGGATGTCGCGACCCAAACATAGACAGCAAATTGGCCCTTCCTTTGCCTTTTGTTCTCTTCCAGCCCTCAACAAATTGCATGGTGCCCCCCCCACACACACACAGAGTGGTGAGAGCCATATTCTTTACTCAGTTTACTGATTCAGATGCCAGTCTCTTCTGGAAACACACTCAGGTACATACTCAGAATTAAGGTTTTACCAGGTTTCTAGGCATCCCTTAGCCCAGACAGAATTAACCATCACATAAACCAAGCAGAAATAAGCCACATTAAAAAACTAATCATTAACTTCAATAGTTTTAGGGTCCTAAAGAGACAAAAACTAGAGTTCAGAGCCGAGCACAGTGGTTCACACCTATAATCCCAGCACTTTGAGATGTTGAGGTGGGAGGATCACTTGAGCCCAAAAGTTTGAGACCAGCTTGGGCAATATAGCAAGACTCCTGTCTCTCTACAAATATTAAAAAATTAGCCAGGCGTGATGGCAAGTACCTGTGGTCCCAGCTACTTGGGAGGCTGAAGTGGGAGGATCACATGAGCTTGGACGGTTGAGTCTGCAGTGAGCAGTGATTGCACCACTGCACTCCAGCCTGGGCAACAGAGTGAGACTGTGTCTCAGAAAAAAAAGAAAAAATTGGAGTTCATGGTGTGCCAAGAAAGAAAGTCCCTGGTGAACACCCAAACTGTCAGTTGAGACCTTGGAAAAGCTACCCCTAGGAGTAAGAAAAAAAAACTGAAATAAGTAACCAGCTTTTTATCAGATGAAGGTGATCCGCCAACACTCTACCAACCTGTTAAATCCTCTCTGAAGGAAGATAACATCATTCAAAGTCTGTATGATTTTTCATGCACAATGTCCAACATTCAATTTGCAAATTACCAGACACGGCAGGGGATGGCAAAAATGGGGAAAAGGAGGAGGTAGAAAGAGATAAAATAGAAAATAGAAACGAACTGAGGTGCTCTAGATATTAGAGTTAATTGACATGAAATTTTAAATAACTATGATCAGCAGTTCAAGGAAATAATAAGAAAGACAAAGAATTTCACCAGAGAATTGGAATCTATAAGAAATAATCAAATGGAACTCCTTGAACTAAAAAGTGCAATGACAGAAATTAAGAATTCAACAGATTTGTTCAAACATTGATAATATACAGTAGTAGGCAGGTATAGTGACTTGAAGAGAGATAAAGAAAAAATACCCAGAATAAAGCAGCACAGGAGAGGGGAAAAGTTTAGCAAACACACGGCAAACAGTAAAATTATCTGAAAAGGTGAAATTGAAGTTCTAGATGGACAGACGAGAAAATTGAGAAAAAGCAGTATTTCAAGAACTAGATCCTGAGAATTTTTCCAAACTGACAGATTTAAGAAGCTTGAATAACTCCACATTAGAGGATGCCTATAGATGTCCTTGCAGAGTCCTTCATCACCTAATAATAGCAGTCACTGAACTTTTAAGACAGCCCCCGGGGGAAGCGTTTAGGTCCATGCAAGTTATCTCATTACTTACCTCACCCCTACAAGGTAAGAAAACCATCACTGGATGAGGAAACTGAGGCTGAAGTTTAATTCCTAGTCTGAGATCTAAGAATTACACTGTATGCATACACTGGACCTGAGACTGGGACTAAACCTAGATCTGTTGGACTCCAAATCTTCTGCTATTAACCTCTTTGCTGAGTGTCTCAGGAGCAGGCATGAGGCCAGGGGAGTGTGACATTGAGGAAAGAGGGAGTAGCAGATGGGAGAAGGTTCCAGAAAGAGATATGGAGGCACATACATTAAACTCTATATTTCTTTGTTTTTTCCTGACTGCTGGTCTTATGCTCAGGAAGAAGCAACTCTTTTCCACCTTTCCCTCCCTCCTGCATGTCCTCCCACCCCTCCAGCACCCAAGATTCTGCTGTGGTCTGGTTCAGTCACATGGCGGGCTAAATAGACTTTCATGAGCTGCTGAGGAGCCCACCCTCCATTTGCAACACAGCTTCTATGGGAACATGTGTTCTGAATCCAATGGCTCACTTGCCTTCGACCTCAATACACAATTTGTTCTCAAGTTAGGATGTGCATGTGCATGAGAAGTTAAGAAATACCGCTAGACAATGTCTTAGGCCTCATCACAAAGATGCACATGATTAATGACTGAAGGAGCATAGAAAGCCACCGGGCACTGAGATCTAAAGAGACAGAGAGATTGCACGTTTTCATTGGGGAGGTGGGGTCTGTAGACCAAGGAAATGTTGGGCCAGCCATGAAGCATACACAGAGTTCTGATCAACCCACTAGAGGAAGGTGGAGAAGAACAAATGGGCAGGGAGGAGCAAGGAGTTTACTTCCACCTTTGGGAAGCTTCAGAGATGTCCTCTTCAGGCTGCAGGGCACTCTGTCTTCCTTGGTTTCTAATCAGATATTAGGGAGGGGGGCTATAATTGTGCCTGGAATTTATCAGTTTGCTTTGCTGTTGAGTGTATTGTAGAGGCTACTGGTAGCCCTCCTAGGCCTCCCTCCATGCTAGCCCTAGGAGCTTGGCTCCTTCTGCCCACTTACTGCAGCCAAGCCTCCTGTTCTGGTTAGTCTAGCTCCAGAAACATTTAGGAGGCTCAGTCAGGTGCCAGGCCCTGAGCCATGACTGAGAAGACAGAGGAGAGTAAGAGGCAGTCGTGCCTCAGAGCCTCAGGGAAGAGGGCAGAGGCACAGAAGAGGAGTGTTCTACCAGGTGGGCATTGGGGCCAGGGCACCCAGTTGAGGGGTCTGGGGAGGAAAGGAGGCTGAGACTGTAAGAGGGAAGCCAGAGTTTCAATGCTCAGGAACTGAGGAATCAGTTTTCTCGTGGCTCAGGGCCCCGTTCCTTCTCCACTTTATCTTTCTGCCTGCATGCTGAGAAGCAATACAGTGCAGTAGTTCAGAGCCGGGGTGAGGGGAAGCAGGGCTAGGCTGATTCTAGTTTCTCAACCAGAAATTTGAGCTTTGATCCCACACTTACCAGCTTGAGCCAGCCTTTTCTAAGTCCCAATTTCCTCATCTATAAAATGAAGATAACTTTACAGTCAGTTTTGCTACAGTGTAACACATGCATTCCTAAATGGGGTTAGGGTATGAAACCCAAAACCTTGGTTAGTGACACATAAAATAACAGGCACCTAATAAAAATGGTAGTATTTGTGTTTTAGTCAGTTTGAGCTGGTATAACAAAAATACCATAGACTGGGGGGCTTAAACAACAGACATTTATTTCTCACAGTTCTGGAGGCTGGGAAGTCCAAGATTAAGTTGCAGCCAATTTGGTTCCTGGTTTGCAGAAAGCCATCTTCTTGTTGTGTCCTCATATTGCAGAGAGCAGGGAGAAGAAGCAAGCTCTCTTGTGTCTTTTCTTATAAGAATGCTCATCGCCTCATAACAGCTCCACCCTCATGACCTAAGCCCCCATTAACTCCCAAAAGCCCATCTCCAAATACATCACATTTGGGATTAAAGTTTCAACATATGACTTTATGGGTCGGCAGCAGGGACACAGACATTCAGTCCATAGCATACTGTTTTACACATGTTAACTGGTTAAATACATAACTACCGCAAATAAGTATGGTGCTTTACCTTGAACAAGAGCTAAAGTTTGCTTGTGGAAGTGGCATCAGGTAAGTTGCAGCTTGTGAGTTATTATGAAGTACTGGAAGGAGGATAATCTAAAATTGGATGCAAAGAGGTAACATTGGATGTGAATGAATGCACCTCTGGGTACATGGTAACTGAGGCAGCTGATAGATGTTTAAGGCATGTACATATGTGCATTTTTTGTATCCCTATCCAGTTCTGTTCAGCTGGATGCAATCTTCTGTGATCACTTAGTTGTGTGTGTGTAGACAAAATTATACATAAGCAAATGCAACATTTGCATATGATTAAATTGTTTCCTAGTATGTCAATTGTATTGAACAAATCTTCATTTTTAAAATGAGTACCATAGCAGAACTAGCTGTACTAACTACCTCATGGGATGTCATGAGGATTAAGTGACATAATTCATGTAAGTGTTGAACCCAGGGCCTGATAAGTGGTGAATAAGTGTTGCTAGTGTAATGAATATATATCAAATCATTATATTTTAAACAAATCAAAGAATGAATCAGTGAACACAAGAATGCCTAATTGTGGAGTGGGGAGCAGTAATTTAGGAAGTGTGTGTGTGGTGGGAGGAGGAAGGCTGATGATTTATCTTGCTAAAGAGAAACTTCCTCTAGGAGTAAATGATTTCAGAGACCAGCAGCAGGCTATGCTATGCCCTGTAACCAGGAGGACAAACTACATACCCTCCTTGCACCCATTAGCATGAATATGATCACAGGGGTATGTCTGTCCCACCACTATGCAGGTCTCAAAGCCTAACACTTATTATATTTTATAGATCAGAAATTTTGGCAGGGCTCAGCTGGGTGATTCTTCTTTTCCTCATGGTATAAACAGAGGTCACTTGGTGTTATTCAGCTAGCAGGTGGGCTGGTGTGGAGGGTCCAAAATAACTTCTTTCACATGTCTGTTGCCTTGGAATGACTAGAAGGCCAAGCCCAGCCAGGACTGCCAACTGGAGCACCTACATGTCACCTCTCCAGGATAGTCCTGATTCCAAGAGCCAGGAAGTAGATGCTGCAAGTCTTCTTACCTAGCCTTGGTAGTTCTAGAAAAATAGTTCTTGAACTCTCTACCAATTAAGAAGGTTACTAAGCCCAACCTAGATTCAAGGGCAGAAGAGTTAAGCTAGGTTTCAGTGAGTGGGGAAAGCAAACACTCTGGTACCATCTTTAATCTACCACAGTGCTCTTGAAAACTCAACTCCAGCAACATCTCCAGAAAACTGAAGTGAAGCTCTCTGCTGTAGATGACCCTCCTCGGATTTTCTACTGTAAACCACGCATATTACAGCTATGATATGTGGCATACTCTGTGCTGTGTGCATTGGTTTATCAAATGCTGCCCATGGGCCGCAAGCTTCAGTGGGGTAGTGACTGTCATTTAATTTTGGATTTGTAGTGTCTTTGTATAGTCTCTGGCACATGAAAGGCCCTTAATAAATCTTAAGTAAGTGGGTGAATGAATAAACTAACAAATAAATAAAAAAGGATGACCTTCACCTCTTCTGTTGAAGGATGATGCCCCAAGAGCAGGAACCATGGCTGTGCCCCTTGTCTCCCCAACACAGAATACACTGTCTGACACTTAGTCAATACTTAATCAATGTCTGTTGAAAACCCAAACACATATGCTCACATACTCAGACTCTGCTATCCAGCTGTGGCTGAGGGTCCTCACACAGCAAAATGAGGAGAATGTTTTCAGCCACAGTCTGAGGCTGAAGCAGGTTGGGCTGAAATCAAGACCTGAGTGTTGGGACTTCTGGTTCTAGTGATGGGGTCAGGAATTAGAGCAAGTTGCCCCTGTGAACACCAAGAGAAAGGGACAAATGAAAACTGGACTGAGGGGTGGAAGCAAGGAGGAACTAGAAGTTAGCTTTCCTGCTGCTCTATCTTTTCAGTGGAGAGCACTTTCATTCACACATGCATCAGATGGGGAGGGCGACTCATTGCCAATATTTGTCAAAGTTCTCCACAAAGACCTGCCCCTTAGTATACACCAATACACACATGCATGCACACACACACACACACACACACAAAAAACAGCTTTGGGTTCAGGTCAAGTGGGAGAACTTTGGAAAGAAGGAGCCCTGCCATAGAAAATGAGTATTTACTAACGTGGGTGCTATTAGTTACCATTTGCAGTGAACCAGGTGTCGACTGTGTCACTATTTTAAGTCTAATTTAATTTAGCATTTGGACTGGATGTGTGCTATTTATAAGGAATGATACCAACTGTGGCTTTGGTCTTGGAGCAGGTGGGAGCCACTTTAGCCTGTGGAGGCCGTGGTCTGCACAGTTCCCAGTTTGGGTTCTGTAGCAGACGCCCCACCCCAGGCACTGCCTCAGACAATTACACAGGCCAAGTGCTCAGGAGCCGTCAGCCCACAGATAATAGCTCTGCAGGAGCTCATTGAAGAGAGTCTCAGACCCTGTCTTTGCTGAGGCCTCTGTGGTTAGAATGCGCAGGACAAGGAATGTGCTCGAGACCCACGGCTTTGTCCTGCCTGGTCTAACCCCTCAGGAAAGATGCGATGAAATGGTTTGTCCCGGCTGGGTGACCCCCTTCCTCACACAGGCCTTTGGTATCTTCCACTGGACACAAAGAAAGGGCCTCCACAAGTCTCCCTGAATGGGAGCAATGGCTGAGCTGAGCTCTGAGACATACCCTGGCATTCTTGGGTTTCCCACACATGCCCAGGGTGCCTATGGGGACTTTTTCCAGAACAAATTGAAGGTATACACCCTGACCGGAGAGGTGGCCACTGTGACCAGAGCCCGGCATAGCAAAGTCACAGGTCTGGCTGGAGGAGGGGCAAGGACTGTGAAATCCCAGCAGGCAGCCAGCAGTGAGCAGGCCAACAGCATCCTCAACGGAGGACGATTTCTTCAAACACAACTGCATGACAAACAAGTCAGGGTGGGGCATACAAACCAGACAGCTCTGCTGGAGGCCGAGGTAGAAGCTGAGTGGGGATAAGGGTCCGCTCCAAGCCCTCCTCAGTGACACAGCAAATCTAGGGGTTGGTGGAGAGCGCTCATCCTCACCCCCAATCTGCAGTTCCAGACCTCGGATACTGATCTGACGGACACAGCCATCTTCAAAGGGAACTCGGCACCACACCCAATATTCAGGCTGTAAATAAAGCCAGCACAACAAGCTCCTGGGAAACGCTGAGCCGAGCCTGCTACCTGGCAGGCAGCATATCATTTCCCGAGCCTCCCTGGCCCAGTGCCCACCCTTCAGTTCTCTGTCCCTCCCAGCCTGGGCACAGGGGCGGTAACACATTTTAAATTAGACCTGTCCCTTTTCCATTCGTGAGCTGTCAGACTGCTTACAAGGGGTCAAACCTGGCGTTCTGTCTGGGGCACGGTGACGAGGGTTGCCAGACCCCAGGCCCAGGTGGGCACATGTTTGTGAGTTGGGTCTGAGCCCTGGAAGGTTCTGATCCACTTTAGAGTTGCAGGCTTGATTGGGAAGAGGAATTTCCAGTGCAGCACAATTTGACTGAAGCTTTTCTAATGCTTAGAAAGAAGGCACGCCACTGAAGTTTGTTTTTCCCTTGTCATCTTTAATTCATTACCTGGCGCAAAGGAAAGTGGAGACATATTTCTGACGGGTTGTTTTTATTAGTCATTACAGCGTGGTGAGTGTGTCGTCTTTCTGAGTGCACACATGCAATGTCGTGTCACTGTGCAACCTGGTTCCCAACGTGGCCCCTTGGCGTCCCAGTTCTCGCTCCCTAAGGGCCAGGGACATGCCCTTTCTGTTTGGAAATGTCAGCCTGGTCTCCTTGGCTTCCCTTCTTTCCCCATTCCTCCAGAAAAGTAGGCCTGGGAGGAAAGACTGGGTTCTCCAGCGCCTGCTGATTTTCTTGGAAATGATGGGCATAATGCCCAATTTGCTATTTCCCTAGTTTCCAATGGCTGTTTCTAAAGAGGAAAGCAATCCTCTCCTTTCTTGCAGGCGGAAATGAGGAGTTGAAGAGGTGGGGAGCGCTGGGGGATGCAGGCACATGTAAACCTGCTATTTCCTTTTCTTAGAGGCGGGGAACAGTCACCCTCCCAGCTAACATTTACCTCCAGGGAAAAATGTCACTTCCATTGGCTTGCATCTTTTCTCCCTCTATCGTGTGTGACAGTATTTTTCTATCGCGTGCGATGCACACACCTTACTCTCGGGGAGATTTATGGAGATCAAGGGCTTCTTCTTTCCCTTGGTGGAAATTGCCGGCCCCAGAGCTGTCTGGGTTGTTTCTATAAAACTGTCGAGACATATTCTGAACAATGATCCTGGATATTTGCAGGCCTTACTCCCCTCTTAGCTCCCATCTTTCTTCCCCAAAGAAAGCCTCTTTTCTTTCTTTCTCTCATCTTTTGAGTCCATACCTCAGGGGGGCTGTAACTGGGACCCCAGGCCTGAGACAGATCAATGGCAATTGATTAATTCAGAGGGAGAGAGTGGCGTGTATGTGCGTAGGTGAGAGAAAGAGAAATAGAGACAGACACAGAGACAGAGACAGAGACAGACTGAAAGAGAGACAGACAGACACAGAGACTGTTTGCATGCATCCTGCAATCATGCCCTGCTATTTTAGACTTAAGCTTCACTCTTGACCATTTATTTTTTTTAAAAAGCCAGAATAATAGATCATGATAACATTATAATAGCAACCTGATGATAATGAATGCAACATAGGTCATTAAGGAACGTATTCAGGGCAAGACTTGCTAACACAATAAAGCTCACTATGTGCCAGGAACTGTTCTGAGCACTTCGCATACATGAACTCATATCAAGTAAATAACCTCGCCACAGTCGTATGATGTAGCATCTATGAGGTTAGTGCTGTTACCAGTTACCCTATTTTACATTGAAGAAACCCCACTCCATTGAGAAAAAAAATAGCAGAGGGAGTCTTCCAAGTTTCTAGGAAGCTGTAGCCATTCAGGATCTTTTGGGGCAATTCAGCACGGCAGGGTTGTGACATCTGGGCTGTCTGGGTGACTCGCCATGTGCTTAATTGATTCCTCATTTTTCCAAGGGTCTGGCACTTATTGAAGCCCTTGGAACATTGATGCATATTGTGTATGACCAGAGGGAAGAGGGTAAATGAATGATTAAGTGACGCTTATCAAAGGCCTCACTTCAAAGTGGGGTGGCCATAGGAAAAAGGGTTCTGTGGTCAGTGAAACTAGGAAATAATAAGTTAAATAGACTAGAAGTTTAGTTATTCACAGAACTTCTGAGAGCTTTGAACATGGTAACATGCACTGTGACCCTTCCTAAAGAAAACAGAGAATGAAGCCTTTTCTGGCATGTTAGACTTCTTTGTGAGAGACGCTTATGGGGCTGGAGTTCCGTGGACTATACAGTAGTCTCGGTTATCCACACTTTTCTTTCCTTGGTTTCAGTTACCCATTGCCAACCATGGTCTGAAAATATTAAATGGAAAAGTCCAAAAGTAAACAATTCATGCATTTTAAATTGCACACTTCCGAGTAGCACAATGACATCTCACCCACACTGTCCCACTCCTGGCCTTCCTGGGACGTGAATCCTCCATTTGTCTGGCATCTCCACACTGTCTACACCACCCAGTGCTTGTGTCCAAGTAACCCTAATTTTACTTAATAATGGCCCCAAAGCACAGGAGTAGTGATGCTGGCAATATGGATATGCCAAAGAGAAGCTATAATGTGCTTCTTTTAAGTGAAAAGGTGAAAGTTCTCAACTTAAGGAGGAAAGAAAACAATTATATGCTGATGTTTCTATGATCTACAGTAAAAATAATCTATCTGTAAAATTGTAAAGAAGGAAAAGGTAATTTGGACTAGTTATGCTGTCTCACCTCAGTCTGCCAAAGTTACAGCCACAGTTCATGATAAATGCTTAATTAAGATGAAAAGGGCATTAGATTTGTGGGTGGAACACGTGAACAGAGCCATATTGCAATGAACAGCAATCAGGTTTCTTACTATCTGTGGTTTCAGGCATCCACTAGGGGTCTTCAAATGTATCACCACAGATGGAGGGCGGCAGGTGGGGGACTACTGTACTTTGGGAAACTGTGTCTGATATGACCTAGAACTTGAGACATGTCTCTGGTTGTCTGAAAAGACCTGAATGTTTGGAGATACAGAAAGAATTTGGATATACCATTTGGGAGACATAAAGCACAGTGGAACCCCGGAACCTGCTGTGTCTGATGAGCTATCCTCCCCACATCTTTACCTTTGGGCCAGTGTACCTGGAGGGGACATTCTGAATATCAGTGACATCCCAGAAGGAAAGCGCCCAGCCCTTCTCCTTCTCTGTGCAGGGTTCTCTCACCACCAGCAGCAAATGGATGGCAAACCTATTGATGTTCCTAAAATAGGGCTCCTATGAGTCAAAAACTTCATATGTGATTCCATGAAGCTTTGTGAACACCAGCTATGCTTCACCACCAATAAGCAGCACTACTGATAGGATTGATGGCCAAACACCTCATGGTACTTCACTAGGAGGACCATTTATAGATGCAGACAGTACAAAAGGATGAGGCCAAAAGGACCCCATTGGAAGATACGTAACTTCTGAGCAGGCAGGAAGAAAACTTGGCAGGGAAGCATCCCCACTGTTAGCAGCTACAGAAAATAATTATGTATACAACAACCATACTTTGAAGCCCTCCCCAGTAACCAGTAATTGACTGTCCTAAAGAAGCTTCCTTTGGGATGCTTTCACACCCAACCTATTCTTATTGCTTGTTCCAGGTACACAATGTTCCCCTTCTGACTAAAGTAACTGTTTTTCTTGCCTCTACTCTCACCCACCTCCTGGACACACTGCAAGATTAATATTCCTAAAACATTGTCTTCCCCATGTTGATTTCTGTCTTCAAACATTTTGAACGTCAGTTTGAATGTGGCTTCAATCTTGCCACCCTACCTTATTCCCACATGGGGTCTCTATACAGCCCCTATGATCCAGCCAAAATTGTACTTCTTCCAAAAGTTGCACATCCATTAAATACTCTGGTTATGTTCCCACTCAGTCAGCTTGGTTTATGTTGATTTCCAGCCTCAAACATCATTTTAAGAGTGATATCAGAGGGAGTGGTTTAATAAAGACCTCTAAAAATTATCTCTTCCCTAAAAGCAAGGTGAACACTGACAAAAATGGTCATAATCAATGTTTTCAGAACTCAGAAAATTAAACAAAATCTTGCAGCAACCTGGGAGCATTTATTGAAAAAAAAGTTGGCAGAATCTCAGTAAGAACAGTGAGCTTTATAGTATTTTGACTTACCTTATTCTCATCCCCCTATCTCCAGCTACACAGTAGCCTTGGAAACCAGCAGCATGCAATTTCAGTGAAAAACAGAAAGCTGGCAGTCTCTGGAGGGGCAGAACAGAGTTAGACCTCCTTCAAAGCCCCACTGTCATATCTACCTGGTGGTTCCCTGGAAGACCCCACTCATAAGACTTGTATTTTCTTGACCTAAGAGCTCACACAGTGCAAACAGTCTTTTTCTTGGAAGCATGTATAAAAATCAATCATCAGCAATTGTTTAACCACCTGCCTGAGGAAATAGATTATAATTAAGGCAAATAATAGTCTCACCAAAAAAACTTAAAAAGAAAAGCTAGGAAATGAGATGTCAATGAGGAGCTCTGAGAAGCTCTAATATATTCTTTGGAATCTAGAAGGCCATGTGCATAATAGGCCTGTGCATATGCTCATGGTAAACTTGAGAAGTCTCTAAGTTCTCACCTCTGGCTGACCTTGAGGCTCTGCAGAAGCAGAAAGCAAAGGCTAAGGAAGAGTTGACAATCAGCTGGCTGAGTATTGAAGACATGCCCTGAAATGCACACAGAACTTCTTTGCAAGGAGTGGGAGTCTTACTGATTTAGGCATTTAAAGATGTCTCTGTCCAGTCATTAGCAGACAACTAAGCTAACCCAGCATAGACTTCAAAGTCAGGGACAAAGAATAGAGACTTTACAGAATTAGTTTTCTAAAAAATGACTGAACAAACACACAACAATAGCTATAGCAGAATAGCGATAGCAACAAGCCCCAGGAATAGAAACTGTTCCTGAGGAAGTCCAGATGTTGGACTTATTAGTCAAAAACTTTAAATCAGCTTTTTAAAATGTGTTCAAAGAACTAGAAAAAAAATCTAAATAACTAAAGAAATGTATGTGAATGGTGTTTCACCAAATAAAGTATATTGATAAGGAGATATAAATTATATAATAGAACCAAATAGAAATTCCAGAGTTGTAGAGTACAATAACTAAAATGAAAATTCACTACAGAGTCTGAACAGAGCAAACACAAGAGAGAATCGGTGAATCTGAACACAGATCAGTTGAAATTATTCAGTCTGAGGAATAGAAAACAAAGAAGAGAAGTTAATAGAGTCTCAGAGACTTGATAGACAGACTCAAGCATACAATATATATGTAATAGGATCCCCAAAAAGAAGAGAGAGAGGAGAAGAAGGCAGAAGAAAATATCTGAAGAAATAATGACCCAAATTTCCAAAATTTGATGAAAAACATTGATCTCCACATCCAAGAACCTCAATGAATTCCAAGCAGAATAAAGTCAAAGAGATCAAACCTAGACAGGTTACAATTAAACTATTGAAACACAAAGAGATAATCTTGAAAGTAAAAAGATAAGTGAGACATCACCTACAAGGGATCCTCTATAAGAAATAACAGCAGATTTTTCATCGGAAACCATGGAGGTTAGAAGGCAATGGGGCTACCTATTAAAGGGCTGAAAGAAAGAAACCTGTCAACCAAAACTTTCATATCCAGCAAAACTATCCTTCAAAAAAAAAAGGAGAAATTAACACATTTCCTGATCAACAAAAACAGAGAATTCATCACTAGCATACCTGCCCTACAGGAAATATTAAAGAAAGGCTTTCAATCAGAAATAGAAGGGTACTAGACAGTAACTTGAATCCACCTAAAGAAATAAAGAGCACTAGTAAAGGCAACTACTTAGGTGAATATAAAAGGCAGTATAAATATATTTTTGTTTGTCTCTTTTTTCTCCTATTTATTTAAAAGAAAACTGCATAAAAATAATTCTAAATCTGTATTTATGGGAATATACATATAATATGTGATTTGTATGAGAACAGGACAAAGGAGGGGGAAGGAAATGAAGCTATATAGAAGCAAAGTTTTTATACACTATTGAAATCAACTTGGTATCAAATGTCCTTTAATTCTCTTGTTACTAATTATGATTCCTACCGAGCTTGACATGGCTTACCTCTAACATTGTCTGGTCTCCAGGCAAATGGAGACCTCAGAAAGATTTTATTTGCAGGATCCCAAGCCTTATGTACATCTCTATGGCGCACCATAGCCTATATGCCAATGATCTATGGACTCTCCAACATACACACCACAATGAGCATAGTATTAAAGAACTGTGACCTTGACAGCCCAAGAATCATATCAAGAGCATCACCAGGCCAGTGCAAAGATCTGCTTCACCAAAGGTGTTACAGAGTCCAGGGATTTTTAAACCATAGATTGAGGTCATTGGTGGATTGTGAAATTAATTTAGAGGGCAGTGACCAGCATTGTCTTAATGAAGTAAAATGGAAGAGAAAGGAAAGCATCATGATGCATTTAGTAAGACGAATGATTTTCTGTAAAATTTTGTGATGATGATGTGTTTGTGGGACCAAGCACACTGGGTTGCAATGTAGAAATGTATTTCTTACAGTGGGCCATTGTGAAAAACATTTTTAAAGCAAGTTTTCAGACCAGCTTTCAACAATGGCAGAAGACACAGTAGCTGAAAACCTCAGGCTAACATTGGGTCAGTAAGATCTTCAGTTTTCTTTCTTCTGTCCAGTTTTCTAGTATAAGAATAAATAACCCACAGGCATACTTGGAAACTTTGAGGGGATGAGGTAAACCTAATGTGACAGACTGTCCACATCAAATTCATACCAATAGCAAATCCTCTGGCTTTTATTTCAAAATATCTCCAGCATTGACCTACTTCTCATGACCCTCACCACCACCCTTTCTCAAACCACTGTTCTCTCTCCCATAGACCACCATATAAGCCTCCTAGTAGGCATTCTTCTCTTACCTTTGTCCTTCTAAAGGTATTCTGCCAAAAATCTAAGTTAGATCACATTGCTTCTCTGCCATAACTTTCCAGTGTCCCCCTTCTCACTCAGAGTGAAAACCAAAGGCCTTTACTAATTGACAAGACCCTATATGATCTGCCCACCACCCTTCTCTATCCTCATTTCCCTGTTCATCCCATCCGACCACACTGCCTTCTTGATGCCCTTTGAAGAGAATAGGCAGACTCCCACTCAGTAGGGCCATCACGACTGTCTGGGTTGTCCCTGCCATGGAGCCCAGATGTCTTACTCCCCACCTACTTCAAGTCTTTGCTCAAATATCACCTTCTCAATGCAGCCTTCCATGGCCATACTATTGAGGCTCCCAACCCCATCCACAGACATTTTCTATTCCCTTTCTCTACTTTATTTGTCCCCAGAGCACCTTTTAACATAATATTTATCCATTTGTTGTATGTCTCTTGCAGTAGAATGTCAGCCAACATAAAGGTGGCATTTTGTTTGGTTGGTTCGGTGCTGTATCTTCAGTACCTAGAACAGTGCCTAGCACAAAATAAGTGCTCAGTTTACGTTTTTTGAATGAACAATTGAAGGGTTGCCAAAAAAAAAAATATTGTTGGCAGTAATGCTGTACTTCTTGCTAAATTAGCCTGTGTGTGCTTGGTAATTAATTTTAATACTAAGAAGAGATGGGACCCTATGGGTAGAGGAAATTGGTCACAGAGTCCTTAACAAATTCTTCCAGGGCTAGAGCCAATGTTTTGCTAGCATCAGCACCTCCATCTTGGGCACACAATATTAGGAAGTCATAGGAATACAGGAGGCCCCTGGTGCCCACTTGATCCACTGAAGGTAGAGGGGAGAGATTACGCCCAAAGAAAGATGACTGTTTTTGTTTAGTTTTGTGTGACAAGCCATCCCTTTAGAAGTGATACCCCAAATAAATGAGTTTCCTTGGAGAATAGCATACATTCCAGCAACAATGCTGTAACTTTGCCTCTGGAAAAAATTTCAAGGTCAGTAGGACACAGTATTTTTGAAAATCTCACACAGTGGCAAATTTTCACTTTTAGAAAGAGGGCTTGTTTTCAAGTGACACAAAGTCCCTTAAAACAAAATCTAGTACACAAAATGGCTGAGCAGTCTGGAACATACTGAGTGGGTCAAGTGTGTGATGTAAGTCTGAGGTTAAGACCTCATTGCTTTGCACAGTCTCCACGCCCATCTTGGTATTCTATCCACCAAGCTGCTGCTGGGACACAGACAGCAGCTAGAGGCTAATCATTCTCTCTTGTACTTTTGGAATTGAGGGTTCTTAGAGAGGATGAGGGACACAGTGGTACAAGTAAAACACTGACTCTAGGTGGACCTTGAGAGAGCAAAGCATGGCAAGGTCTCTTGACAAGCTTTGGCCAGAGCTATTGGTGAACAATGAAAGGAAAGCCTATCAGATTCTGAATAAAAAACCAGGATCTTTCTTAGGTGTCAGTAACTTCCTGGTTTATCTTTGAGTACTGCACCATTCAAAGTAACAAGCTCAGGCCATTTCTGTAAAGGGTTGGCCATGTCACTAAGGATAGACATGGTGGCCTGGGTACCCCACATGATCCCACCTCCTTCTGCATTTTTCAGTCATGTTCTGCACTTCCCCAGGTCTTCTCCAAAAGATGCCTAGACATTGAGTGGAAATGCTGGGGAATGGTTCCAAAGCAGCAATACAAACTATCCTGAAACTATAGTTGGGCAGAGGACTGCTAAGATTTTTCTTAAGTAAAATTTCTCCTCAAACTTCCTTTTCTGAAAAGATTAGGTCTCTAGACTAAGGTGGAATAGGTGAAGTAGGTGCACTTCTCTCTGTTTCTCCTGTGAAGTATAGATTAAAATCCTAGAATGTATATATACACATATATATGTTATATATATACATTATTTATATATAAATATATATTTATATATACATTATTTATATATAAATATATATTTATACATTATTTATATATAAATATATATACCTACATTATTTATATATAAATATATATTTATACCTACATTATTTATATATAAATATATATTTATACCTACATTATTTATATATAAATATATATTTATACCTACATTATTTATATATAAATATATATTTATACCTACATTATTTATATATAAATATATATTTATACATACATTATTTATATATAAATATATATTTATATATACATTATATATAAATATATTTATATATACATTATATATAAATATATTTATATATAATGTATATATAAATATATATACATTATATATACATTATATATAAATATACGTACATTATATATTTTATATATAAATTTTATATATATAAAAATATATACATTATATATATACACATTTTTTATATATATATATATATATGCACACAAACATGTACACACACAAGGACTCTGAAAGGTCTACAGAAGGCAGACCAGCTAGAGATCTCAGGACCCAAAAATGACATGGCAAGTAAGTCCCCCTGTGTTTCCCTTTTTGCCTCATATATCTCAGACAAGGTGCTGATAAAGGCCAGCAATCTGAAAACACCAATGGGATCAGTTAAAAAGAAAAAAAAGCCTCTAAGAAAAACCTGCTTTCCCTAGCAAAGATAAAGGGTAACCTAGCAAGATGGAAAGTTTTTAGACAATAACAATCTCACCCCTAGCCAAACATCGAGAAAAAAAATGCAGTTGCACTGACACCCCCACCAGCAAACACAGAATGGGGAGCTAGGTTTCCACTTTGCTAGGCTGTAATGAGGCACCTTTCCCTCTACTGCCTACCAGAGTGATGTCAAAGAAGACTGACAGAGGATCTGGAACTTGCATAGCTACCCAGCAGTTATAATCTCACCTCCCGAGTACCAATGGAGACTACATGAGGATCCTGGACTTCTGCCTCCACCCAGGGCTAACAAGGTACCTCTTTCTCCTCTCCACTAGTGACAGAGAAAGGTGAATGAGAAACCACAATTATCATCACCGTCCAGTGGTACAGAGGCCTGCCTTACCCTGGACCCTGTGGAGTCAGTGGAAGCTTGCTAAAAGAGAACATCTAAATAAAATCCATAGTCCATAGCAATACACAGGTTCAGGATACAAACAGAAATCATTCACCACACCAAGAACCAAAGAAATTGCAAAATAAGTGAGAAAAGACATTTAATAAACACCAATACCAAGATGATGCAGATATTAGAATTTTTTGTTTGTTTGTTTGTTTGTTTTGAGACAGAGTCTCAAATTCCTGATAAGGAATTTTTTTTTTTTTTTTTTTGAGACAGAGTCTCGCTCTGTCACCCAGGCTGGAGTGCAGTGGTGCAATCTCAACTCACTGCAAGCTCCGCCTCCCGGATTCACGCCATTCTCCTGCCTCAGCCTCCCGAGTAGCTGGGACTATAGGCACCTGTCACCATGCCCGACTAATTTTTTGTGTTTTTTAGTAGAGACGGGGTTTCACCATGTTAGCCAGGATGGTCTTGATCTCCTGACCTCGTGATCCGCCTGCCTCGGCCTCCCAAAGTGCTGGGATTACAGGCATGAGCCACCGCACCTGGCTGACAAGGAATTTAAAGCAGCCATTATAAAAATGTTTCAATGAACAATGACAAACAGGCTTATAAAAAGAATATCTCAACCAATAAATAGAAAATGTAAAGGAGCACAACATGAAAATTTTAGAACTGAAAAAATATGATAATCAAAATTTTAAAACTCTAGAGAATGGGCTCAGGAACAGAATAGGGAAAACAAAGGAAAGGATAAATAAACTTGAAGATAAAACAATAGAAATTATCCAATCTGAACAAGAGATAGAAAATAGACATTAAAAAAAGAGCAGAGCATTAGGAAGCTATAGAACTGTGGTGAAAGATCTAACATTCATGCTTTCAGAGTCCTGAAATGAGAAGAGGAGGGATGAAAATGCATTAGAGGAAATATGGCTGAAAAATTTCAAAATTTAACAAAATACATGAACTTACAGGTTCAAGAAGCTGAACAAACCCCAATAAGGTTAGGCTCAAATAAATTTATGCTGACACATATCAGAGTCACACTTCTAAAAACTAAAGACAAAGAAAAAATCTTGAAAACAGAGAGGGAGAAACAATACCTTACCTATAGGGAAAAAAACAATTCAAATGACAGCAGATTTCTCATGAGAAATCATGGATGCCAGAAGGAAATGGCACAACGTTTTCCAAATGCTGAAAGCAAATAACTGTCAACTCAGTTATTTTTGTTGGCAGAGGGTTTTGACTCAATGTTGATGGCTACTGACTGATTAGGGTGGTGGTTGCTGAAGGCTGGGGTGGGTGTGGCAATTTCTGCAAATAATAAAGACAACAGTGAAGATGGTCACATCAACCGACTTCCTTTCATAACAGACTTCTTTGTAGTATGTGATGCTGTTTGATAGCGTTTTACCTATAGTGAAACTTCTTTAAAATTTGGAGTCAATTCTCTTGAGCTCTGCCACTGCTTTATCAACTAGGTTTATGGAATATTCAAAATTCTTTGGTGTCATTACAACAATATCCATAGCATCTTCACCAGGAGTAGACTCCATCTCAAGAAACCACTTTCTTTGCTCACTGATGGGAAATAATTCCTCATCTATGCGAGTTTTGCCATCAGATTGCAGCAATTCAGTCACACCTTCAGGCTCCACTTCTTACTCTGTGCCATTGTTACTTCCACCACATCTGCAGTCTCTTCCTCCACTGAAGTCTTGAACCCCTCAAAGCCATCCATGAGAGTTGGAATCAACTTCTTCCAATCGCCTGTTGGTGTTGATACTTTGACCTCCTCCTGTGACTCACAAATGTTTATAATAGCGTCTAGGATTGTGAGTACTTTCCAGAAGGTTTTCAATTTACTTTGCTCAGATCCATCAGAAAAATCACTATCTATGACAGCCATAGCCTTACAAAATGTAGTTCTCAAATATTAAGACTTGAAAGTTGAAATTACTCTTTGATCCATGGGCTGCAGAATGAACGTAGTGTTATAGTCATGAAAACAACATTAATCTCTATCAGAGCTCTTGGGTGACCAGGTGCATTGTCAATGAGCAGCAAATACTTTGAAAAAAGTATTTTTTTCTGAGAAATAGGTCTAAGCGGTGGGCTTAACAGATTCAGTAAACCATGCTGTAAACAGATATTCTGTCATCCAGGCTCTTTTGTCCCATTTTTAGAGCACAGGCATAGTAGATTTGGCATAATTCTTCAGGGCCCTAGGATTTTTGAATGGCCAATGAGCATTGGCTTCAACTTCCAGTCACCAGTTGCACTAGCCCCTAACAAGAGAGTCAGCCTGTCCTTTGAAGCTTTGAAGCCAGGCATTGGCTTCTCCTCTGTAGCTATGAAAGTCCTAGATGGCACCTTCTTCCAATAGAATGCTGTTTTCATCTCTATTCAAACATCTGGGGCAGGCACAGTGACTCATGCCTATAAACCCAGCACTTTGGGAAGCCAAGGGAGGCAGATTGCTTGAGCTCAGAAGTTTGAGACCAGCCTAGAAAACAGCAAAACCTTGTCTCCACTAAAAATACAAAAATTAGCTGGGCATGGTGGTGGGCACCTGTAGTCCCAGCTGCTCAGGGGGCCAAGGTAAAAGAATCACTTGAACCCAGGAGCTGGAGGTTGCAGTGAGCCTTAATTGCACCACTGCATTCCAGCCCAGGTGACAAAGTGAGACTGTGTCTCAAAAAAAAAAAAAAAAAAAAAATCTGGCCAGGCACGGTGACTCATGCCTGTAATCCCAGCACTTTGGGAGGCCGAGGCGGGTGGATCATGAGGTCGGGAGATCAAAACCATCCTGGCTAACATGGTGAAACCCCATCTCTACTGAAAATACAAAAAATTAGCCGGGCATGGTGGCAGGTGCCTGTAGTCCCAGCTACTTGGGAGGCTGAGGCGGGAGAATGGCGTGAACCTGGGAGGCGGAGCTTGCAGTGAGCCAAGATTGCGCCATTGCCCTCCAGCCTGGGCAACTGAGCAAGAATCCATCTCAAAAAAAAAAAAAATCTGATGTTTATTGTATCTATCTTCAAATTTTCTTAGCTGGATCTTCTGGATAACTGCTGCAGCTTCTCCATCAGTGCTTGCTACTTCACCTTGCACTTTTATGTTACGGACATGGTTCTTTCCTTAAACCTCATGAACCAACCTCTTCTAGCTTCAAACTTTTTCTTCTTCCTCACCTTTCTCAGCCTTCACAGAATTGGAGAGAGTAAGGCCTTTTTCTGTATTAAGCTTTGGCTTAAGGGAATGTTTTAGCTTGTCTGATCTTCTATCCATTCTATCCAAACCACTCAAGCTTTCTCCATATCAGCAATAAGGCTGTTTCTGTTTCTTATCACTTGTGTGTTCACTGGAGTAACAGTTTCAATTTCCTTCAAGAACTTTTCCTTTGCATTCATAACTTGGCTGTTTGGTGCAAGACGCCTAGCTTTCAGACTATCTCAGCTTTTGACTTGGCTTCCTCACTAACCTTAATTATTTCTAGCTTTTGATTTAAAGCAAGAGATGTGTGACCAAGGCCTTAGGAACCCACCCCTTGCATCAGTGTGGGCTGGATGTGAGACATGGAGTCAAAGGAGATTATTGTGGAGCTTTAAGATTTAATGACTGCCTTGCTGGGTTTCGGCTTGCATGGAGCCTGTAGCCCGTTTGTTTTGGCCAATTTCTCCCTTTTGGAATGAGAGTATTTACCCAATGTCTATACCCCCATTGTATCTTGGAAGTAACTAACTTGTTTTGTTTGTATAGGCTCATAGGCAGAAGGGACTAGCCTTGTCTCAGATGAGACTTTGGGCTGTGGACTTTTGAGTTAACACTAGCTAAGATTTTGGGAGACTATTGGGAAGTTATGATTATATTTTGAAATGTGAGAAGGACATGAGATTTGGGAGGGGCCAGAGCAGAATGATATGGCTTGGGTCTGTGTCCCTGCCCAAATCTCACATCAAATTATATTCCCCAATGTTGATATTGAGGCTTAATGGGAGGTGATTGGATCATGGGGGCAGTTTCTAATGGTTTAGTACCCTACCTCTAGTGCTGTTTGTGATAGGGTTCTCCCAAGAACTGCTAGTTTAAGAATGTGTAGCATCTCCCTGCTGCTCCTGGTCCACATGTGAAGATGTGCCTGCTTTCCTTTCACCTTCCACAGTGATTGTAAGTTTCCTGAGGCCTCCCTAGCCATGCTTCCTGTATAACCTGCAGAACAGTGAGTCAATTAAACCTTCTTTCTTTATAAATTACCTAGTCTCAGATAGTTCTTTATAGCAATGTGAGAATGGATTAATACAATGTGTAGCTCTCCCTTCCACTTGAACACTTAGAGGCCATTGTAGGGTTATTAATTGGCCTAATTTCAATAATGTTTTGTCTCAGGGAATAGAGAGGCCTTAGAAGAAAGAGAGGGATGGGGGAACAGCTGGTAAGTGGAGCAGTCAGAACGCGTTATCAATTAAGTTCACCACCTTATACGGGTGCCATTCATGAAACCACAAAACAATTATAGTAGTAACACTAAAGATCGCTGATCACAGATCACCATAACAAATATAATAGTAATTAGAAAGTTTAAAGTATTCCCTAATTAGCCAAGTGTGGCACAGAGATGCAAAGTGAGCACATGCTGTTGGAAAAATGGTACAGATAGACTTGTTCTACACAGGATTGCCACAAATCTTCAATTTGCAAAATAAATAAATAACATCTGAGAAACACAAGAAAGCAAAGTACAATAAAATGAAATACACCTACATTTACTTAAGAGAAAAGAAAGCTACTTCCGTGCAAAGATGTGTACATGTATGTTCATTGCAGCTTTATTTGTAGCAGCCAAATGAGAAACAAGAAAAAGTCTTTTTGGGGAAAGCGTTGGCTTTCCCCAAATAAAACCATTGGAACACTTATTTTGGTACTTATTTTGGCAAGATTTTGTTGCCAGGAAGAAAAAAAGTCTAATTTTTTTAATGCATTCTTCACTGAGCATGCTGGTGAAGGATTTGAGTGATCTTCTCGCTGAATACTAGCGGCTTTCTCTTCCACCAAGCTTCTCTTTGCTCCTCTGGAGGAATAAAGGAGTAACAAAGTTAGAATGGGAAGGAGGGGAAATGGAGCTGGTCTTTCACTTCAAGTGTGATTGGTTTTCTCCTGAGGTATGTGAAACCAAACACAATCCACCACCGGAAGGAGTATTGCCCTTCCAAAAATCAACCCACTTAATCTGTACGAGAAAAGTGTGTTCTTCATATTAACATGAAGGAGCTATTTTTTTGCAAAATAACCACACTGTCCTTGCCATTCCCGTGCTAAGGGCTCCTATGCTCCTTCCTGCTCCAGTGACTTCCAGAGCTTCCTCATTTTACACAACAGTGAATAGTGGCAGTCAATCTGGCTTCTCTCCACTGCACGGGGCTTTTCTCATGACCACATTGAGGATTAGGTTGAGGCAGATGGTGGGATTGGGGCGGGAGTGTGCAGAAAGAAGTTTCAGTTCACTCTGCCACAAATGTATTATTTCCTCACGTAGACCGAATCCCAGCACACCACACATTAGCTGTGTGACCTCAGGCAAACTCCTTAACTACTCTGAGCCTCAGTTTCTCCATCAATAAAATAAATGTAATACTGTTGGTCCCAGTAAGGCCAACATTATTTATAACCCTTTGAACAGGGTTGTTGGAAGGGTTGTAAGTAATCTGCCGATCACTCCTTCCCTGGGATCTGGAGCTCATTTAGTGACAGATACTATCATTATTGTTGTTATTCTTACTTTGATGTATGCACCATACAAATGCATATATTTACATTACAAATCAACCTGGTTAATGAATACAAAGCTGCAATCGTACTTTCTTTTTAATTAACTTGCTGTGCCAGAGAGGTAATAAAAGGAATGAAATCAGCATTTTTTTCTCAATGTGCCTATCATCAATTAAGCATCTTGGTAAGTGCCTCTTTCCAAGGCTACAAATATTCCTGTTCCAACGCTTGTGGGTGAGCAGGGCCAGATGGAGAGGGTAGTGTGTCACTTCTCTGCTGTTCTGCCCTTATGCCCTTTGCAGAGAGGAGCCTGCTCAGGGCGTTTGCTTGTGAGTTGTGTGATTATGACTCCAACCTTGCAGAACCTTGACAGGGAGCAGAGTCCTGGGTTTTCATCAGGTGCTGCCAGTGGGTCTTTTCCATCTGACATATTAATTCCTGCCTCTTCCTGTAAAGATAATTCACGCTTCTTGGCGGCATTGTGCAGTGCACAATGCCGGGTGCCAGGAATCTCCTGCAAACTTCAGCAGGGCTGCATTGTAATGTGCCACTAGATTAATCCAGCCATCTAAAATGCATTTTTAAAAAGCCAAAGGTCCTTCCCATGAATAACCTGGTGAGTATTTGAGCTTCATTATAATTTCCCTCTAATGGAGTTTGGGGAAATGAAATGGGAGTTATTAGCCAGATTTATAAGGCTGTCTACTGAGAAAATAGGAATGAAGAGAGGCTGACTTAGCAGACAAGGTGCATTGGTTATCTACCTAGCCAAGGAGAAAGAGCTGGCCCACAGTTTGCAAAGATGGAAAATATCCTTACCCAGCAAACACTTGTCCTGTGCTTCCAACAGAAGGCTGGCTGTGCTTTCATAATCTGAGGAAGCATTGCACATACATCCTCCAGCGGCCCCCTTTCTATGCCTGAGTCTGAGATCCAACACTCCACGCTCAGAGCACATCATGTCAGTGATTCAAATGGACCATGCATGAAAACTCTCCCACTGGTCTTTGGAGGGTGGAAAACCACTTCATTCAAGTGCAGACGCAGGTATTGTATTGGAAATGGCTAGCCAAGGTTCCTGAAGGAGGAGGAAGCTCTTGCCCTCCAAATGAAGCCAAGAAAGACCCTGTTGCCTGGAAGAGACAGACCTGGCGAAGCAAGAGCCTGGGGGCTCTGCGCAGCCAGAGGACATCCTGCAGCCACCGGGTACCCTGCAAAGGCGAGGGGGGGCTCGCCTTGAGGGGAGGCTGGTGGGCAGGAACTGCCGGGCCCGCAGTCGAGCTGTTTTCCACTTGTCTAGGGTATATCACCTGCTTCTGCACTGCACTTAGATGAGCAACTATGACACTGATGTTCTTGTTAAGGAACTGCATTGTTTTGCTAGGGCTTCCATAACAAAGTACCACAGACTGGGTGGCTTACCCAATGAAAGTCTGTTTTCCCACCGTTCTGGAAGCTGAAAGTCCAAGATCAACCTGTGGGCAGGTTGGGTTTCTCCTGGGGCCT
Organism: Homo sapiens; assembly: GCF_000001405.40. Lineage (NCBI taxonomy): Eukaryota > Metazoa > Chordata > Mammalia > Primates > Hominidae > Homo > Homo sapiens. Next base: position 31,695,552 of record NC_000010.11, read on the forward strand.
GTCTCCTTGGCTGGGAGGCAGCCGCCTTCTTGCTGTGTCCTCACATGGCCTTTCCCCTGTGCAAGCGCATCCCTGATGTCTCTGCATCTTCTTGTTATGACACAGCAGTATTGGGTTAGGGCCCACTCCAATGACCTCATTTTAACTTAATTACCATTGTAAGGATGCTGTCTCCAAAACAGTCACATTCTGAGGTGCTGAGGGTTGAACTTCAACAGATGTATTTGTAGGGACCAAATTCAGCCCATAGCAGGGACTTTTAGATGTTTTATTTATTTATTTTTATTTTGTTTTATTTTTATTTTTGGAGATGGAGTTTCACTCTTGTTGCCCAGGCTGGAGTGCAGTGGCACGATCTCAGCTCACTGCAACCTCTGCCTCCTGGGTTCAAGTGATTCTCCTACCTCAGCCTCCTGAGTAGCTGGGATTACAGGCACCAGCCACCGTGCCTGGCTAAATTTTTGCATTTTTAGTAGACGAGGTTTCATCATGTTGGCCAGCCTGGTCTCAAACTCCTGACCTCAGGTAATGCATCCACCTTGGCCTCCCAAAGTGTTGGTATTACAGGCATGAGCCACTGTGCCCGCCCAGACTTTTTATGATCACAATGTTCATATAAAGCCATAACTGTCACTGAGTACTGGGTATTTACTGGACTTCACCTGCATCTTCAAAACTGACACGTGAGGCAGGTAGCATTATTGTTCACACTTTAGAGATGAAGAAACTGAGGCACACTGCCATTAAGCACCTCATCTGGTTAGTGGCAGAGTTGCACCCATACAGCAGGTTGCCCAAGCCTGCGCTTCCGATCACCACATTATTCTGTCTCTTCTCCTGTGTTTGTGACAGAAAAATGTGCACACTCTAGAAGAGAAGAAAGAAAAGAAAAGCCACCCACAACTTCACCCATCTGGGCTTTGCATGTAGATGTGTATTGTGTGACATACTCTGTTTTCCTGTCCTCGTTCCTCCTTCACACCGGCTAACGTCTTTGACACAGCATTGTTGGTGGCAAGGCCAAAGGAGAGCTGTAGGGACTTAAAAACTGTGTCTGCGGCCTGGCACGGTGGCTCACACCTGTAATCCCAGCACTTTGGGAGGCTGAGGCAGGAGGATCACTTGAGGTCAGGAGTTCGAGACCAGCCTGGCCAACATGGTGAAACCCCATCTTCTACCAAAAATACAAAAATTAGCCGAGTGTGGTGTTGTGCACCTGTAATCCCAGCTACTTGGGAGCCTGAGGCAGGAGAATTGCTTGAACCTGGGGGGCGGAGGTTGCAGTGAGCAGAGATCAGGCCACTGCACTCCACCCTGGGCAGCAGGGTGAGACTCTGTCAAAAAAACAAAAACGAAACAAAAAACAAAAACAAAAAACTGTGTCTGCAAAAAATAAAAGAGCATGGGACAGTGTTAAGGATACAGGGTTGGGTGTAAGCAGCAGGTTCCTTAGCAATGTGTGCAGTATGAGCCCAATTTAAAACAAAACAAAACAAAACAAAAATTATCACCGGAATTCTAGGTAGATCTCTGGCTACTGAGCCTATGGGTGATATTCATTTTCCTCCTATATCACCTATATGTGTTTCCCATATTTTTCAAATGTGCTATAATGAGCATGTAGACACAATGACCTCTGAAAGCAGAAATAAAAAACAATAAATGTCCTAAGAGAAAAATTAAACTGTGCTGGCTCACAGCACGGCAGGTCCGATTCACTGATGCAGTCTCCATTCTGGAAGATTTCTGTGTTTGTGCCCAGAAGGGAAAACAAAGGCAGCAGACGGAGTCTGTGAGGAAATCTACTGGAAACAACATCCTGAGTGAGGAAAGCAACAAAAGAGCCACCTCCCTAAAAGCAGCCCAAAGTGGCAATTCAAATAGTAAAAATGACGCAGGGATTTGGAAACAAAATCCCAGCTTGCAGTCAGAGCTTCCTGAGCCAGTGAAAACAGCAAGTGCGGAAGAGGAAGCCCAGGCTGCCCCATGTCCCCAGGGTCCACGGCTGCCACCTTTGCCAGGACCCCTGGGGGCTCAGAGAGAGCTCCATTCTTCTCCTCCCAGGTGGAGGGTCAGCCCTGTGCCCCAGGTGCCCAGCAGTCTAGGGGGCATGCCAAGTTTTCCCTGTGGGGAGCAAGGCTGCCCTTGGACAGGAACCCAGAAATGGCCTGAGCCGGGCCGGGCATGTGTTTCACCTCAGGCCACCTGCTTCCTGCTGGGCTGCGCAGCCGGGAGCCAGCGAGGCGGACACAATGGGCAAGACCCACGTCACTTTCTTAGGGAAAGAAAATTACTCTTTGTGGACCGAGAGATCAAGACAGGATATCTATAAGTGTTTAAAGAAAAGCCCAGTCTGCAGTCCCCTCCCTCCCCAAGCACTTCCGAAATGTCCCTCAACACACCCGGCTCTTTAAATATCCAAACCCAGAATAAATGTGCACACAGCATTTCCCCCAGCAACGGGGTCCACGCGGCTGCCAGCTGAGTCACAGATGTTAGAGCTGGGCCGGGCCTCTGAGATCACCAAGTTCAGGCTAAGAGCAGAATGACCAGCTCTCGGTGCTTCTTCCCTGTGCAGACACTTGCTGGCTGTGTCACTGCTGGGCACCTCTCCTCTCTCAGTGGCTCCCTGGGCTGTGCTGGTGCCACTCAGGTCTCCCTGTGCCCTTAATAACCACTGAGCCACCCAGCCTAGGCTGCTAGGGCCATGCTTTTAAATGAGATGCTGAGTCTAGAGAGGAAAAAGGACTCGCTGCATTGCACAACTTGTTCCTGGCGTAACTGGAGCTAAAACCTGGCGTGACTCGTCTCCTCCAGCTCTTTCCTGGACTCTTATGGACGTCTTGCGTCTGACGATTGTTTTGTGGGGCCATCCTGTGATGGTGCGGGTGATTGCTATAGATTACAAGCTGTTGAATGTACTTTCTTTGAGATCCCTCCAGATAGGTTTAGACAGGCATTTTCTTAAGTTTTGGATTTTTATCAACTTGGACTATATCTATGGTTTGGTTTTGTTTTTCATAAAAATTCTTTTTGGCCTCTGGTAAAGATAAATTCCACCAGACCTCAAAATGTGAAACAGACACAAGCAGACCTGATCTGGTTGGAGCAGGAGCAAAATCCCAAAGCTCCCTCTCCTACAGCCTCCCTCTGCTGCACAACCCCCATGTCCTGGGACTCATAGCTCTGAGCAATCATTTGCAAAACACTGGGCCGTCAGTATCTGATGGACTTGCTCGTATCTGAGAATCTGTGATTCGTGATTATGTGACTGTAGATAATGAAGAAAACATCCCCAGGTTCCTACCCTATCCTCCACCTAACTTGGCAGCATAGAGTAACAAATAAGGATGAGGAGAGATCTGACAGGTGTGCTAAATTTAAATGCACCCAGGGGTCATCAGTGAAATGTACACGCCCAAGCCCAAAATAAATCATTCATTCTTTCATTCCTCCAACAAAAATCGACTGCTAGGCACAGCAGATTATATGCAGGAAAGTAATTCACAGCCTTTATTCTTAAGGAGGTTTGGGTTTTATGTAAGAAAGTCTGACATCTAAATACAAAGAAAATTATAAACACTTCCAATATAATGTCTTTCAGATTTTCATGATCAAGAGCCGCCCTTTCCAGCAAGAATCACCATCAATGGCTTCATGGAAGAAGTGGCATTTGAAGAATAGTGTGATTTTGACAGGTGGAGCTGGGAGAGGAGGGCACTTCAGAATGAGGAAGCAGCATATTCAAAGGCCTGGGGGCCATTTGGTCATACAGGCTGAACCATATTCACCTCTAGGAAGCACATTCAGGTAATAGTGAAGGGAAGGGCAGCCATGGAATCAGCCACGTGGCAGCCCTGCTGGAAAGCACAGGTGTGTTCAAGAAATCCTGAGCTTGGGCACACCATGGGAGGGATCTGAATGGGGAAGCAGAGAGATCAGGCAGGGACCAGGGCGTGGAGGGCCTGGAAAGCCAGACAAAGGCTGCACACAGTGGGAAGTTGCTAAGCATTTTTGAGCAGGTAAGTGGCAACAGGGTCAAGCTTTCGGAAGCTAGGCCTAGCCATGGTATGAGGGTGAAATGGGAGGAAAGGGATGGAAGGCCAGGATGTGGTTGAAATTACCGCTGCAATAAAGGGGACAGGGAAAGGGCCAACTGTCGGTGGGGCAGGTGGTGTGGCTGGAAAAGAAGGGATAGGTGCAAGAGAATTTTTTAAAGTCCCGGGAAAATCAGCCAGGCTTGACAAATAACTGACTTTGGAGGTCAGAGGAGTGGAACAGTCAGAGGGACCAGCCGGCCTGTTCTGGGAACCTGGGGAAGGAGTGGGGGTCTTTTGCACTTTTACGGGAGACCACAGGTGTTTCTGCAACTGGATAGGCAAACGAGAAGTTCGATTTTAGGCCTGGGATGTCTGAGATGTTGGAGAGAGAGCCAGTTCAAAGTACCAGCTCTACCCCAAGCAAGGCTTTCTTTATGTCACCACACACATGTGCACAAAAACTCCTCTTAGTGTTGATAGTGAAACAGCCTGACTTGGAAGGAGGGTTATCGATTCCAATAGGCCCCATACTGCATTTTCTCCATCTGATTTCTCTCGCCTTCTTCTCTCCTTCCCAGGGAACATGGGGCTCAATGTGAGAGAAAGTCAAAAATGCAACTTCCTTATGGCAAATATGGGCAACAATTAGAAGAGCAAGGAAGGGGAATTCCCCCCGGCCCCATATTTTCCAGCTGAGCTGTGCTTGTCAGGGTAAACAGCGACAAAAATAATCACAGTTGCTTGCCACTTGGAATACTATTATCTGAACAGTTGGTGGATATGAACTGTTTTTAAAACGGGCTATCAAAACAAACCCAGGGAGAACATCTGTGGGGCCACGGGCCTGCGAGCCAGCTAAGGAAGGAAGCCATAACCCGGCAGCCTCTCCATCAAGTGTCCTTGCTGGGCAGGCGAGGGGGCGTCCCAACGATCACGAGGATGGGATGGGGTGGCCCAGGGTGGGAGGAGGCAAAAACAGGAAAGCAAGGGTCCGGCATGCAAACCAATTCTGAGCAACATACAGAAATGCAACTTCTAGAAACAATGAGGCGTAGGTAACGCCGGACCTCGAGCAGCGATGGGAGGACAGGGTGGCTGCAGGTTCCACTGAAATAGCTTTAGGGCCTGGGGAAATCTGCAGTGAAAACATCGCATGTTATTTATAGCCATAAGTTGAAATCCGTGTTATTTAGTATGATGTTTATAAAAAATAAATGGTAGGCGGCCTTTCCTTCCTTGCTTCTCTGGCTGTCGAAGAAAGGTTTTTAGGTGCATACTTCTCTGCTTTGTTTAGCTTATTTTGCTTTTTAAAAAATGTAACGAATGAGGGCAAGGATAACAACTGTTCATTATTTAAAAGCTCAAATGAAACCCAGGCTGAGGCACCTGAACTTCCTGGAGGGAAAAGACAGGGAACCAGAGAGTGGGCGCCACGGTGGGAGAGCCGTGTCCCGCAAAGCCCAGATCCCTTCTTTCCTTCTCTTTGACCTGGGGCAGGGAACAGCTTTCAAAACAAAATTCTTACAGGGGGTTTTGTTTGTGGTCTTTGTGTGTGGTGAGTTTTTTTTAAGTAGAGAAAGGATTTCCACCGGCAGAATTGTTTCCTCCCCTCTATTCTGGTCCCCTAATCCCCTCAATAAACCTCATAAACACTCCCCGACTCTCTCTCTTGGGTCTCCCCATTGTGTGGGGTGCTTGTGTAAAAACTAATTGTACCCTATGGTTGAAGAATAAGAGGGCGGGTTTGATGTTTTGGGGGACAAGTTCAATTAAAGGAGGGAATGGAGATTATTTGAATGCCCTCTGGGCTGCAGATCTAAGGCCAGTTTTATTAGTAATTCTCCACTCAGTTTTATTAGTCATAAATACGATATTTAGATCTTAAAAACAAAAGCAACTGATGGCCCATGGGTTCATGTGCCAACTGCAGCCTGGAACAAGGGGAACAGTGATTGGAGATATGGCAAGAAGCCTGTAATCTTTGATGCAGAGGCTCTAGAACTGTCTTCCTCTTCTGCCCTGCCTGGGTGGGGTCCCACACAGAGAGCCCTGCCAGCCTCCCTGAGCCACGTTCTCTCTCTCTCCTCCCAGCCGTGAGAAACCGTGGCTTTGGGGATCCCATGGCCCCAAGGATGGAGAGTTCTCTAGCCAGAGCTGAAGGGACAGTCTTGGAGACTCCCAGACAGCACTCCGGGGGGCCTGGGAGGCAGGAGGCCCAGGAGGATTTCCTCTCTAAAGAGCCTGTCACTGTTCGGGGCTTTCCTTGCCCAGCATAAGGAAAACCTCATCTTTCAGCAATCACTGGCTCTCCAGATGAGTCCTTGAGAAGACCAGAGTGGAAGCAGCTTTGGAACTGGGTAATGGGTAGATGCTGGAACTGTTTTGAAGTGACTGCTGGAAAAAGCCTGTAATGCTTTGAATGCATTAATGATTATTCTGGCAAGGGCTCAAAACAAGAGAATAGATGCAGAAAAAGACTAAAACTTCTTAAAGATTACCTACCTGGTTGTGAGGGACCTGGTGGGAGGTGATTAGATCATGGAGGCGGACTTCCCCCTTGCTGTTCTTGTGATAGTGAGTGAGTTCTCATGAGATCTGGTTGTTTAAAAGTATGTAGCACTTCCCCTTTCACTCTTTTTCTCCCGCTCCACCATGGAAGAAGGTGCTTGCTTCCTCTTCACCCTCTGCAATGGTTCTAAGTTTCCCCAGGTCTCCCCAGCCATGCCTCCTGTACAGCCTGTGAAACTGGGTTGATTAAACCTCTTTTCTTTATAAATTACCCAGTCTTAGGTAGTTCTTTATAGCAGTGTGAGAATAGACTAATACAGAAAATTGATACCAGAGAAGTGGGGCATTGATATAAAGATACCTGAAAATGTGGAAGTGACTTTGGAACTGGGAAATGGACAGAGGTTGGAACAGTTTGGAGGGCTCAGAGGAAGATAGGAAGATGAGGGAAAGTTTGGAACTTCCTAGAGACTTGTTGAATGATTGTGACCAAGATGCTGAAAATGACATGAACGGTGAAATCCAGGCTGAGGTGGTCTCAGACAGAGGAACTTATTAGGAACTGGAGTAAAGGTCACTCTTGCTATACTTTAGCAAAGAGACTGGCAGGCATTGTGCCCCTGCTCTAAAGATTTGTGGAACTTTGAACTTGAGAGAGATGATTTAGGGTATCTGGCAGAAGAAATTTCTAAGCAGCAAAGTATTCAGGATATGGCCTGGCTGCCTCTAACAGCCCACATTTATTTGTATAAACAAAGAAGTGACCTGAAACTAGAACTTATATTTAAAAGGGAAGCAGAGCATAAACGTTTCAAAAATTTTCAGCCTAAACATGCAATAGTAAAGAAAAACCTATGTTCTGAGGAGGAATTCAAGGCTGTAGAAATTTGCATAAGTAAAGAAGAGCCGAATGTTAATAGCCAAGACAAAGGGGAAAATGCCTCCAGGGCATTTCAGAGACCTTAGCGGCAGCCCCTCCCATCACAGGCCCGGAGGCCTAGGAGGGAAAAATGGTTTCATGGGCCAGGCCCAGGACCCTACTTCTCTGTGCAGCCTTGAGACATGATGCCCTGCATCCCAGCCACTCCAGCTCCAGCCATGGCTAAAAAGATCCAAGGTAAGCTTGGGCCACTGCTTCAGAGGGTAAAAGCCCCAAGTCTTGGTGGCTTTCATGTGGTGTTGGGCCTGTGGGTATACAGAGGCAAGAGTTGGGGTTTGGGAGCTTCTGCCTAGATTTCAGAGGACGTAAAGAAATGCCTGGATGTGCAGGCAGAAGTCTGCTGCAGAAGCAGGGCCCTCGTGGAGAACTTCTACTAGGGCAGTGCAGAGGGGAAATGTGGGGTTGGATCCCTCACATGGAGTCCCCATTGGCGTACTGCCTAGTGGAGCTGTAAGAAAAGGGCCACTGTCCTCCAGATCCCAGAATGGTAGATCCACCAACAGCTTGCACCATGTGCCTGGAAAAGCCACAGACACTCAATGCCAGCCTGTGAAAGCAGCTGTGAAAGCACATGGGGTCATGTGGACTGGGGCAGTGTGGAGTGCCATACCCTGCAGAGCCACAGGGGTAAAGCTGCCTAAGACCTAGTGATCCCACCCCTTGCATCATTGTGACCTGGATGTGAGACACAGAGTTAAAGGAGATTATTTTGGAGCTTTAAGATGTAATGACTACCCTGCTGGGTTTTGGACTTGCAAGGGGCCTGTAGTCCGTTTGTTTTGGCCAATTTCTTCCTTTTGGGTTGGGGGCATTTACCCAACGCCTGTTCCTCCATTGTATCTTGGAAGTAACTAACTTGTTTTTAATTTAACAGGCTCATAGGCAGAAAGGACTTGCCTTGTCTCTGATGAGACTTTGAACATCAACTTTTGAGTTAATGCTGGAACAAGTTAAGACTTTGGGGGGCTATTGGAAAGGCTTTATTATGTTTTGAAATGTAAAAGGGACATGAGATTTGGGAGGGGCCAGGGGTGGATTGATATGGTTTGGCTCTGTGTCCCCATGCAAATCTCATGTCAAATTATAATTCCCAATGTTGAAGGAGGGACCCGGTGGGAGGTGATTGGGATTATGGAAGCAGATTTCTCCCTTGTTGTTCTTCTGATAGTGATCAGAAGATCTGGTTGTTCTCTGGAAGAGATCAGTGCCTAGGGCCCAACAGGAAAACAAGTGGCCAACCAGAGAGCTGGAATGGGGAGCAGTGGGAAGGGGGAGCATGCGGTCTACAGCAGTGAGAGGTAGGCACAGAGCCAGCCTGGGGGGTGAATGGCACAGGACACTAGAGAGGCAGGACAGGCCTCATGACTATTGCCACACATCCCTTCTGCCTCTTGGCTTGGGTTTGGATAGACAAACCCAAGCCAAGATCTCACAAGATCTGGTTGTTTAAAAGTGTGTAGCACTTCACACTTTACCCTCTCTCCTGCTCTGCCATGTGAAGAAGGTGCTTGCTTCCCCTTCACCTTCTGCCATGATTTTAAGTTTCCTGAGGCCTCCCCAGCCATGCTTCCTGTACAGCCTGCAGAACTGTGAGCCATTTCAACCTATTTTCTTTGTAAATTACCCAGTCTCAGGTATTTTTTTATAGCAGTGTGAGAACAGACTAATACAAAGGCAGAACTTAAAGGCAATGAACTACGATATCTAGTGGAAGAAATATCTAAGCAGCAAAGCATTCACGGTGCTGTGTGGCTTCTTTGAATTGCATATAGTAAAATTCAAGAGAAGATAAATGATGTAAAGATGAAATTTGTTATTAAAAGGGAAGCAGAAAAGAAATATTTGGAAAAGTCTCAGACTGGTCATATAAAGAATAAAAAGTGTTTGTGAGAGAATACTAAGAGTGTGACCAAGCCACTGTTTGCTCCTCTTTTTATAAAAGTGAGAGTGAGAGACGATGAGAGGTGAGTTGGGAAGGGTGAGGAGGAAGGCAGTAAAAATGAGACCAAGATGACAGAAAGGTGTGGGGTAAAGGGAAGCAAATGGGGCTGAAAAAAAATAAGGAAGAAAGGAAATGCACATTTATTCCACTTTTCCTGAGTGCCAGAAGAATACTAGGTATCTGCTGGGGCAGAGGTCCCCACACAAAGGTAATTTCATGAATGAAAGGATGCTCCATTCATTCATTTGTTCATCAGATATGTTTCGAAGCATTTCCTATGTGTCAGACACTGTTGTAACCATTGGTCACATGACAGAATGAAACCAAGGACAATGCCTGCCCTCATGGGGTCATGTGGACTGGGGCAGTGTGGAGTGCCATGGATGTTAGCTCACTCACTCACAGCAACTCCAAGAGGCTTGGAGAAGGTTATTGAGTTGCTCAAGGTCCTGTGGCCAGTAAGTGGTCAAGAGGGCCTTTCGACGAGGATTTCCTTGGCTTTAAGTCAAAACCTACTGAAAAAAGGAAAGCCCTGTGCTTTGAGAGGGTCACAGCAGGAAGTACCCAACATTCTTATGGGAATGGTACCAAGAAAATGTAGGCATCTCTGACAAAGCTGCCCTAGAACAGCCTCAGCTGGTACCTGGGGGCACTCCATATTGGCATTGAGAACATTAATTCCTCCTGAATTCAGGAGCTGAAGCTCAGGCATGGGCTGTGGAGCTGGCCTTGGGGTTTGAGTTTGGGTGAGGGTGTCAGGGAACCCATGTCTCTCTCCTCATCCCAATTTGGTCTCCAAGCCTCTGCCTTCCACACTGCCAACCTCCACCAGCTCTTGAGTCTTGTCTCTCCAAACCCAAGCCAAGAGGCAGAAGGAATGTGTGGCAGTAGTCATGAGGCCCGTCCTGCCTCTCTAGTGTCCTGTGCCATTCACCCCCCAGGCTGGCTCTGTGCCCACCTCTCACTGCTGCAGACCCCAGGCTCCCCCATCCCTCTGCTCCCCATTCCAGCTCTCTGGTTGGCCACCTGTTTTCCTGCTGGGCCCTAGGCACTGATCTCTTCCATCTCCGCTTCCTTCCTGGCCTTCCTCTCATTCATGCAGGATCTTTCCCTGTCTCGGGGGTTCTACATGCCTATCCGTGGGTTTGCAAAGCCTGACAGCCCTGCAATATGGGCTTGGTCCTGCTGTCCCTCTGGAAGCCCAAATTCACAACAATGAACTCACTTTCTTTCCCTGGATGAGCTGCTCCAAAGTTCAGCACCTCAGTAAGTGCTCCAATATCGTTCCTGCCACTCCAGCGGGGGCCTCCTCCCCTTCCCCATGCCACCCCCAAGCACAAAGGGGGTGTCCCCATCTCCAGTACTCCTACTTAGTCCTTAGCCTCCTGCCCACTGCACCCTCCCAACCCCTTCCCCAGATGTTATCCAGGATGAGCACTTGAAGATACAAGCCTGATTATCTCATTCGAACCAACCAACTCTTGTAGATCTTGAGCTTTTTAAAGCTTCTTTTTGGGCTTCCTTTTGCTAACAGACTTTTCTCAGTCTGATTCTAGCATGTCTTTTCAAGCCTCTGGTCCTATACCCCTTCACAGGCCTCCTGCTACACGCATACACACACATGTACACACACACACACACACATACATATACACCATACTCTGGCCACGCCCATCTAGTTATTCACACGTGCAGTCCCTGACAGAGTGCCAACATTTGCACTTGAGACATGACACTGATGCTTGTTACATTTATTAAACATACCACATGTATATGTCTTCTGTGCTTTTCCTCCTATTATTCCCTCTGTTGGGAATGTCATCCTCCCTTTCAGCCTAACATAGTCCTAGCCCTTCTCTTCAGGACCTGGCCCAACAGCACCTCCTCCATGAAACCTGCTTCCCTGATGTGTCTCTTACATTCCCACCATCCAAAAACTGACAGCTCTTGCAGGAGGGAGCCATGACGTGCTCATCTTCTGCATCTGCAGCTGGTGCCAGGGACCAGTACATTTGCTGCATGAGTGAATGAACCAACGTCCCAGCAATTCCTGAGCATTCTTAAGGCTGGTCTGTCTCCCCCAGGAAGCCTGGGCCCCCAGCGTCACCGAGCTGTGCACACAGAGAGATAATCATCTTAGTGTCCCTCTGGACCCGGAAGCTGGGTGGTGTCGCTAAGAAAGCCAGAACTGCTTTGCCTTCTATATTGCTACTGAAATTTGCAACTCAAGTGTTGCATAACCAAGGGAACCTGGCTTCCCTCTGAACATCCCTCCCACTTAGTTTGAGAAATAGAGAAAGAGCCAAAGTTAGGTCAAGACTCACCTGAGGAGGCCCCTGGCCCACCATCGAGGTCATGCCTGTCACTCCCCAGGCTGCCCCTCCCGGGGAACAGGGTCATGCGGGGTTAGGGGGCAGCTCACTCCCAGTGGGTAACTGGATTTCCCTGGGGAGGGGAACAAAGAGTGAGAGCATAGGCCGTTCTCACTTCAGACCAGGGAGATTGCGCACTCTCCCTCCTTCCCTCTTGGAGGGAACATCTGCAATTCAGGGACTTCTGCAAAAATTTCACACTCAGGGCTAAGAGCAATTCTATTTCTTGGAGGATTCTAACTTGGCTTAGAGGAGGTTTTTACCCTCCTCCAGTTAAATGGACCAAGTATGTGGGAAATTACCTCACAGAGTCATGCCACCAACACCAAATGAGAGCCATCTGTACAGATGAAACAGTTAGGAGCTTTTGTGTCACTGCGGGCCGAAATGTGTAGCCCATTCATTGTGAGAGGAGGCACTTTATTCCTGAGTTTCTTTTTTTTTTCTAACACAGAAGACGCCTCAGTCAGCGCGTAGGAAACAGGAAGGAACCCGTTGTTTTAAATAGCAGACAGCAGAGAATTGACTCATTATGGTCTGCTTGCTCCGAGAGTGTCAGCCAGAAGGCAGCCAGCCCAGCCCCCACAGCCCCAAGACAAGGGTCAGGGGGCATGGCTGGGATTTTCTCACAGGGAGTCTGAGAGAATCCAGTTCAAACCCTTTTCAGAGGGAACTGGTGAAGCCCTAGGTTTCTATCTTACTAGAGACTTCACCACACAGGGCTGTCTTAAAAAAATATAAGAATAAGAAAAGACAAAAACAAAAGCCCCCGTAAAAACCTACAAGAATACCTGGAAGTCAGACATCCTGTGTTTCCCTTTCCTACCCCGAATGACTCGGAGTAGGACAAACACAGTTGCAAGCCTGCTTTCTTATCTTGGCAATTGCTTCTTTTCACTCTTCTGGGGTTTACAACAGTTGGCCCAGGGGTGTGAGGGAACAGAAGGGAGCAGCATCTGCTGGGACAGAGGGCCCTACACAAAGGTAATTTCATGCAGGGAAAATGCACCCCCCCACCCAATCCCAGGCTGCTGGGCCCAGGAGCCCAAGGGTTAATCTGTCTCAAATCCATCACTGTGACAGCCAAGCACACAAATTAGTCCTGCCCAAGCTGTCCCGACCTCTGAATTTAATTTTTTAAAAGTGCTTTGTATTGTTTCTGATGTTCAGATTGGAGTCCAGGTGTCGTGATGGAACCCGGGGGAGATGAGAGGGTAAGACCCTCGTGTACTGCATCTCACATCACCCTCCAATGTCCTGTGTCTTCTTTGTCAAGGCAGACTAAGGGTGACCTAATTTCCAACACGCAGGCCCAGAAACCTTGAAACTGACCAGCTCGAGCCTCCTTGTAAGCCTCTCCAGCTGTGAAAATCCCCTGGCTCGTAGTCCTATGTCGTCCACATGATGCTTTTCCTGCATTTTGCAGACAACTGCTGATCCCCAAGGGCGGGCCATGCATGGCTGTATCTCCCATCCAGAGAACATCTACAAAGCTCACGCAGCCATGGGGTCTCATAGTTTGACCTGAAACTGATGGTGACTCCTGTCACCAACAGGAGTGGTCAAAACATCCTTTCTGGAGTATTAAGTGTTTGTAGAACCCTGGACATTTATGGTGGCAGAGTGTGTAGCAGCCTCAAGGAGAAATCTTCCCCCTCCATTGCCCCTTTCTAGAATCACACCAAATAATTGGGGTTCTCAGCAGAGTCTGGAGGCAATCCCAGAGACTGAGGAAAGGGAGAGCCTTCCACTTTTCCATTTCTCCCAAGCCATTTTGTATGCCTACAGGTGTCAGTATAAACCAAAGAATGTGCCTTGTCTCAGATGAAAAGTTAGAGTAACCATATAATTTATTGTCTAAACCTGGACACCGATGAGAGTGAAAAGGAGAGCTATTAATAACGATGCCAGAACGACAGGTGTAGATGGTGACTGTCCCAGGCAAACTGGGACATATGGTCATGCTATGACTGTGAGCTCTAAATTGGTGCAGGCTCCTGTGCTGGCTGTCTATTAGGTTTATGTATAATATAATACCCAAGTGACCCTAGGTCCACAGGGTAGAGGGGTTGAGGAGGGTAAGGAAGGTCAGCAACCATGCCTGTCTGAAGGCCATGTGGAGGTAGGGAATGGGGAGAAAGGGGATCAATTTAATCCAGAAAAAGCTGACTCTGCTACAGACTTGAGGAAATCCAGGTCCTTTTTCTTGTCTGAACTGCTACTTGCTCTCAGCAAAGAAATTGAGTTCTGCCAACTCCCACTCCAGCTGCAAAATGCAGCAGAGTCCTGGGCCTTGAGGTTGGAATTCCAGGCCCACTATCCCCACTAGCTTCTGTGAGTCCATCAGAAGATAGGACCTCAGATCTGCAACATTTACTTATCCTTGGCTTTCTGTCAAAAAGTCCAAGCAGATGGTATTCTCCTTCATCCCTTCTTACAGACAGTGACAGATCCACTGCTCAAAATCCTTTTCCCACCCTAAGCAAGGCTATAGCAGAAACCATCTTCTTCTAGGCCTTACATGTTTAACCTAGCCAGCCAGAGGTTTATAAAAGACAACTTCCTCTATTTCCAGAGGTGAAAAAAAGCTAAAGTAGTCTATTTAAAATTTTCTCTCCTCAGACCCCAAAGAATAAAAAAACTTTTTAACTATTGGATGGAAATTCTTTTTTGTTCACTTAAAACAGATGATCCCCTTCTAGAGTAGAAACAGTTAATTGGTCTACAAAATAGTATTCTATAACATGTCTTATCCTTATCCCCAGTCTGTAAGCAAAAATTATATTGAAATCAAATTGAAATGATCCAAAGCGGCTACAAAGATAAAATTATTCTTCCAGAAACATGGTACTGTGGATAGAGAATTCAAGAAAACTCCTTTAGATGTCATATATACCACAACATATCACTTGAAAAAGAAAAAAAATCCTTTATGTAACCATAAAAAATAAGATACTCATATTTTGCATTCTTATATAAATTCAATTGAATAATAGATTAGAACTTAAAATCAGTTTTTGTCAGAGTCAGTTCTCTCATTATCACGCTTTCCTTTTCCCTGAATAAAACTATTATTAGTGGACTCATAATTTACTAGACTTTTGCCAAAAGACAAAGACTTTTACTTTGTTCATGTTTTTGCTTTAAGAAAAATATTCAATAAATATTTGATAAGTGTGTAAATAAAAAGTCATACTAAGCATCAAATTATAGCAATAAATATAAATGGCTTATATTTCTCCAAAGCCTCAGATTGAACTGAAAAAGCAAACTTCAATTTTCTGCTTACAAGAGTTATATCTAAAACAAGCCAAGTGTGGTAGCTCACACCTGTAATCCCAGCACTTTGGGAGGCTGAGGTGGGCAGATCTTTTGAGGTCAGGAGTTCAAGATCAGCCTGGCCAACATGGTGAAATCCCATCTCTACTAAAAATACAAAATAGCTGAGCATGGTGGCATGTGTCTGTAATCCCAGCTATTTGGGAGACTGAGGCAGGAGAATCAGAATCCCTTGAACCTGGTGGGTGGAGGTTGCAGTGAGCCAAGATCATGCCACTGCTCTCCAGCCTGGGCAACAGAGTGAGACTCCGTCTAAAAAAAAAAAACAAAATAAAACAAAACAAAAAGAGTTATATCTAACACAAAATGGCCCAAACATACTAAATATAAAAGGATTGCAGTAGCCAAAAATAAGAAGAAACATGAGCAAAGAGAAAAGAAAATCGGCAATATTAATATAGCAGAAGTAGAATTTAAAGCAAATCAGTAAATCAAAAAATCAAAACAACAGTTTTACATTCACAAAGGTCAAATTAACTGGATTTACATGTAATTATTTATTTTTGCATGTTTTTGTTTGTTTGTTTAGGGGTGTGCCAAAAAGCCATTTGGGGATTTATGTATTCAATCTATTGTTTTGTGAGCAAAATAATCTGGAATATTCACCAGATATGATAACAGTATACATAAAGTAAAAAACTACAAATACATAAATTATTGACAAAAAAATTGCCATGAGATGCTTTAATGGATCTATGATGTATCCATAGCAGATAAAGTAAATTAAAAGATAAAAGATTTGGGTGGTGATGATAATGAATTATTTTATGTTGAGTTTTGCTTCACGTTACGATATAAAAAATTCCAAGAAATCCTTGCTCTCATCCTAACAGCCAAAACAACCTGGATAAACTAAACAATAGGTTTTCTGAACCCCAAAGAGAACTGAGGATGCAAAGTAACCTAAATGAATTCAACTCCCAAAAATGACAAACTATTTGTAGGAGATAAGATTCCTACAGCTGCTCTTACCCCTGCACTGCTAAAGTGTCAGGAGGAGGAAGAATCTTTGATAATTGAGGACAAGGAGAAACCAGCTGAATCTCTAAAAAATTTTAACAACTATGTATGGACTGGCATTCTATAGATTAGTGTCCCATGCACAGAATTAGGGTGCTCCCCTCCAGTAATGCCTTCCACAGATTTCAAGAGGTTCTCAGGAGCAGTGTGCCAAAGGCTGGGAGGCAAGGCAGGAGAAGTGAGAGAGATACTGCCTGAGATGTGTGAGTTCTCCACCAAGTTCAAGGCAGCTAACCTATGAAGGTAGGGGAGTGGAGTAGGAAAGTCAAGAAAAATCAACATGAGGCACTGTGGACTTTTGGCTACCAAGAGAAGAAGGCAGAGAAGGACAGCTGAGAGAAATTGCTCCAGAAATTTCAGGCAGACAGAGATCTTCCCAGGTACAAAAAGCCTGCGGCAAGACCAGAAAGCAAAGAGAATGCCTACAACTCAAAATGCTGGTAATAAGGTGGTCAAGCTGTAAAGCTCAGAAAGCTGGAAGCTCAGCTATAAAGAACTAAGAATTCTCCAGAACTTTACCAGTACTCACACTGCCAAGGCCCAGAGAAAGGAAAGTCTTGATTATGCTCTTAAAATATTTGCATCTATTGGTGAACCAAATCAAAATAAAGCTGCAATAAAAATCCATACCCAACCACACAAATTTTAACCCAGTCCCCGACTCTAGTAACCCTTCCTGGAGGTAACTATTATTTACTTCACTCTTTATTATTCTTTTATACAAAATAGCTGGCATCAATCAAAAATTACAAGACACATGAAGAATGATGAAAATGTAATTTAAGATCAAGAGTAGAAATAGTCAGTAGAAGTAGACAGATTGTCTCTGATTCAGATTTTGGAATTGCCAAAGATTTTTAAAAAGCTATGGTAGGAATGCTAAAGAATCTAGTAGGAACACGGAAAACATACATGAAGAGACAGGAAATTTATAGAGACATGGAAGCTATGAAAGAATCAAATGGAAATGCTAGAAATTTTTTAGTGCAATATTAGAAATGAACTCAACTGATAAACTTAGTGGGACACTGGACTTGCAAAGGAAGGAATCGGTAAACTTACAGACAGGTCAATAGAATTTTTTTCAATTTGAAATAAAGAGAAAAAACAAGTGAAAACAACAGAACAAAGAACCCGAGATCTGTGAGACAATATCAAATATTAAGCAGTTCCACATACGTGTGACTGGAGTCCCAGGAGAGGGCAGAAAGAAGAGGAAAGAAAAATAGTTGAAGAGATAATGGCCAATATTTCCTCCAAATCAATTCAAGGAACTCAGAAAATCCTAAGCAAGATGAATGAGAAGAAAATCACACCAAGGCACATCATGGCCAACTACTGAAAATCAATATAAAGAGCCAATCTTCAGAGCAACCACCTGGAATCCCAGCCCTCTGGGAGGCCAAGGCAAGTGAATCACTTGGGCCCAGGAGTTGAGGACCAGCCTGGGCAACATGACAAAACCCCACCTCTACGAAAAATACAAAAATTAGCCAGGTGTGGTGGCACACGCTTGTAGTCCCAGCTACTAGCGGGGGTAAGGTGGGAGGATCACCTGAGCCCAGGAGGTTGAGGCTGTAGTGAGCCATAATTGCGCCACTGCATTCCAGCCTGGGCAATGGAGTGAGATCCTGTCTCAAGAAAAAAAAAACAAACAAAAACAGAGCGACCAGAGAAAAAGTACAGAGGCAAAGGAAAATGGAATGATACCCTTTTTTTTTAACTATTTGATTTTTAATTTTAATTTCTGTGGGTACATAGTAGTTGTATATATTTATGGGGTACATGAGTTTTTTTTAATACAGGCATGCAATGTGTAATAATCACATCATGTAAAATGGAGTACCCATCTGCTGAAGCATTTATTCTTTGTGTTACCAACAATCCAATATATTATTTTAGTTATTTTTAAATGTACAGTTAAATTATTATTGGCTATAGTCACTCTGTTGTGCTGTCAAATACTAGGTCTTATTCATTGTTTCTTTTTTTTTATTATTAAAGTTTTAGGGTACATGTGCACAACATGCAGGTTTGTTACATATGTATACATGTGCCATGTTGGTGTGCTGCACCCATTAACTCATCATTAACATTAGGTGTATCTCCTAATGCTATCCCTCCCCCCTCCCCCCTACCACATGACAGGCCCCAGTGTGTGATGTTCCCCCTCCTGTGTCTGAGTGTTCTCATTGTTCAATTCCCACCTATGAGTGAGAACATGTGGTGTTTGGTTTTTGGTTCTTGCAATAGTTTGCTGAGAATGATGGTTTCCAGCTTCATCCATGTCCCTACAAAGGACATGAACTCATCCTTTTTTATGGCTGCATAGTATTCCATGGTGTATATGTGCCATATTTTCTTAATCCAGTATATCATTGTTGGACATTTGGGTTGGTTCCAAGTCTTTGCTATTGTGAATAGTGCCACAATAAACATACATGCGCATGTGTCTTTATAGCAGCATGATTTATAATCCTTTGGGTATATACCCAGTAATGGGATGGCTGGGTCAAATGGTATTTCTAGTTCTAGATCCCTGAGGAATCGCCACACTTTCTTCCACAATGGTTGAACTAGTTTCCAGTCCCACCAACAGTGTAAAAGTGTTCCTATTTCTCCACATCCTCTCCAGCACCTGTTGTTTCCTGACTTTTTAATGACCACCATTCTAACTGGTGTGAGATGGTATCTCATTGTGGTTTTGATTTGCATTTCTCTGATGGCCAGTGATGGTGAGCATTTTTTCATGTGTCTTTTGGCTGCATAAATGTCTTCTTTTGAGAAGTGTCTGCTCCTATCCTTTGCCCACTTTTTGATGGGGATTTTTTTTTCTTGTAAATTTGTTTGAGTTTTTTGTAGATTCTGGATATTAGCCCTTTGTCAGATGAGTAGATTGCAAAAATTTTTTCCCATTCTGTAGGTTGCCTGTTCACTCTGATGGTAGTTTCTTTTGCTGTGCAGAAGCTCTTTAGTTTAATTCGATCCCATTTGTCAATTTTGGCTTTTGTTGCCATTGCTTTTGGTGTTTTAGACATGAAGTCCTTGCCCATGCCTATGTCCTGAATGGTATTGCCTAGGTTTTCTTCTAGGGTTTTTATGGTTTTAGGTCTAACATTTAAGTCTTTAGTCCATCTTGAATTAATTTTTGTATAAGGTGTAAGGAAGGGATCCAGTTTCAGCTTTCTACATATGGCTAGCCAGTTTTCCCAGCACCATTTATTAAATAGGGAATCCTTTCCCCATTGCTTGTTTTTCTCAGGTTTGTCAAAGATCAGATGGTTGCAGATGTGTGGTATTATTTCTGAGGGCTCTGTTCAGTTCCATTGATCTATATCTCTGTTTTGGTACCAGTACCATGCTGTTTTGGTTACTATAGCCTTGTAGTATAGTTTGAAGTCAGGTAGCGTGATGCCTCCAGCTTTGTCCTTTTGGCTTAGGATTGACTTGGCAATGAGGGCTCTTTTTTGGTTCCATATGAACTTTAAAGTAGTTTTTTCCAATTCTGTGAAGAAAGTCATTGGTAGCTTGATGTGGATGGCATTGAATCTATAAATTACCTTGAGCATTATGGCCTTTTTCATGATATTGACTCTTCATATCCATAAGCATGGAATGTTCTTCCATTTGTTTGTATCCTCTTTTATTTCATTGAGCAGTGGTTTGTAGTTCTCCTTGAAGAGGTCCTTCACATCCCTTGTAAGTTGGATTCCTGGGTATTTTATTCTCTTTGAAGCAATTGTGAATGGGAGTTCACTCATGATTTGGCTCTCTGTTTGTCTGTTATTGGTGTATAAGAATGCTTGTGATTTTTGCACATTGATTTTGAATCCTGAGGCTTTGCTGAAGTTGCTTATCAGCGTAAGGAGATTTTGGGCTGAGACAATGGGGTTTTCTAAATATACAATCATGTCTTCTGCAAACAGGGACAATTTGACTTCCTCTTTTTCTAATCAAATACCCTTATTTCCTTCTCCTGCCTGATTGCCCTGGCCAGAACTTCCAACACTATGTTGAATAGGAGTGGTGAGAGAGTGCATCCCTGTCTTGTGCCAGTTTTCAAAGGGAATGCTTCCAGTTTTTGCCCATTCAGTATGATATTGGCTGTGATTTTGTCATAAATAGCTCTTATTATTTTGAGATACGTCCCATCAATACCTAATTTATTGAGAGTTTTTAGCAGGAAGGGCTGTTGAATTTTGTCAAAGGCCTTTTCTGCATCTATTGAGATAATCATGTGGCTTTTGTCATTGGTTCTGTTTATATGCTGGATTACGTTTATTGATTTGCATATGTTGAACCAGCCTTGCATCCCAGGGATAAAGCCCACTTGATCATGGTGGATAAGATTTTCAATGTGTGTCTGGATTCGGCTTGCCAGTATTTTATTGAGGATTTTTGCATCGATGTTCTTCAGGGATATTGGTCTAAAATTCTCTTTTTTTGTTGTGTCTCTGACACGCTTTGGTATCAGGATGATGTTGGCCTCATAAAGTGAGTTAGGGAGGATTCTCTCTTTTTCTATTGATTGGAATAGTTTCAGAAAGAATGGTACCAGCTCCTCCTTGTACCTCTGGTAGAATTCGGCTGTGAATCCATCTGGTCCTGGACTTTTTTTGGTTGGTAAGCTACTAATTATTGCCTCAATTTCAGAGCCTGTTATTGGTCTACTCAGAGATTCAGCTTCTTCCTGGTTTAGTCTTGGGAGGGTGTATGTGTCGAAGAATTTATCCATTTCTTCTAGATTTTCTAGTTTATTTGCATAGAGGTGTTTATAGTATTCTCTGATGGTAGTTTGTATTTCTGTGGGATCGGTGGTGATATCCCCTTTATCATTTTTTATTGCGTCTATTTGATTCTTCTCTCTTTTCTTCTTTATTAGTCTTGCTAGCAGTCTATCAATTTTGTTGATCATTTCAAAAAACCAGCTCCTGGATTCATTGATTTTTTGAAGGGTTTTTTATGTCTCCATTCCCTTCGGTTCTGCTCTGATCTTAGTTATTTCTTGCCTTCTGCTAGCTTTTGAATGTGTTTGCTCTTGCTTCTCTAGTTCTTTTAATTGTGATGTTAGGGTGTCAATTTTAGATCTTTCCTGCTTTCTCTTGTGGGCATTTAGTGCTATAAATTTCCCTCTACACACTGCATTAAATGTGTCCCAGAGATTCTGGTATGTTGTGTCATTGTTCTCATTGGTTTCAAAGAACATCTTTATTCCTGCCTTCATTTCGTTATGTACCTAGTAGTCATTCAGGAGCAGGTTGTTCAGTTTCCATGTAGTTGAGTGGTTTTGAGTGAGTTTCTTAATCCTCAGTTCTAGTTTGATTGCTCTGTGTCTGAGAGACAGTTTGTTATAATTTCTGTTCTTTTACATTTGCTGAGGAGTGCTTTACTTCCAACTATGTGGTCAATTTTGGAATAAGTGCGATGTGGTGCTGAGAAGAATGTATATTCTGTTGATTCGGCGTGGAGTGTTCTGTAGATGTCTATTAGATCTGCTTGGTGCAGAGCTGAGTTCAATTCCTGGATTTCCTTGTTAACTTTCTGTCTCGTTGATCCATCTAATGCTGACAGTGGGGTGTTAAAGTCTCCCATTATTATTGTGTGGGAGTCTAAGTCTCTTTGTAGGTCTCTAAGGACTTGCTTTATGAATCTGGGTGCTCCTGTATTGGGTGCATATATATTTAGGATAGTTAGTTCTTCTTGTTTAATTGATCCCTTTACCATTATGTAATGGCCTTCTTTGTCTCTTTTGATCTTTATTGGTTTATCAGAGACTAGGATTGCAACCCCTGCCTTTTTTGTTTTCCATTTGCTTGGTAGATCTTCCTCCATCCCTTTATTTTGAGCCTATGTGTGTCTCTGCACGTGAGTTGGGTCTCCTGAATATAACACACTGATGGGTCTTGACTCTTTATCCAATTTGCCACTCTGTGTCTTTTAACTGGAGCATTTAGCCCATTTACATTTAAGGTTAATATTGTTATTTGTGAATTTGATCCTGTCATTATGATGTTAGCTGGTTATTTTGCTCGTTAGTTGATGCAGTTTCTTCCTAGCCTCGATGGTCTTTATAATTTGGCATGTTTTTGCAGTGGCTGGTACCGGTTGTTCCTTCCCATGTTTAGTGCTTCCTTCAGGAGCTCTTTTAGGGCAGGCCTGGTGGTGACAAAATCTCTCAGCATTTGCTTGTCTGTAAAGGATTTTATTTCTCCTTCACTTATGAAGCTTAGTTTGGCTGGATATGAGATTCTGGGTTGAAAATTCCTTCTTTTAAGAATGTTGAATATTGGCCCCCACTGTCTTCTGGCTTGTAAGGTTTCTGCCGAGAGATGAGTGTTAGTCTGATGGGCTTCCCTTTGTGGGTAACCGTACCTTTCTTTCTGGTTGCCCTTAACATTTTTTCCTTCATTTCATCTTTGGTGAATCTGACAATTATGTGCCTTGGAGTTGCTCTTCTCAAGGAATATCTTTGTGGTGTTCTCTGTATTTTCTGAATTTGAATGTTGGACTGCCTTGCTAGATTGGGGAAGTTCTCCTGGATAATATTCTGCAGAGTGTTTTCCAACTTGGTTCCATTCTCCCGTCACTTTCAGGTACACCAATCAGATGTAGATTTGGTCTTTTCACATAGTCCCGTATTTCTTGGAGGCTTTGTTCATTTCTTTTTATGCTTTTTTCTCTAAACTTCTCCTCTTGCTTCATTTCATTCATTTGATCTTCCATCACTGATACCCTTTCTTCCAGTTGATCAAATCAGCTACTGAAGCTTGTGCATTCGTCATGTAGTTCTTGTGCCATGGTTTTCAGCTCCACCAGGTCCTTTAAGGACTTCTCTGCATTGGTTATTTTAGTTAGCCCTCTGTTTAATCTTTTTTCAAGGTTTTTAACTTCTTTGCCATGGATTCGAACTTCCTCCTTTAGCTCAGAGAAGTTTGATTTTCTGAATCCTTCTTCTCTCAACTCATCAAAGTCATTCTCCGTCCAGCTTTGTTCCATTGCTGGTGAGGAGCTGCGTTCCTTTGGAGGAGGGGAGGTGCTCTGATTTTTAAAATTTTTATTTTTTCAGCTCTGTTTTTTTCCCCATCTTTGTGGTTTTCTCTACCTTTGGTCTTTGATGATGGTGACATACAGATGGGGTTTTGGTGTGGATGTCCTTTCTGTTTATTAGTTTTCCTTCCAACAGTCAGGACCCTCAACTGCAGGTCTGTTGGAGTTTGCCAGAGGTCCACTCCAGACCCTGTTTTCCTGGTTATCAGCAGCGGAGGCGCAGAACAGCGAATATTGGTGAACAGCAAATGTTGCTGCCTGATTTTTCCTCTGGAAACTTTGTCTCAGAGGGGTACCCGGCCGTGTGAGGTATCAGTCTGCCCCTACTGGGGGGTGCCTCCCAGTTAGGCTACTTGGGGGTCAGGGACCCACTTAAGGAGGCAGTCTGTCCCTTCTCAGATCTCAAGCTGCGTGTTGGGAGAACCACTACTGTCTTCCAATCTGTCAGACAGGGACATTTAAGTCTGCAGAGGTTTCTACTGCCGCCTTTTGTTTGGCTATGCCCTGTCCCCGGAGGTGGAGTCTACAGAGGCAGGCAGGCCTCCTTGAGCTGCGGTGGGCTCCACCCAGTTCGAGCTTCCCAGCCGCTTTGTTTACCTGCTCAAGCCTCAGCAATGGTGGGTGCCCCTCCCCCAGCCTTGCTGCTGCCTTGCTGTTTGATCTCAGACTGCTGTGCTAGCAGTGAGCGAGGCTCCATGGGCATAGGACCCTCCGAGCCAGGAACGGGATATAATCTCCTGGTGTGCCATTGCTAAGACTGTCAGAAAAGTGCGGTATTAGTGTGGGAGTGACCCAATTTTCCAGGTGCCCTCTGTCACCCCTTTCCTTGGCTAGGAAAGGGAATTCCCTGACCCCTTGTGCTTCCTGGGTGGGGTGATGCCTCGCCCTGCTTTGGCTCAGGCTCGGTGCACTGCACCCACTGTCCTGCACCCACTGTCTGACAATCCCCAGTGAGACGAACCCAGTACCTCAGTTGGAAATGCAGAAATCATTCGTCTTCTGCATCGTTCATACTGGGAGCTGTAGACTGGAGCTGTTCCTATTCGGCCATCTTGGAGGATCAGAATGATACCTTTTTTTAAAGTACTGAAAGAAAAAAATGTTAATACGGAATTCTATATCCAACACAAATTTGCTTGGAAAATGAAGGCAAAATGAAGATCTTTCAAACACACAAAAACTTAAGTAATTTATTTCTAGAATACATAAGAAATGCCAAAAGAATTTTCAGGCTGAAAGAGTTGTATCTTTCTTAGGGGAAATAGCATACCAGATAGACTGATAGGCCCCAAGATCTGCAGGAAAGAATGAAGAACAGGGAAGTTAACATAAGGGCAATAGTTATTATGAATGATCTCATCTTTGTAATAGTAATGTGTCTGTCTGTGTGTGTGTTTTTGTGTGTGTGTGTGTCTGTGTTCCTATGCACAATTTTATAAAAGATTATTGACAGTTTAAAGTAATATCTTAAGCCAATTGCAGTGGCTCACACCTGTAATCCCAGCATTTTGGGAAGCTGAGGTGGGCAGATCACTTGAGGCCAGGAGTTCAAGACCAACCTGGCCAACATGGTGAAACCCATCTCTACTAAAAATACAATAATTAGCAGGGTGTGGTGGTGCATGCCTGTAATCCCAGTTACTCGGGAGGCTGAGACATGAGAATCACTTGAACCCAGGAGGTGGAGATTGCAGTAAGCCAAGACTGCACTACTTCACTTCAGCCTGGGCGACAAAGTGAGACTCCATCTCAAAATAAATAAATAAAGTAATATTTTAAAAATAGTTTTTAAAAATATTATTGACAATGTAAACCAAAAATAATGACAATATGTTGTAGGCTTTATAGCATAAGACAACAGGATTACAAAACATGGGAGGGAATAAATGGAATGCTTATACAGTGTGCAATTTCTAGATGTCATTTAAAAAAAAAACAGTCCCCTTCTTCCTCTTTTGTCCTTCCTGTTGACTGGAATGCAGACACAATGGCTAAAGCTGAAGCAGCCATCTTGTACCACAAAGTTAACGTGGGAAATAGAGCCTAACACAGTGGAGCAATAAGATCAAGGAGCTCAAGGAGCTGACTAAACTTAAGTCAAGCACAGCTCTTCCAAGGACTGTGCAAATATGAAGCACCCAGGAGGAGAAGAGGCTGGAAAGTGAAGGCCTAGCACTAGCACTGGACTCCTCAGTGAGAGGGAGAGCTTAGCAGCCCAGTGGTATTCGGGCTTCTCTTTGCTAAGGTTTCTCCCAGCAAAGGCTGGGATGAGACACTGACTCCTCTAAGGTAGCAAAGTCCACTGTCATCTGCTCTGCATCACCAAATGCCATTCCGCTTTGTGTCATCTGGAGCTCCCACTTGCTTTCAATGATGTAGAAAGATGCCAGAGAAATTAGGTTGGTGTTAAGCCAGGTAGAATTAACACTCGTTCTTGCCTTTATCCCAGATTAGTTTAATAACTGTCTCGATCGGTCTTATTCAGAGCTTCTCACAGTTGCTAGCAAATGATTCCTTTGGCCCTACATGCAAGAAAATAAATACAGTTAATCCCAGGGGTCCCTGTGGGAATTGCCAGTATAGTCCAGATGTGCCATAAAATTCCGTTCAGACAATGAACCCTGTACATAAAAAATGCCACGGTAGGGACCCCTGTCTGACATGCTCAGGAGTGCATCCTCCCAGCCTTAAAGCCCTAACTCCTGGCTTCCACCCTCTGTCTCCAGGATCCCTCTAAGCAGAACCTCCTACTGTTCTTTCCAGGGCTGGGAAAGGAGAACAGGACTGCACACCTTGTCCCCACACTGTGGCTCGCTGGTTTGGGGAGGAGTCTGCAGCTGCACAGACCTCACCTTAACCTTGGTGGGTTCCTGGAAGCAGAAGCAAGAAGAGTCCAGGGCAAGTGAAGAGAGATGGGAAGGAGCCAGGCCAATTTTACCACATACCTTGGAGACCCTCTGAGTCTTCTCTGGGAATTCCCCTGACCCTGTATTTCCTATTAATGTTACGTAAACAGCATAGTGTAGTTATAACCTCCATGTCGGCTAAATCTTCTGGCCACTCAAAATCTAGGTAAGGTTGGCCCAGACTTCTTTTCCATGACCTTTGTACATCCAAAGCATTCCTGGATATCATTCATTTTCATTTGAGGGGTTAAGGTGTTGTGGGCATCCCTGCCTCTACCCATGATATCTTGGGTTCCTGTTATGCTGATTGAGACAGGAAAGTCACCCCATCCTTGATCTGCACACACCCAGGGTCATATTAGAAATGCTCACCTATCCTTGGCCAGGTGCAGTGGCTCACACCTGTAATCCCAACACTTTGGGAGACCGAGGCAGATGGATCACTTGAGGTCAAGAGTTCACGACCAGCCTATCCAACATGGCAAAACCCGTCTCTACCAAAAATACAAACAAAAAAAATTAGCTGGGTATGGTGGCGTGCACCTGTAATCCAGCTACCTGGGGTGCTGAGGTGAAAGGATCGTTTAAACTCAAGAGGCGGAGGTTGCAGTGAACCAAGATCACACCACTGCACTCC
Organism: Homo sapiens; assembly: GCF_000001405.40. Classification (NCBI taxonomy): domain Eukaryota; kingdom Metazoa; phylum Chordata; class Mammalia; order Primates; family Hominidae; genus Homo; species Homo sapiens. The sequence continues at coordinate 31,722,303 of NC_000010.11, forward strand.
AGCTTGGGCAACAGAGTGAGACTCCGTCTCAACAACAACAACAAAAAAAAAAAAAAAAAAAAGAGAGAGAGAGAGAAAGAAAAAAAGAAAAAGAAATACTGCTCACCTATCCTGGTACAAGCACTGATGATCAGAACAGACACACAATGGGGGTGAGCCCGCCCCAGGGCACCAGATTGTTAGGAGCTCTGCACACTAACCCACACAGACACATGTGCCCACTGTGTCAGTGAGGATGATCCACTAGACAAATTGCTGAAGGCCAAGAGGAGAGGTCATTTGTGTGCCATACATATTATTATACCGTCATTGGACATTCTCACTCTGAAAGTTATTTTGGCTGTGCTGCCAGCGAAGGATCCTCCTCACTTTGTCCTCACTCATGCCAGACACCATGAGTACCTAACAGCCACCTCCTGTTTTTTCCTTGCTATTGAAATCTCATTTTTATCCAAACACAGGGTCTGTGCTTTCCAAAGATAAGCCTTCCCACAGATATCAGGGGATGAGCCATGAGGGACCCAAGCGACTCAGACAGTTCCATCGCCCTTTTGCCAGGGAGGGGATAAGAGGTAGGCACAGACATCAGAGAAATCAGATCCAGCCAGTGGTCTGAAGGAAAGTCTCCTAGATGCTTCTGGAAAATATTTTCCTTCTTGGTAAAAATAAAAAGATACAAAGGAAAAGCCTCTCTCAGCCGGGCACGGCGGCTCATGCCTGTAATCCCAATACTTTGTGAGGTCAAGGTGGGAGGACCACTTGAGGCCAGGATTTCAAGACCTGCCTAGGCAACATAAGGCCTCGTCTCTACCAAAGTTTTTTTTCTTTAATTAGCCAGGTGTAGTGGTGCATGCCTGTGATCCCAGCTACTCGGGAGGCCAAGATGGGAGGATTGTTTGAGCCCAGGAGTTCAAGGCTGCAGTGAGTCATGATCACACCACTGAACTCCAGCCTGGGCAAGAGTGAAATCTTGTCTCCAAAAAAGGAAAGAAAAACCTCTCTCCTCCTCTGCTTTCAGCCCTAGCTTTGGTGCAGCTGCATGAGGACGTGTCATCCAGAGTTGTCAGACTTTGCTCAACCAGGAGAGGAGACTAAACAAGCTGAGGACAGCAGGCAGAAACGTAGAAGGAGCCTGGGTGCCTATTTGGGGACTTCTCCTTATAAATGAGAAACTTTAATTTCCTATTGGTTCTGCCACTTTTAGAGAGATATTCCGCTTCTTGTAGTCAAAAACTTGATGACACATAGGCTCCCCTCTCTTCTCTCTCTGTTCCTCTCAAGCTGAGATAAAATCCTCCTCACATTCTCATGCAGGGCGGTTTCAACAGCTCTTTCTCTTTCCTTGCCTTTCTACCAAAACCATGCCTTTCATAGTCTCATCTTGTATCCCAAAGAGGTTTTTCAAGATATTTTCCCAAACAACAAGAAAAAAATCCCTTCCCTAAGAAGAATTGTGGTGCTGACCTTAAGCACATTTTAGGTTAAAAAAAAAAACAAAAACACAGATTCAGGGCAGATTGTATTCAGGGATCTCCAAGAGATAACAATGTCTATAAATCATGGGATGCCCTGGCTGTCCTCTGTTGATTTCACTGTAGGCTTCTCATCTTAATCATCATAGAACTCCAGAGAAACATCCCTGATGGTTTAGTCTCAGGAACCAACACCCCCCGTGCCCCCCAACTGCCACCTCTGCCTCCAACCCTAGGATGGCCTCTTCTGAACCTTGGCTCCTGGAAGACTTTGTCCTTGAATTGGAGGCTTCTCCACTCTGATCCCAGCCTTTCCTTCCAGTTGGGGCCTCCCACCGACATACTCTCTAATCCAAGAAAACCAAACTTACTTCCCCCCTACTCCCACAACACTTATCTTTCTCACTTTGTCAATAATGCCCTCTCTTCTTTTCTCTCGCTCATTTCTCTCTAATTCCTTAATGTCCAACATAGACCTGTCTTTGTCCATCCCCATCCCAATAACCTGTCTGACATGCAATGAACACTACTGTGTGCCAGCTGCTGGACCAGGCTGGAGAGTCTAGGGAGACTGGGTGTTTAAGCTCATGAAGCTAATATTCTTGCAGGGAAAACAAACGTGTAGCAGATGATTACACGAATAACTGAGCTCAACTGAGACAAGTGCATTTCCGCGTTCATGGGTTGGGTGTGGGAAAGTGGACCTCCTCCTCCCAACCCCTTGTCATGGAGAGGAGGGTGCAGTGTGATGCAGGAAGGAACACATGCACAGGAGGAACTTAGCTTCAAACTGGCTCTGGCTCTTTCATTTGTGGAGCCAAGAGCAAGTCATGAAATCTCTCAAAGCTTCAGTTTCTTCATGTGTAAATTGGGGATAATAACACTTAGCTTCGCAGAATGGCTGTGAAGACTAAGATATCTCAAACACCTAGCATAGCACATTGTTAGGACTATTATCATAACACAATGTTAAATTGGAAGTTTCACCACGCTACAATAAATGTCATATTATATAAAGGAGATCTTAGATTATTTGCAGAATTTCAAAGCAGATAGCTGAAAATTACACAACCTTGAATCCCTCATTCACATCAAGGAAAAAAGAGTCGAGAGAGAGTAAAGATAAAGAGAGAATTTTGTAAGGCCGGGTGCGGTGGCTCACACCTGTAATCCCAGCACTTTGGGAGGCTGAGGTGGGTGGATCACCTCAGGTTGGGAGTTCAAGACCAGCCTGGCCAACATGGAGAAACCCCGTCTCTACTAAAAATACAAAATTAGCCGGGGTGGTCGCACATTCCTGTAATCCCAACTACTTGGGAGGCTGAGGCAGGAGAATTGCTTGAACCTGGGAGGAGGAGGTTGTGGTGAGCCGAGATCGTGCCATTGCACACCAGCCTCGGCAACAAGAGCAAAACTCGGTCTCAAAAAAAAAAAAAAAAAAAAAAGAGAGAGAGAATTTTGTAAGGAGGATTTTTGAGAGTTATTGGGAGCTGTGTGTCCCACCTTCATCCCAAGGGTAGTTGTGGTGGGGAGGGAAGATCTATGCCCTTCCTCTTGGGCCTAGTGGGAGGGGCTTTGGCGTGACCTTTCAGAAAGCTTGATGTGTGTTCCTTACGGTTAGGGGTCCAAGACTGGTGCCCAAGTCCTGACTGAGCAAGCCCAAGCAGCCTGTGTCACTGAGTTGGAGGGCGCCATTGACGTAATAACTTGAAACGCCCATGAAATTCATCTTGGAAGTTCCCACCCAGGGAAGGAAGGGGAAGCATTCATCCACCGGCTCCTCATGGCCTGCAGGTCAAAGTTGCTCCGCAGGTGTTAACGCTCCCACACTTTCAGATTGGGAGTAGCTTCTTGCAGCTGGCTCATGGCAGGGCTTCAGAAAAGCCACACGGCAGGAATCTAGCTGCCAAGGGGAACCTGGAGGCCAAGGAGCACCTGCACTTAGCTGATCAAAGCAATGACTGGAAGAAGAGGTAGGGCCAAGGGGACTGAAGAGATGCCAGAGATGCACTGCAGAAGCACTGAGCCTGTCTCCAGAATCATCCTTCAGAGCATCCAACTATGGCATCGTATGTGTGTTTAACTATACCTAAGAAAGAGACAGAAAGGAAGAGATGGGGCGGGAAAAGGGAGGGAATGGGAAGGAAAGAAAAATGTCTTTGTTAACTCTATTAGTCTTTCTTAGCCAAGTACATTTTCTTCACTGCCCCAAGGAAAGAGGTCACAGCTAAATGCAAAGAGAAAATACAAGTAGTTAATTCTCAGCATTTGAGCTTCCAGTGGCTTTGACGGATTGACCGCTTAATGGAACTGCTTTAGGTAATTTTTTTTTTTCAAAATTAATTTTAGGCCAGACATGGTAGTTCATGTCTTTAATCCCAACAGTTTGGGAGGCCGAGGCAAGAGGATCACTTGAGGACAGGGGTTCAAGACTAGCCTGGGCAACATAGCGAGATGCCCACTCTACAAAAAATAAAAAATTTAGCCAAGTGTGGTGACATGCATGTGTAGCCCTAGATACTGCAGAGGCTGAGGCAGGAGGATTGCGTGAGCCTAGGCTATGAGCATGCCACGGCACTCTAGCCTGGGTGATAGAACAAGACCCTGTCTCAAAAAAAAAATTATTTTAACTATATTCAATTTTTGCTTTATACTTTGATTTTAAAGCCCAGCCCCAGTATAAGATGCAATTCCACTATACAAAGATTTATGTACCAAGATATTAATTGAAACAGCATACTTAAAGGTAAAAAAAAAAAAAAAACAAAAACAAAACTAGAAAAAAGTCTACCCTAGTCCAAAAATGAATGTCTTGATTAAGTAAATGATGGAACATTCTTACAAGGGGTCGTTACACAGCCATTAAAAATGATGTTTACAAAGAGTTTTTAATGACTTGGAAAAATGCTCACAAAATAATGTTGAAAGAAAAACAGCAAGGTACAAAATTACATATACAGTGCAATCTAAATCATGTAAAAATATGTAAGAAAAAAAGCCGAAGCAAAACATGTTAAAATCTGCCTGAATTATAGGAATTTCCTCTCTTATAGTGGTCTATATTTTCAGTTTCCAAAAATGAGTAAATAATCAGGGAAAGAAAAGCACTGGGGGTGTTGTTGGGAGGCAGTGGGAAACCTTCTTTAGATTCCAGTCTTGAGGATGGTGTAGACGCTACACTCCTATGCATGTTTTGATCCAAAGGCTCTGCTGCACCTACGTGGTTGCTGGGACTGTCCTGACTGTCATTCCTTGAGGCTTTGGTTCTCTACCATTTTCTCCCTCCACAGTGCTTCAATGTGATAATCATAGGAAGCCAGGATGTACAGGCCATGGCATCTGCATGCTTTCCAACCATGGTGTGTAAGAAGAGCATCACACCATTCAGGGTGAAAGCACTCGCAAGCCTCGTTCCTTTCTCTGTGTTAAATTAAGACCAGTGTCTCACTCAACATTTGTTCAATAATTTTTATGAAATTCAGACCAGCCCCTCTCTTGATAAATTAGACAGTGTAGAAGACTATAACTATGGAGGAGGAAGACACTCTGAGGGTATCCGGCATTTCCCTGGGTCATTATCCTTGAGGGTGCAGTGCTGGGGGTGGGCTTTGGAATCAGATGGGCACTCATTGGTTTCATAACTGTGATAGGTGGTATAAAGGCCCCCTAACGATGTTCACATCCTAATCCCAGAATCTGTGAATATGTTACCTTACACAGCAAAAGGGACTTTGCATGATTCAGTTAAGGATCTTGAGATGGGGAGGTTATCCTGGGTTATTCGGGTGAACCCAAGTGTTCCTCTGTTTTTTGTTTTTTGAGAAAGAGTCTAGCTCTGTCACCCAGTCTGGAATACAGTGGCACAATCTTAGCTCACTGCAGCCTCTACCTCCCAGGTTCAAGTGATTCTCTTGCCTTAGCCTCTGGAACAGCTGGGATTACAGGTGCCCGCCACCATGCCCAGCTAATTTTTGTATTTTTAGTAAAGATGGAGTTTCACCATGTTGGCCAGGCTGGTCTCAAACTCCTGACCTCAAGTGATCCTCCTGCCTTGGCCTCCCAAAGTGCTGGGATCACAGACATGAGCCACCATGTCTGGCCCCAAGTGTTCTTCTAAAGGGAAGGCAGAAAGGCCATGGAACTGCCTTTGCAAAGATAATGACAGTGACAGAAGTCTAGCGTGGCTGACTCCATCTTGCTTCTAGCCTCACAGGCTGGCTGTCCTTGCTCATTCCTGGGCATAGGCCAACCTAAACATGGGAGCAGTTTGTAGTTTCAACCTTGAAGGAAAGATGAAAAGAGCCCCTCTCTAAAACTAAGCCCCTCTTTGCTCAGGGACTGAAGCAATCTTTGTAAAACTAACAAAAGGCCATGAGATTAGGATTACAGAGGAGCCTACATTCTGCTAAAATGTAAGTATAGTTTTTATAAGCCCTTATTGCTCATGGGTTATGTGGCCAGAAGTCACAAGATTTGTGACTTCCCAATTGCTCCTGTAGATAACATCCCTATTATAGAACTTAAGATTGGTCTTTTGAGACATTTTTCAGACTTTTGGATTCTGGCAACTGACCAACCTCACCCAGACTCATGGCTCAACCAGTACTGTGGCCCTTACCCAGACAGAGACTGACTCAGGTCATGAGGACCATTTTCTACACCACTGTGATTTTATCCTCAATCAATCAGCATCACTCTTTCCCTAGTCCCCTGCTCCCTAAATTATCCATAAAAACCCCACCCTCTAAGTCCTTGGGGAGGCTGATTTAAATAATAAACTCCTGTTCTTCCATTTGGCTAGCTCTGCATTAATTAAACCCTTTCTCTGCTGCAATACTGCAATCTCAGTGAATTGTTTTATCTGTGCAATGGGTAAGAAGAACCTTTTGGGCAATTACAGTCAGAATTAGAGGAGGTGATGTGACCACAGAAGCAAAAGTCAGAGAGAGAAAGAGAGAGATTTGAAGATGCTACACTGCTGGCTTTGAAGATGGAAGAAGAAGTCCTAGCCAAAGATGCCAGGAGTCTCTAGAAGCTAGAAATGTCAAGGAAATGGAGCCTCCAGAAGGAACACAGCCTTGTTGACACCTTTATTTTTTAAGCCTTAAGGAAATGTGATTATGGGGCTTGAGTCATGTGACAGACAGCTGTAACCTAGAGAGCTATAAGCTTTGTTTCTCTGATTATAGACTAGCTTTCTTCCCTACCTACATTGTTTTGTAAAATGTTGCAAATGACTAAAGGACACCAGGGAATATCCCTTCCCGCTTCCGTGTTGATCTTAATTGCAAATTATCTTCCCTCTTAGCTTTCTCACACAAAGACCTCATAGCTATCACATTGTCTGAAGATGGAAGGTTAAATACACTCTTTTAAATTGGACAGAAAATGAAAACCAGCTGTAAAGAAAAGAAAACAAGCCATCAGAAAACAAATTGTAACTAATTAAATTGTTGTAACTCATAAGCCAGCCTTGTATAGAAAGTGTTATAATCCTGCGAAATGTCTCTGTTTTCTGCACCTATAAGCAAGAGCTTAACTTTTAACTTTGGAGCACTGATTCCATTTCTCTGCAGTCTTTTTCTCCCAGATGGCCATTCCCAACTTTTTGCTTGAATACTCATTAAACTGGATTCTGATGCTTTCAATTATTTCAGAAGGACAGTGGTCATTTGTTATAGCAGTAATAGGAAACTACTGCAACCACCATGGACAAGTGTATTTCCCCATCTGTAGAGAAAGGATACTCATTTATATCTCACAGCATTGTCGTAAGCATCAAACCCAATATTGTATACACAATGCTCATTAGAGTATTCAATAATTGGTAGCTATTCTCTCTCATTGTTTAGCACATCACCTTATACCTGCGTAGCACTTTGCAGAGCACTTAGGAAACAGGCAGCACTTAGGAAACTATAACTATGGAGCAACATACTATATTGCTACAGTGGGCAACTATAACTGGGCAACATAGCAAGACCCTGTCTCTACAAAAAATTAAAAAAAAAAAAAAAAAAAAAAAAAAAACCAAGCTAGGAGTAGTGGTGCATACCTTTAGTCCCAACTACTCAGGAGGCTGTGGCAGGAGGATCCCTTGAGTCCAGGCATTCAAGGCTGCAGTGAGCTATGATTGCACCACTGCACTGCAGCTTGGGCAACAGAAAGAGACTCTGTCTCTAATAAATAAATAGAAACATGTAATGTGAAATTAAACCTACCACTGAGGTAGGGAAGTTGGCTTTATGAAATGTCATTACTTTACATACAACACCATGGAGGCTCTCAGAAGTTAAGTAAATTTTCCAAGGTCACACAGCTATTTAGTGGCAAACAGAATCAAATTGTCTCACTGTTGACCCTTAGCTGTGTGGATAGCTTACTACAACTATGATTCTCACCAAAAGAATCTGTTAAATATGTAGATGCTCGTACCTTACCCACAAGAAAATCTGATGCGAGGGGGCCCTGGTGGTGCTCAGGAATCTGCATTCTGTTGAGCTTCCTAGTAATTTTGACATGGGCTGGTCTAGTGATCCCACTCGGAGAAGAGCACACCACCTAACAGGTGCTTAGCTGTTGGATGCTCCCATCAGCTTCTACTTCTTTAAGGAAATGAGAAACTACAGCTCCCTTATCATGTTTTTAACTGTTTATTCCAAAAAATTTCAAACAGACAGGAAAAGACTACATCAATAATCATCCATATACTCAGTGCTTAGATTTTAAAACTGCTAGCTTTTTGTCATATTTGTTGTGTCTGTATATCTCTGTATATTTTCCTTCTTAGCTGACCATTTTAAAGTGTATTACAGACACCATGACATTTTAAAAACCATGTCTATAAAATAAAGACATTTTCCTACCATCCACAATAAATTATCAGACTTAACGAAACCAACAACAATTTTTGGACATCATATATGTTCATATTCAAATTTCCCTAATTTCCCCCCTAAATGTCTTTCATAGATGGTTAAAAAAAACCCAGGAACTGTGCTCTATCAATTTTGATGTAACTTCTTGAGACAGATCTTGAAGATTTCCAGGGTGATGTGTGGTGGGAGTCCCCTAGGTTTTCGATACCCTGATGAGCACATGGATCACAGGTTGGTTTTCCCCTGGAGCCCAGGCCAGATGACCCTGCAACCTCTCCCTGGCCAGAAAGTCCCTCTTGCTGTCAGTGGTGAGGATCAGCGGGACCATGTCCTCATGGTCACCTGTCACTATGTCACCTGTCACTATGATGCCCTGGAAAGCTGAGAGCTTGGTAACCAGTAGGTGCTAGGGTTTGGCAGAACAAACATTCAAACTATAGCAACAGGTATTTATTTCAGGGAGTTGTGTCATCTACCAAATGCTCAAGTTGCAAACTTTGGAAGCATCCTTGAGTGCCGATTCCTTTTTCCTCACATCCAAGTGATTACTTAGACCTGCCCATTTTACTCCTTGACTCCCAGATTCATAACTGAAATCTATTCAGAATCATCACAGGAATACAACTGTGAGGCTGTAGAACCCTTTCCTATAGTTGTTGCTATCCTTGTTGATTAAGCAACAAATACAGGAAAGAGTTCTAGAAACTCATAGCCACCACAATCCTCTCATATGCCACCCTTGTGCTCTAAAACCTTCCATGGCTCCTCATTGCCTACAGAATCAAGCCTAAACTGCATCACATGGCATGCCAGACTCTGTTTATCTGTTCCAGGATCTGTCCCTCTATTTGGCTACTCTTCATTCATCAGGTGAGTGAAGGGAAGTATGGGAAGGAGAAGAGACAGACCTCCGGGCAGAGAACAGCATGTGTGAAGGTGTGAGGTAGCACAGAACAAGGCACTGGGGGTGTGACATGGATGGGAGCACATTCCTACCCTAGAGCACACAGTCTGGAAGCGGAGGCAGATGCATCTCAACTTTAATAAACAGCGATTGGGTGTTCTGTGCTGTGGGGGTTCAGATGAGGAGTGGGGAGGCTCTAGGAGGGTGTCTTCAATGAAATGATAATGGAGTAGAGCATCAAGAGGTTAGGATTTTACAGGAAGGAAAAAGAGGATATTGTGTCTTAGCAGCGGGAGCACCAGGAGCCAAGGTGTGGAGCTGGGAAATTGTACAACAGATTGGGTAATGACCTGTCATCAGCTGTGACTGGAGCATAGAAAGCATGCATTAGGGATTGACAGGTTTTGATCTGTTCTTACTCCAGTTTCTCAGAAGTTTATCTACTCTCAGGATGTCAGGCACTAGCCATATACTGATGACTCTCAAATCTCCACCTCCAATATACATCTCTCTCTTAAGCTTCAGACATGTGTATACAACTGCTAAATGGTCATCTCCACTTGACTCCTACAGATACCAAGACGTCAACAGACCCAACCTCAGTTGTACCCATTAAACCAGTTTCTCCACAAGTGTCTTAGTCCATTTAGTATTGCTATAAAGGAATACCTGAGGCTGGTTAATTTATAAAGAAAAAAGGTTTATTTGGCTCATGGATCTGCAAGCTGCACAAGCATGACACCAACATCTTCCTGGCTTCTTGTGATGACCTCAAGCTGCTTCTACTCATGGCAGAAGCTAAAGGGGAGCTAGCATGTGCAGAGATCACATAGTGAGAGAGGAAGCAAGAGAGAAAAGGGAGATGCCAGGTTTTTATTTGTGTGTGTGTGTGTGTGTGTGTGTTTTTTTAACAACCTGCTCTTGTGGAAGCTAAGAGAGTGAGAACTCACTCATTACTACTGGGAGGTCACCAAGCCATTCATGAGGAATCTGCCTCTGTGACCAAAACACCTCCCACCAGACTCCACCCCAACACTGGGAATCACAGTTCAACATGAGGCTTAGGGGAACAAACATTCAAACTATAGCGACAGGTATTTATTTCAGGGAGTCATGTCATCTACCAAATGCTCAAGCTGCAAACTTTGGAACCATCCTTGACTGCCCATTCCTTTTTCCTCACATCCAAGTGATTACTTAGACTTGCCCATTTTACTCCTTGAATAATTCTACGTTCCACCCTGTTTTCTCCACTCCCAGTGCCACTGCTCTAGTTCAAACCATGCTCATCCTCAACAATGCTCAGGCTATAATCAAGGCATCTGTCTCCCAGCTGGTCCTCCTGCCTCTAGTACTGATTCCTTCCATCCAATCTCCACACTGCAAATCAGAGTGGTCTTTCCAAACTACAAATTTGACCATGTCTTTTCCTGTATTCCCACACACATATGCCTCTTAAGTTGCTTCAACATGCTCCCAACTGCTCTCAGAATAATGTCCAAAACCTTAACATGGTTGCTCCCACCTGTCTCTCCAGGCTCATGGCTCTCACCTCCCCCTTTCCATCCCCAGGCCCTCTTCCTCTATCTCCCCTCTCATTCTCAGTTCTCGGAAGAAGCCCTGGAACACTCTTCAGTTCCCAACTTGCTGCTCCAGGTCATTTTTTCCCCGTAGGAAACAATGTACCCCACACACTCCCTAGGCACTGACAGAATCACACGTATCAAGGAGCAACTTCAGATGGGGACCAACTTTCCCAGGCATTCCAGAGCATAAAGAAATTGTTGTTAGCCCAAAGAAGAAAAATGTAAAAATCAACCCAAACTTGAAGATAGTTATCTCTAAACATTTTCCATCAACACCAAAATGTAGCAGGAGCTCTGGGAGAGCTTGGGGCATCTTTTCACATGGCACAAATGGGTAGTGTCCTCTTTGCTGGCAACATGATATGACACTATTCATTCTGCATGGTCAGCACTGAACAATCACAGGCTCCCTAGCTAATGGTCCAAGTGCCCAGAAATCAAAGTATAGCATATTGATTTATTTTTATGCACCTATTTGGAGTAGGATAATGTATACTGTAAATGGAAAATAAATCTCAGGACCCCAAAATCTCTAAGTCACAGGGAAAAGTCAAGCTGGGAACTGTGTCAGGCAAAGTTTCCTCCTATTTTATTCCTAAATAAGATAGCAACAAGATAAAAAATAAAAATAAAAAATTAATAAAAGCTACGTACCTCCCTCAAAATTTGCCCACAGAGAGATTCCTTGTGGGCCTCAAGATCTTTACCCTAAAACAGTTCTGTTGAATTTCACCTTGGCGATGTAAATTGATAGCTTTTCTTCACAGGTGCAGGACAAAGGACAGAACTCAAAGTCATCCTTCTGGTCACAAATGCCTATCTGATTTCTTCCTCTGCCCTACTGTTTATGTAAAAATGCAGCTTCACTGAGCAAGACTAAGGCATACGTGACTATTCCTCTACCTCCCCTCACATGTAAATTGTATATTCAGGGAAAGGCCGATCAAAGACTCAAAAGAATGCAATCATTTGTCTCTCATCCACCTATGACTGGAAGACCCTGCTTTGAGTTGTCCCGCCTTTCCATGCTGAACCAATGTACATCTTACACATACTGATTGATGTCTCATGTATCTCTAACATGTATAAAACCAAGCTGTGCCCTGACCACCTTGGGCACATGTCATCAGGACCTCCTGAGGCTATGTGACTGGTGTGTCCTTAGCTTTGGCAAAATAAGCTTTCTAAATTGATTGAGACTAGTCTCAGATACTTCTGGGTTCACAATTCACATCTATATTTTGTCTGATTTCTTAAGCACTGCCACACTGGGGGATGCCAAAGAGCTATACAATCATTTCTTACATTCTTACTGGCCTTGACTTCAGACACTGATTTTTTTTTCAGACTTTTCCCAGAAGGATTGAGAGTCATATGGTTCAACTCTATTATCATTTTCTGAAAACAATCCATGTCCCATTCTTGGAGAAAACCATTTCGTTGGTCCCCTTTACAACTCTCCTTCCACTCTTCAGATAATAGTGCATCCTCAAGTTCAAAATTCTTGGGTTTTAATTTGTGGGGCATATGGGAAACAAAGAAGGGAAGTTAGTGGCATTTGGCTCTATCTGGCCTCCATCATCTTCCGGCAGACTTCAGAACAAAGATCATGAGGGAGTGGGATAACTGGTGTCTCTGTTCCCAAATGCTACCTCCAGTACTGGACTGCTACTTTTAAATCTTGGCTGTCTCAAAGCATCCCATATGACAATGACTGTGGACAAACCTTGGCGGCATGATTTATCATCTCACTAACCCCCCATAGACCCTCAGGAAAGTCTAGTCTAATAAATACGCAGCCACCTGTAACATGAAACTGAACTGATGTTCTCTCTTGCCCTGGTATTGATGAGTAGGACCCAAGCTTAAGACAAAGGAATTAAGTACTCAATCTTCTAAAGAGAGCTATGAGCTTTATACCTGCCCCACAGAGGCCCTCTTTGCCAATCTGAGCAATGGGAGATGTCAGGGACATCATCAGACTTGAGTACAGGATCACTTGCAGAGTCACTATCCTCTACCACTGAGCTCCAGTCACTTCTGTCTTTGTTGCTCCCTCCTGTCTGTTCCCTGCCAGTTTTAGTAGAAGGACCAAGCTAATGGCTTGGAATGAATCTGCTCTGGTGGGAGCCAGGCTTGAGTCACATTCAGGATCCTTTCGTATCTCTTAATCTTCTCTTAGTGGGCTTCAACTTCTAGGATTATCTTCCTCATCAGAATTTCTCTGCATGCACTGCAATCCACCATGATAGCAGATTAAAATGAATGTCTCATTTGTCAGAGAAATTAGTTCCTGTATTAGTCTGTTTTCATGCTGCTGATAAAGACATACCTGAGACTAGGCAATTTACAAAAGAAAGAGATTTAATCAACTTACAGTTACACGTGGCTGAGGAGGCCTCACAATCATGGTGGAAGGTGAAAGGCATGTCTCACATGGTGGCAGACAAGAGAAGAGAGCTTCTGCAGAGAAACTCCCCTTTTCAAAACCATCAGATCTCATGAGACTTATTCACTATCATGAGAACAGCATGGGAAAGACTTGCCCCTATGATTCCATTACCTCCCACTGGGTCCCTCCCACAACACATGAGAATTCAAGATGAGATTTGGGTGGGGACAAAGCCAAACCATATCATTCCACCCCTGGTCCCTCCCAAATCTCATGTCCTCACATTTCAAAACCAATCATACCTTCCCAACAGTCCCCCAGAGTCTTAACTTATTTTAGCATTAACTCAAAAGTCCACAGCCCAAAGTATCATCCAAGACAAGGCAAGTCCCTTCCACCTATGAACCTGTAAAGCCAAAAGCAAGTTAGTTACTTCCCAGATACAATGGGGATACAGGCATTGGGTAAATACAGCCATTCCAAATGTGAGAAATTGGCCAAAAAAAAGGGGCTACAGGCCCCATGCAAGTCTGAAATCCTGCAGGACAAATTTTAAAGGTCTAAAATCACCTCCTTTGACTCCATGTCTCACATCCAGGTCATGCTGATATAAGAGGTGGGTCCATGGTCTTGGGCAGCTCTGCCCCTGTGGTTTTACAGGGTACAGCCTCCCTCCTGGCTACTTTCACAGGCTGGCATTGAGTGTCTGCACCTTTTCCAGGTGCATGGTGCATGTTGTCAGTGGATCTACCATTCTGGGGTCTGGAGGATGGCGGGCCTTTTCTCACAGCTCCACTAGGCAATGCCCCAGTAGGGACTCTGTGTAGGGGCTCTAACCCCACATTTCTCTTCTGCACTGCCCTAGCAGAGGTTCTCCATGAGAGCCCTGCCCCTGCAACAAACTTTTGCCTGGACATCCAAGCATTTCCATAAATCCTCTGAAATCAAGGTGGAGGCTTCCAAACCTCAATTCTTGACTTCTGTGCACTCTCTGGCTCAACACCACATGGAAGCTGCCAAGGCTAGAGGCTTGCACCCTCTGAAGCCATGGCCAGAGCTCCACATTGGCCCCTTTTAGCCACAGCTGGAGTGGCTGGGACACAGGGCACTAAGTCACTAGGCTGCACACAGTATGGGGACCCTGGGCCTGGCCCACGAAACCACTTTTTCCTCCTGGGCCTCTGGACCTGTGATGGGAGGGACTGCCCTGAAGACCTCTGACATGCCTTGGAGACATTTTCCCCATTGCCTTGGGGATTAACATTCAGTTTCTTGTTACTTATGCAAATTTCTGCAGCTGGCTTCAATTTCCCCTCAGAAATTGGGATTTTCTTTTCTGTTGCACTGTCAGGCTGCAAATTTTCTAAACTTTTATGCTCTGCTTCCCTTATAAAACTGAATGCCTTTAACAGCACCCAAGTCACCTCTTGAGTGCTTTGCTGCTTAGAAGCTTGGTCTGCCAGATACCCTAAATCATCTCTCTCAAGTTCAAAGTTCCACAAATCCCTAGGGCGGGGCAAAATGCCACCAATCTCTTTGCTAAAACATAACAAGAGTCACCTTTGCTCCAGTTCCCAACAAGCTCCTCATTTCCATCTGAGACCACCTGAGCCTGGACTTTATTGTCCATATCGCTATCAGCATTTTGGGCAAAGTCATTCAACAAGTCTCTAGGCAGTTTCAAACTTTCCCACATTTTCCTGTCTTCTTCTGAGCCCTCCAAACTGTTCCAACCTGTTAGTTTTCATGCTGCTGATAAAGACATACCTGAGATGGGGCAATTTACAAACGAAGGAAGTTTAATTGACTTACAGTTCCACATGGCTGGGGAAGCTTCACAATCATGGTGGAAAGTCAAAGGCACATCCCACATAGTGGCAGACAAGAGAAGAGAACTTGTGCAGAGAAACTCCTCTTTTGAAAACCATCAAATCTTGTGAGACTTATTCACTATCATGAGAACAGCACAGGAAAGATTTGCTCCTGTGATTCAATTACCTCCCAGGGGGTCCCTCCCACAACACATGAGAATTCAAGATGAGATTTGGGTGGGGACACAGTCAAAGCATATCAATTCCCTTACCTCAGCAGCAGTTTTCAGGGAGCCTAAAGAAGACCCCACTCCCCAAAAGCCTTACAACCACAGGATTTTTAATTATTGGGATATTTTTTCACCTATAGGAGCCCTCAAGACCTTGGCTGAAACCACTGCAATAACTGTTTCTGAGCAATGTTTCTCTTTCTGAGGGAGGTGAAAGACTGTTTCCTTTTCCTACCCTAACTTATGTAACTTTGGTACCTAGAGAAAGTTGAAAGATTGGGTGTTGTGCTGAATATTCCCCATCAGTTCCTCAAGATCCATTCTGGATGACACGGGAGACTGACTCTTTCAGACAGTAGCAACAGTCCCTTGTCCTGTTGCTTCTGGTTAGATTCAACCACTGGGACTCACTGACAGGCAACTGAAAGGTAGAAAAAGGGTGAGGCTAGGGGTATTCGTTTGCCCTAAAGAGCTGAGGATTTGCCCTGTAGAGCTGAAGATTGGCAGTAACAGCATTCCCCTTCCCAAGGCCAGAGGTTCTCTTCTCTGGCCCTCTTCCTACAGCTATAGCTCTCTCTTCAGGCTCTGGTAACCACTCAGACCTACATAAGAAAGCAACCCAGCTCTTTCCAGCCCAAGGGTGCTATGCCATACCCTACTGATTTCCCTTAAGTCTGCTCACAACTAGGAAATATCTGTTTGTTAAACCCTCTTTAATTACGCTAATTCAATGTGCCATTCCTTTCCCACTGCAACCATGACTGACAAAGTAACTGGGACCAG
Source organism: Homo sapiens (assembly GCF_000001405.40). Lineage (NCBI taxonomy): Eukaryota > Metazoa > Chordata > Mammalia > Primates > Hominidae > Homo > Homo sapiens. The sequence goes on from NC_000010.11 coordinate 31,738,359, forward strand.
GAATAGCCCCAGAAGAAAATAACCCTCAAATGAAATTCTAGGATGGGATTGCTTACATACCAGAGGGACATAGAATGCAGATAATTTATAAAATATAGTTGCACTATAGTTACTCAAATTATCACCAGTAGTGGCATTGGAAAAATGTAGATGGATAGCAAGATGTTGGCAGAACAAGTGGCTTAGCTATGCTGGTAATGGATAATACTGATCTACGGTGTGGAATGGCTTTTCTGACAGCCCTAGAGACCATACGCAAACACACTGAAGCTCGTGCATGCCTAACTCAGAACATGGGTGGACAGCTCGATGGTAGATTTACAGAAATTTCTTATCTCCTGTAGGACAGATATGACTAAGTTTCAAGCCCAGGGACTGATTATAAAGGTGACAGACATGCAGCACCAATTAAATTTTCAACACCACCAGATTTCTTATGCTTTCCTCTGGTTGAGAATGGTAAGTTGATTGAAAGAGTCAAACTCTGTAAAATATTTTAAGATATTTATTTTGAGCCAAGTATGAGTGACCAATGGCTATGACACAGCCCTCAGGGGATCCTGAGGACATGTGCCCAACCAAGATGGTAGAGCTACAGCTTTGTTTTATACATTTTAGGAAGACATAAGACATCAATCAACACATGTAAGATGTACATTGGTTCAGTCTGAAAAAGCAGGATAACTCAAAGCGAGGGCTTCCAGGTCATAGGTAGATTCAAAGATTTTCTGACTGGCAATTTGTTGAAAGAGTTAGGCCATTGTTTAAAGACCTAGAATCAATAGAAGAGAATGTTTTTGTTTTTGTTTTTTATCAGACTTAAAGTCTATTCTGTCTGTCTTAAGGTATCTATTTTAATATTAATGCTGGTCAGCTGTGCCTGAATTCCAAAGGGAGAGGGTATAATCAGGCATGCCTGACCCCCACTTTGTATCATGGCCTGAATTAGTTTTTCAAGTTAACTTTGGAATGCCCTTGGTCTAGACGAGGGGTCCATTTAGATGGTCAGGAGGTCTGAAATTTTATTTTTGGTTTACAGCTAGGACGCTGATTCCCAGATCAAGACATTTAAGCAGACACAGATGTGACTCCTAAGTAACCACAGGACCCACTTCCACACCCCTCATTGCCTCCAGACCCATAGTGAGAGCTACATCCCAGTATATCCCAGATGGAGAAGGACAAAGCTGAGTCTGTACATCAGAAGAGTTGCAGGAAAATTGGCAGGAGTGTGCAGAGCATGTATGGAAGGGGGTCCTAAGGGTATTACATGGAGAAGGATGAAATGCAAAACTTGATCAAGGAGAATGTAATGATATGGGTGGATTCGCTCAAGACTCAAGATTTACTGTGCTGGCTTGAGCACCTGGAAGTGGCCTTCATAGCTATGTTGGCTAGCAGAAGTCTCATTCAACAGTGGCTGGCAGTTAATGAGGACTTTTCTAGCATTCTGAAGAAAAGGAAACTGAAGGCTTAGGAAGTTGGGAATGTTGGAGAGGATCTATTCTGTGCAGCATTCTTAACTACGCCTTAACCACACTCCCCAGGAGGGCCAGAGGACACTCCCTTCAAAGGCCATAAGAATTCCATTAGTGAAATGTTCACAGGCATCCTGGAAAAGCACTTCTTGGCTGTTTTCTGTAAGCAGGAAATGACACTGGGAGAGGCTGCAATGGAATTAGGTTTCTTGATTATAATGGGAAAAAAAATGGAATCCCAGAGTAGTAGAGGCCAGATGTCTCATAGGCACATGGGACACAATTACCCTAATGAGCTGCAGAACTGATGTGGTAATTGGAGCATTTTATCCTATAGGGATCTGGGGCACTGGCTAACTAATCATGGGGTCCCTAGGATTGCAATACATATGTAGACCATTAGGGTGCTGCTTGACGTATGTTAGCAGAAAAATTCTGAGTCTGGTGGGCAGAATCATAGTGGGAATTTACCCAGTGTTCAGACCCCAAAACCCAGAGATCCAGAATCTCTTGACTTTGGGAGAGAGAGGAACAGTGTCTTTGGACAAGTGCCCTGCAATGTGGCCGTAGGTATATACTGTGAATCTTTCTCCAATCCTCCAGAGAGACTGGAGGTCATTCAGCAGAGTGAGAAGGGGAAATATCTAGACCTTCCAGGGACTATTATACGCTGTTTCTGAACTCATGCTAACCACCAGAGTCTCAAATTGCCACTGTAGTCCACAAGTCACAGTGAGCTCATGGAGACCAGGTGATAAATGGAATAGTGGCCCAAGTCTGTCTTAAAATGGGTCCAATAGGACTGAGGATGTACACTGCAGCTATGTTTCTAGGCCCAGAATGTGTGATAGTAATAGATATATTAAGCACAATTTTATCTGGAATGGTAGGAGGGGCCACGTAGGAGCTGCTCACTTCCAAGTGGAACTGTCCCCTCCCACACTGCAAAGACAGTAAATCCAAAGAAATATCATAACCATGGTGGAATTACAAAGATTAATGCAGTCATCAAATGCTTAAAAGATGCAGGAGTGGTGATTCTTACCACATTAATATTTAACTCATATGTTTGGCTGGCACAAAAGCCAGCTAGATCATAGAGAATTACTGTAGATTATAGAAAATTTAGTCACATTGGTGATGCCAATTGTAATTGCAGTTTCAAATGAGTATTTTTACTACAGCAAATCAAAAATGCCCCTGGCACCTGGGACACAGCTATAGTCCTAGAAAATGATTTTTTTCCAATTCCACCAGTGAAGCTGGTTGTCTTCACATGGCAAGGACAAGAGTACACATTCACCCTAGGCTTTATATCAGGGCTGTATCAATGATCTGCTTTCTATTGTGATATAGTCCACAAGAACTTGAAATCTTGATCTCTTACAGAACATCACTATTTCACTGGTGACATTGTGTTAATTGGACCTGGTGAACAAGAAGTGGCAAGTATTTTAGATGGCCTAGTAAGATACATGCATGCAGGAGATGGGAGATAAATCCCATTAAAGTGTAGGGGTTTCCATATTGTGAAGTTACTAGGGATTCTGGAGCCTGGCAGATGTTAAGAGTGAGTGACAAATTGTTACATCTTATTCTTCCTACCACAAAAAAAAAAGATACAACTTTTGGTAGACCTGTGGGTTTTAGAGATAACATATGCCATTCTTGGGTATGCATCTCTGAGCATTTAAGCTGCCAGTTATGAGGGACATGAGACCAAAATATTCTCTGGTTATGGTGCAAGCTTCTCTGCCTCTTGATGTCTATGAATAAGCAGACCCAGTGGTAGAGGAAGCATTTTTATGCAGCCTATTGATATGGTTTGGCTGTGTGTCCCCACCCAAATCTCATGTCAATTTATAATTCTCAGTGTTGTGGGAGGGACCTGCTGGGAGGTGATTAGATCATAGGGATGGATTTTCCCCTTGCTGTTCTCATGATAGTGAGTGAGCTTTCATGATATCTGGTTGATTTAAAGTATGTAGCACTTTTCCCTGGGCTCTTTCTCTTGCCTGCCACCATGTGAAGAAGGTGCTTTCTTCCCCTTCACCCTTCTGCCATGATTGTAAGTTTCCTGAGGCTTCCCCAACCATGCTTCTTATACAGCTCGTAGAACTGTGAGTCAATTAAACCTCTTTTCCTCATAAATTACCCAGTCTCAGATATGTCTCTACAGCAGTGTAAGAACTGACTAATACACCTATATAAAATATAATCAGTATCCCCTGGAGGACTCTAGCAAAATAAACATGCAGATCCCAAGGCTATGGGTGTAAGGCCTCTTTTGCTGATATTTGCAAAGCAGCTTCTTGCTTGCCACTAGGCTCTGGCAGACAGTGAATTCCTCCCTGGTCACAGGACAGCAAGCGACTATGTGACCAGGGCCACCCATCATGACCTGAGTATTATCTCACCTACAAAATCAGCCCCAAATAAATTGCATAAGCAGTATGCTGACTAATTTTATATGTCAACTTGACTGGGCCACAGTGCCTAGATATTTAGTCAAATATTATTCCAGATGTTTATGTGAGGGTGTTTTTGGATGAGAATTAAGTTTGAATCCATTGATTTAGTAAAGCAGATTGCCCTCTATAATGTGGGTGGGCCTCATCCAAGCAGTTGAAGGCCTGAATAGAACAAAAGGCTGACCTTTCCCAAGCAAGTGGGGATTCACCAGCAGACTGTCTTTGGACTCAAACTGCAACCTTTTCCTGAGTCCGCTGACCTACCACCATCACATTTTGGACTCACCAAGCCTTCACAATTGAGTGAGCCAATTCCTTACAATAGATCCTTCTGTATATATGCATGTCCTGTTGCTTTCATTTCTTGGAAAACCTAATTCAAGCAGATAGCTCAGACTCTTGGAACCTGCCCCTATTACCTACTTGCCTCTCTCACAACTTATATTTTCGGCTTTGTAGGAATCCCCTATGACTAATTAATGAAGAGAAACCCCAGGCCCAGTTTAAAGACACACAGCATCAGCCAGGAGCAGATGGCCAGTGTCACTGTATTCCTATTCAGCTGTGGCTGTGAAAGCGAGTAGTGAAGGAAAATCATCCCAGTAGGCAGCATTCTGGGAAGGATATCAGATTATTCACTTCAAATGGAATGAGAAATGGTCTGGAGTACAGATTTACACAGAATCATGAGCAGACGCTAATGGGATGGCCAACTGGTCAAGGACTGAAGAACAAGACTGGAATATTGGTGACAAGGAGTTCTGGGGAAGGGTGTCTGGGTAGACTTCACTATCTAGACACAGATTGTGAAGACATTTGTGTCCTACATGAGTGCCTACCAGAGGGCATCCCTGGACTTAATCATTGAGACCATGTACGAGGTGGCTTGTTCCACCTCTTCTCTGGGATGAAGACTGTGATTGTCTTAACAATGTGCAGCCAATAACAGAAGTCAGTGCTGAGTTCCCCATATGGCATCAATGCTCCTAGACATACGACCTGGTTGTGTCCCCATATGCCCATTGCAAGTTGAAAATATCTTAAGTTGAAAATGTGTTTAATACACCTAACCTACCAAACATCATAGTATAGGCTAGCCCACCTTAACCATGCTCAGAACACTTACATTGGCTTGTCATTGGGCAAAGTCATCTGGCCACACAGGGCACTGTAGAGTGTTGGTTGTTGACCCTTGTGATCACCTGGCTGACCAGGAGCTGCTGCTGCTGCCTCTGCCCAACATCACAAGAGAGTATTGTACCACATATTGCTAGCCCAGGAAAAGATCAAAATTCAAAAATTGAAGTACAGATCCTACTGAATGTGTGTCACTTTTGCACCATTGTAAAAGTCAGTAAGTTGAACCATCCTAAGTCAGGGTTGGTCTGTATTATTCGCTGAGCTGAAGTCACCATCAATCTGGTGGCAGATTGCTAATAGTAAATCCCATCCAACATGGTATGGCAGTGATGGGTCCTTATATGAATAGATCTATATTCTACATGTTTTTGGTTTCCCTGTTCATAACACTCTACCAACACTGTCCCTATAGAATGCCCTATTCATCACTATAGATCACATTGCCTGTGATCAGAAAACTCATCTTAAGATTAAAAAAAAAGGTGCAGCACAGGGTTTATTTTTATTTTTTATTTTTTGAGACAGAGTCTCACTGTGTCACCCAGACTGGAATGCAGTGGTGCAGTGGCACGATCACAGCTCACTGCAACCTCAACTTCCCAGGCCCAGGTGATCCTCCCACCTCAGCCTCCCAGGTACCTGGGACTATAGGCACACACCACCACACCCGACTAATTTTCTGTATGTTTTGTAGAGATGGGAGGTCTTGCCACATTGCCCTGGCTGGTCTCAAACTCCTGGCATCAAGTGATTCTCCTGCCTCAGCCTCCCAAAGTGCTGGGATTACAGGCATAAGCCACTACACCAAACCTGTTGCATCCTCTTAGGAGGTGTTTGCTTCTGATCCTTGCAAACTTGAGCTCAGTGGGTTTGCAGGTCTTTGTGCACAAGGGAAGAACAAGGGAACACAACCAAGGTTCTGTTAAATGGGAAGCTGAGACTGCCTTCTAACCATTTCAGGCTCTCTTTCTACTGATCCAACAGGCAGAAATGGGGCTCGCACTGCTGGCCAAGGTATCTGATATGATTACAAAGGAGGAATTTGCTTGCCACTCACTATACAATGAGGGCAGGGAAGACTTTATGCAGAGTCCAGGAATTTACAGGCCAGTGCTTAGTATTCTCTTAATTCACTGTTCAGTGGAAAATCGAGGCAACCCAATAACAACAGGACCACCAAGGATGCTGATCGTGAAGGAATAAAGATAACGAACCCAGCTCGGTTGAGGCACTATCAGAGAATAGGAAAATAGGTAATAGGCAGTAAGGGGACGAAGCCACTATTACTAACTTGGGCCTCAGAAGCAGGTATAGCATGTAGCAGCTTCTATGTTAATTACTTGATGTTCTTTCTTCACTTTCACCCCAAAACCTCCCATGAAGAGCATCATGGCTAACACTTTAGATTTGAGATGAGAGCATGATGTTAGCGACCTGCCATCATTCTGTGGATGGTGAAGTGCAGGGTGTCTCTTTTTTCCACTCTCTACTCTATGTCCCACAGGCAGGCCTTTGTGGACTGCACCAATGGGTGCCATGGTCTTCAGCAGCTACGTGGGTTTAGCCAGAGGAAGGCACTGGCAGGAGACTGGAGGCAGGAGGAGAGTGAGTTGTAGCATTTTTTCCACCTGCTCCTTCCCACTGGATTGGAGGTTGCCAGTGGCCTCAACACTGTACCAAAGATTACAGCTCCCACCTCACAGGGTTTCTTTCCCCAGGTTCTGATACCTGCTCCCTCCCCTTGCTCCTTCTCTTCAAGCCTAGAGGGAATAATGGCTCCCTCCTCCTGTGGTGTTTCCTTAACTATTTTTGACTTTTCTTAACTCTGTAAACTCTTGTCAATAATTTCTTTATTAAACTCTGCTGGGCCAGGCATGGTGGTTCATGCCTGTAATCCCAGCACTTTGGGAGGCCGAGCTAGATGGATCACTTGAGGTAAGGAGTTCAAGACCAGCCTGGGCAATGCAGCAAGACCCCTTCTCTACCAAAAAACTTAAAAATTAGCTGGGCATGGTGGTACACACCTGGAGTCCCAGCTACTTGGGAGGCTGAGGCAGGAGGATCTCTTGAGTCCAGGAGTTTGAGGGGTGCAATGAGCTATGATCACACCACTGCACTCCAGCCTGAGCAACAGAGCAAGACCTTGTCTCTAAAAAACAGAATTAAATGTTTTAAAAACTCTTCTCAGTTGCTGTATTTGAATTGCCTATGACAAACCTCTCTGATACAGCCTGACGTGGTCCAGCTGAATTTAGAATGAAACTCTTCTCTCAGACTACTGCCAATCCTCACGGGTTCTCAGCAGGCCTGATTCATATTTCCTGGATCTCTGAGTCACCTTTCTGCATCCTGTGTAAATGTCTTTAGCCCCACACTCATACAGACACCTTTTCATCAGCCTTCTGACTAGATAATCAGGAAGTCATCCAACAAAGCTCTCCTAGTCTCAACTGGCGCACATATGAGCTTGCTTCATGGAAGGTTCTAGAGCATTTGGTCTCAGTCACTAAAGCATCTTAGGAGCAAAGTTTTGAATGGTGAGCAAACTAGAAAGCTGCAAATGAGTTGCAGGCATGCCATGCAAGATGATCCCCTCATCCTTCAGGGCAGCTGAGCAGGGCCTCGAGCAGCTGGGGGAGCCTCACTTAATGCTCCTGGGAGGGCAGCCAGGGAGCATGGGGTCTGCAGGCATGGTCCAGGGTCCTGCAGGCGGCACGCACCATGTGCAGCCGCCCCCACCTGTTGCTCTGCCTCCGCCACCTGGCCATGGGCTTCAGCAGCCAGCCACAAAGTCTGCAGCTGCTGTACATGGACAAGAAGCCCACAAGCAGCTAGAGGACCTTGTGTTCCACGTGCCCAGGGAGCATGGCCCACAGCCCAAAGACCAGTCAGGAGCAGGCAGGGGCTTCTGGCAGGCCCAGCTCTACCTCTGTCTTCACACAGATGGGAGATTTCTGTTGTGATTTTGAGTGATGTGCCCCTTTGGTGACATCCAAGATAGTTGCTGAAGCACCGCTCTAACAATGTGTGTGTATTCTGAAAACGAGAACTTCTTTATTCTGAAATAATTGATGCAAAATAAATTAGTTTGGATTTGAAATTCTATTCATGTAGGCATGCACACAAAAGTCCAACATTGCATATGACACAAAGAAAAGAAAAAGCTTGCATTCCTTAAATACAAATATCTGTTAACTATATTTGCAAATATATTTGAATACACTTCTATTATGTTACATATAATATTATATGTATATGTATATATAATATACATATATATGTTACATATAATATACTTCTATTATGTTACATATAATATTTATCTATAAGTAAATACATAAATATAAAGATTTGAGTAGCTGTAGAACATTGTCTTATGTGTTATCAGCTACTACTACAAAAATATCTCTTCCACTTATGCCAGTTTGCCATATAAATATGATCATGTTTTACCGTGGCACTTACGGAAAAGGTCAGGAAACACTGCTCTGAGGCATTGCACACACATAATTCCCCTGCCTCTGAGACCTGCCACTCCTATAACGTATTGGCAGCAACGACAACTAGGAATTAAATGCTGAATTGAACACCTGAAATAAAGACTTCCCTAACATAACCACAACTCTCAACAATCATTTCCCTCATAATAGCAGAAATAATTTCCCATGGGGCTAAAGCAGTGACACACACACACACACACACACACACACACACACACACTCTTCTAAGGTTACCCTGATATAAGAATATGAATTGACCTAGGATGGAGGTAGTTGATTTCAAAGGGTGAAAGGAACAACATAACCAGTAAATGGTTCAAGTAAAATTCTAATTCAGAGATCTGGCATGTCATAGGTACTGTGCTACTTAGCCATAGTCAAAACAGATGGGTCTGGAGTTGAAACACCTTGGTTCTCAGACCCCTAGATCCTTCTAGGCCTGCTTATGAAAAGGCTAAGTATAAGAAAAGAAAGTAGAAATGAATGGCAATGTGAATGAACCAGACACTAAATAGTACACACTATGTGATTGAATTATTTTAAAGAAGAAAAATATGCAAAATTAATCTATGGTGTTAGCAATCGGGATAGTGGTTAACCTCCTCAGGGTGGGGCAAGGATGGTAAAGGAGGACAGCAGAGGGGCTTCTGGGCTGTTGATAATATAAAGTTGCTTAATCTGAATGGTGGTTACACAGACATTTTCTTCTTGTGAAAACGTATCAAGTTGTATAATTACGTGTTATCTTATATACATGTTTATTATGCCTCAATTACAAAGTTCTAAATGAAATGGCAGGGAGCCCATACTAATATCAAGATACTTGATAGTCAGGCACTGGCATAGAAAACAGAAAACAAAAACAAAAATTCAGGGGCCCTGGCTGACCACAACCTCAATATGAAATATCAAGTTAGTGTTGTTAGAAGCAAAGAAACAAAGTGAGCTGATAACTGGACTATAACAAAGTATACTTGTGTGACTTACAGAGATTGGAAAGTAGTTCTTCTCTGATACAATGTAGCAACTCAAACCCTGATTAGAATAATGGGTCGTTTTGCTTAACATCCCTTTTTTTTTTTTTTTTTTTTGAAACGGAGTTTCGCTTTTGTTGCCCAGGCTGGCGCGATCCCGGCTCACTGCAACCTCTGCATCCCAGGTTCAAGCAATTCTCCTGCCTCAGCCTCCCAAGTAGCTGGGACTACAGGCATGCACCACCATGCCCGGCTAATTTGGTATTTTTAGTAGAGACGGGATTTCTCCATGTTGGTCAGGCTGGTCTCGAACTCCCGATCTCAGGTGATCCACCTGCCTTGGCCTCCCAAAGCACTGGGTTTACAGGCGTGAGCCACTGTGCCCAGCCACATCGTTCTTAAAAACATTGAAAACTGGAAGGGATTCAGAGATGGGCAATAGAGATGATTAAAAGAGATAAAAAATTGCTCTAAAAAAAAAACCATTAAAAGTAACACATTTTTTTAAAAATTGGCTGCTGGTCCTCTCATCTTGATAAATGGTCATATAACTTTCCTATGCTTTCCTCAAATTCTTTTTTCCTTTTCCCTTGTCTTTATTGGCAAGTGGACTTCTAAGAGCAGAATAAGTCGATTGAAATTAATGTATTGAGCAGATATACCACGGTCATTAAAACATAAAATAAAAAGATGTTTGGTCATTAAAAAGCACTAGCTAGGCCGGGCATGGTGGCTCGTGCCTGTAATCCCAGCACTTTGGGAGGCCAAGACAGGCGGATCACCTGAGGTCAGGAGTTTGAGACCAGCCTGGCCAACATGGTAAAACCCCATCTCTACTAAAAATACAAAAATTAGCCGGGCGTGGTGGCGTGCGCCTGTAATTCCAGCTACTCGGGAGGCTGAGACAGGTGAATTGCTTGAACCCGAGAGGCAGAGGTTGCAGTGAGTGGAGATCACACCACTGCACTCCAGCCTGGGCAACAAAGAGTAAAACTCTGTCTCAGAAGAAAAAAAACAAAAGCACTAGCTAAAGTAATTGAAGTTGCTGTAGCTTAAAGAAGAGAAGGCTTAATTCGCCTTAAAATAGCTGAAGATTTTTGAGAAGCAAGGTTATTGGTCATCCTGCACCTCAGAGAAATAGAAGTAAATAATCTTAAAACAGATTTCAGCAAGATATCAGAAAGACTGGATAAAGGTGTGAGTCACAAGTTCTGGGGACATTCAGGTGGAGAATTAGGATATTTTGACTAGGCCAGGATTTTTCTAACATCATAATTTTTATTATCTCATGAGTAATGAGTTCGATTTTATTTATAATGACAATAGTTTAAGTCTGTAATGCCTTAGAGCTCTCCTGGAGGGGCACTTTGACAGCATTTGCCTCCGCTTGGAGCCCTGCTTTTGAACTGGTACTGCCAGGGGGAGATCGATGCTCACAGGCTGCCCCGAGGCAGCAGGTGGGCGGGCTGTGGCCTACAGCCCCTCTGCTCCCCGGGGCCGTGCCAGGCCAGGCCTGAGGATGCCGGCTGTCAACAGTCACCATGGTGACCTCATAGCCAGCAGCTGCTCTCCCCACTGCGGTGAAGGTGTCTGAATGGCTTCTGAGGCGGGTCCAAGGGCGGTGGGCAGTCCCAGATAAGGCCCGAAGCTGGGGAAGGTCCTGGCCACTTATTTAGCTGAACCCATCACCTCTCCTAGGGCTCCCAGCAGAAGTCGGGGCTCGCTTCAGGGGAGGTTTTGCCAGAATAGTCTGAGAAATGTCTCCTGGCATTTATGCTCCTCTGCTGACGTCCCCTTGCCCTGGGAAAGTCTGTGATGCCTGGAAAAGAGACCACAGTGGGAGACCATTTTTCCAAGGGAAAACTGATTTATGTGAATCCCAGGTTCAGGGCAAGACTCTATCCCATCAGCCTGATGTTTTGTTCATTTTTGAGCTGTCAATAGGAAATCTGGACACTCCAGACCTGAATCTAGAAGCGGCTTCTGCTCTTTGTCCCAAAAACCTGCAGCTCCTTGAGCAGCCCCTTTTCCCTAACACCCCTGGCACCCAGCCCTGCACACCCAGCCCCTCCACCACAAGCTCCACGGCCGGCACCCCCTGCCTGGCACCTGGCGCCTGGCACACACACAGCAGGGCCGGGCCAGTGCCCGCGGGAGCCTAACAGCTGGCAGGCCACCTCTCAGCCCGGCTGGGCTTCAGGGGAGAGGGGAGGCCGGTCTGGGGAGGGGAGTCTCAATGGAGACTCCAGCAAGACATCTGCTGCCCTGGCCACGAGATCTGAAGGGCGGATGCAAGAAGAGACAGAGCGGGGGTGGCAGGACAGCCCCTACCCTGCAGCTTTGCCAAGCACTGGCTCCCACTCTCAGAGGTGGCCATAGCCTGTCCCTTTTAACGCCTGTCTCCTCTCCCCTCCCCCTGTCAGCTGGCGTCTCAGGAAAGAAGTATCACAAGCAAACTGCCACGGAAAAACAAAGCTGTCTGCTGGCCGCCAGCCAGGCTTGCACTGCCGCCCCTGCAGCCAGTCCAGGCTCCCCCACTGAACCCCACTCCGGGCCTACAGGCCCTTCCCTGACATGTGGACCCCCGGCCCTGGGCAGCCGCTGGGCCCCGGCCAGCTCAGGGGAGGACACCTCCCTGCTTCTCCAGCCTCCTCTGACGCCCCCATCCAATGCTGGGAGGATGGAAAGGTTGAAGCTCTGTAGGCCCAGTGCCCGCCTCGGGGAGGGAGGTACTGATGAGCAAGGGGACTCGCCTTCTCACTAAATTATGAGCCTGGAGCCTCCCGGGCGGCTCCTGTAGAAGCAGCCCTTCCGCCCCATCTGCTTTTCTCTTCTCTGGGCCATTGCTCCTTTCAATCCTATGAGCTAAGGAAATTGGTGTTAGGGTGATGGGCTGTCTCAAGGATCCAACGCTATTTCTGGGAGCCTGGTTAGAAGAAAGAAAGAAAGAAACTGTAAGGCCAGGTGCGGGTGCAGTGGCTCATGCCTGTAATCCCAGCACTTTGGGAGGCTAAGGTGGGAGGATCACTCGAGGCCAGGAGCTAGAGACCAGCCTGGACAACGTAGGGAGACTCTATCTCTATTAAAAAAAAACACACAAAAAAAACAAAAAACACATTAGCCAGATGTGGTGGTGCACACCTGTAGTCCCAGCTCAGGAGGCTGAGGTGGGAGGATCCGTTGAGCCCAAGAGTTCCAGACTGCAGTGAGCAGTGATTGCACCACTGCACTCCAGCCTGGATGGCACAGCAACATCTTGTCTCTAGAATGAAAAGAAAAAAAGAAACTGTCATCACCCCATGATTAGCATAAGGATTTAAAAATAAACTAGCAGTTCTGGCTCTTGGCCTTGCAGAACAGTTTATAAGCTGACTGAGGGGGTCCAAACATTTATGTCACCCATGACTCTCAGGCAATCTGGGATTTTCTTTTCTCCAGGAACGCTGCTGATTGTGTCCAGGATATGAAAGCAGTGATCTTAGGGAAGCTGGGCAGGGGGACAGGCAGCACCAAAAGTGACCTCTAGGCCCAGTAATGGAGGGGACTTTATCCCTGGTGACTAGTGGAGCCGCGTCATGTCTATAAGAACGTACTGCTGGCCTAAGCAGTCCAAGGATGCTCCTTTGGGAAGTCCCCAAGTCAGAGTACAATCACAGGGTGACAAGAGGGTCATTGGCCCTGACTTACATCCTCCCCACTGTCAGCAGCATGGGCTGTCTTCCTGCGGTTTGTACTCACTGTCTGCCCACTTGCTTCCCGTTTCTGGTTTTTTGCAGATTAGGCTTTAACCTTCCTTCCCACCCTTCCTGAGATCTAGAGACTCACCAGGAGAACTCCTAGGCAGTTGAGCTTGTCTTATAGGTGGTCACCGATCAGCCTTCCCTCAGGGCGGCAGCCTCTCTCCCTCGCATCTTCTCCCACTGGTCATCAGCCACTTGCAGCATTCAGGCCCCTGAGAACTGCCAGCCCTGGCTGCAAATTCTGTGAATCTCACAGAGCTTCCACCTGCATGGCTCGGGCTCCAAGGAACACAGAGAATGCGGACCCGGACAGGTGCTGTGCGTCACAAGAGCTAGTGCATGCTCGTGCATGCTCATGTGTGCTCATGCATGTTTGTGCACGCACACACACACACACACACACACACACACACAGAGGTGTGACCTAGCTAGGTGCAACCATTAATCTCCAGCCCCACTCTTTCCTTAGACCTCGACTCCCTCCTCTCCTCCCTGTCTCCTGGCCCCTTTATTGGGCCATTATTGAAGGCCTCAATGTATATCTCTCCACTTCTTGCCTTTCTACACCATCATGTCATCATCCATTTATTTGACTGTCTCCCCCTCAGGTTCCAGGAAGTGGCAGCAGAGCTATATCTTGTTTGGGGGCTAGGATAGTGAGCACTTGTTAAGTGTGTGTGGAGTGAATGGGATCCTCCAGATCTTCTGCTAATTATCAGCTCAGCCATCAGCCTCTGGGGCTCCAGGGGCGCAGCCAGACATGACTAGCCTGGTCCCCTTGGCTCTTCCATCTTCTCACCCTCTGCATCAAAGCAAATGGAACATGTATTTTTAATGACTTAGGCAAGCCCCATGCTTTTAATAGGGAGAAAAAGGAGAAACACTTAGCTAAATACACAAAATGGGCTTTAGTCTCCTAGGAGTTCCATTTCAGGATAGAATGCGAGAGATAATTTTTTTAAAAAGCAATGGAATCTCTTTGCCTCACCCCTTGTCACTCCCTCGGCAGCTCTCACTTGGACCTCTTAGCCCTCCTGGGACACTGCACCCCCAGTTGCTGGAAGCCAAGGAAAAGCACATCTTATGTGTAGCAGGTGCTCAGTGTGGCCACGGAAAGAACACCATTCTGGGGGTCATGAAACCTGGTGCCAACCATGGTGTTCTCAGATGTGCTGCTCACTTCTTTACACTCTTGTTTTTCCACAAAATAACACTAGATCCCTCCCCTGCCCTGCTGGCCTGTCTTATAGGATGGTTGTAAAGAATAAGTAAAGTAAGAACTAGGAAAGGGCTTTGGAAAATCGCATTCCATCTCCCAAGTGCGGTGGTGGTGGTGATTCCTCAGAGGCTGGTGCAGAGCGGAGAGGCCAGGCCGGCCTGGGAAAAGCGTGGAGCAGAAGGAGCAGGTGTGACATTGTCCCACCTCTCCCTTCAGCCTCACGTCCCTTCCCCTTCTCCACTCTGCCCTGTGTGCCCCTGCTAGGAGCTGCATTGGGTCCCCCCAAAATTCATGTGTTGAAGTCCTGACCTCTAGGACCTCAGGATGTGACTGTGTTGGGAGACAGAGCCATTAAAGAGGTAAGGAAGGTTAAATGAGGTCACCAGGGTGGCCCTAATGCAATAAGACTGGTATCCTTAGAAGAACAGATTAAGGGACAGACACACAGAGATGGAAGACCACATGAAAACATCAGATGAAGACAGCCATCTACGAGCCACGGAGAGAGGCCTCGGGAGAAACTAACCCTGCCTGCCTTGATCTTGGACTTCCAGCCTCTAGAACTGTGAGGACACACATTTCTGTCTGTGGGGCTTTGCTATACAGGCCCTCCCATTCTTTCTACTCCTCCTTTGGCCCAATCGGGTGTTGCAGGCCTTCAAGGTGCCACTTCCCTAGCCCCTGAGAAGCAAATTCCCAATGCCTGCTTCACAGCGCTCTCACGCCTGACAGGGCAGAGCATGGCAGCTGAGGACGCTTTCACTCAAAGATGTCCCCTTTGAGGGGTGATTTCTACCACGCTACTAAGACACTCAGGAGAGCAGAGCATCCTCCCTGTCCATGTGGAACCTGCGCTATTGGAGAGTCCCAAAAGCACATCCTTACAGCTGACGGTATCACCTGGGAGATTGATAACAATGCTAACTCCTAGCCAGGTGCAGTGGATCTCGCCTGTAGTCCCAGCGCTTTGGGAGGCCCAGGCAGGAGGATCGCCTGAGGCCAGTTTCAGACCAGCCTGAGAAACATAGTGAGATTTCATCTCTACAAAAACTAAAAACACATTAGCTTGGCATGGTAGCCAGTGTCTGTAGTCCTAGCTACTTGGAAGGCGGAGGCAGAAAGATCACTTCAGCCCAGAAGTTCAAGGCTGCAGTGAACCATGATTATGCACTGCACTCTAGCCTGGGTGACAGAGAAAGACACTGTCTCTAAAACAACAACAAAAATACTGACTCCTGAGCACACCCTTAGAGATTCTAAACCAATAGGCATGAGGTGGTCTGAGAATCTGTGCTTGGATCCCCTGGGGACATGGGGCACAGCTGGGTTTCAGAATCACTGACCAGCTTGCCACTGTGTGAGGACATCCCTACTTAACTCACAAGCACCCACCAAGTCTATGCAGAAAACCTCTGAGAGAATCTCCTTTGTGAAGTCTGATAGGCCCTGGCCTCCTGGTTCCTCTTTTTTTTTTTTTTTTTTTTTTTTTGAGACAGAGTCTTGCTCTGTTGCCCAGGCTGGAATGCAGTGGTGCAATCTTAGCTCATTGCAAACTCCGCCTCCTGGGTTCAAGCGATTCTCCTGCTTTAGCCTCCCAAATAGCTGGGATTACAGACATCCGCCACCACGCCCAGCTAATTTTTGTATTTTTAGTAGAGACGGGGTTTCGCCATGTTGGCCAGGCTGGTCTGGGATTACAGGCTTGAGCCAGCCCTGGTTCCTCCATTTAATGGAGTCCAGTAAAAAAATGATGTTTGCTCAGAGTCACGAATCACAGAATATTGGAGCCAGAAGGCACTTTAGGGGTCATGGAATTCAAGCCCCTCTGTTTACCTGTATGGAGACCACAGGGGTGAGACATGGGATAACCTTGCCCAGACCCTTAATCAGCCAGCGCTGGAGCCTGGGCCCAGGTTTCCAGATTTCCTGTTTCATTCTTGCTTTCTCAAGAGCCCTATTAAACCCCATTCCTGTTCCCGAATATGACCCTGACAGCAAAGAAAATAAGAGTGTGTCAGGGCTGACTGTGCATCTGCATGCCAAGCCTCACTGTGCATTATCTCACTGAATCCTCACAGTCACCCGGTCACATTTGACTGCATGTTTCACATTTTATAGGAGAGAGACCTGCTCGAAATCACACAGACAGTAAAGGCAGAGTCTGGACTCCCCCCAGGTCTGTCTCTCTCAAGGTCCCAGCAGCCCCTAATCTGGAAATGAGAAGCCTGGGCTTTTCAAACTGCTGTGGAGAGCTGGAAGAGCACCAGGGACTCTCCTGCTGGGCTGGCATCCCGGGAATTTGTGCCGTTTGCTTTGTGGCCTGGTCAGGTGTCCTTCCTGCCCCACCCCATGGGCTTCTGGCCTCGCTGTCTCTCTGAGCCGGGCCAGCAGGAGAGGGTCTGGCTCTGCCAATGGCCCCTTGGGTCTCTCCTGGCAGCTCTCAGATGACACTCCTGCTGGGTGCCAGGGACTGGGGCAGACCTAGCAGAGGAGTGGACAGCTCCTGCCCTGGTTCTGTGACTTTCTCTCTGCCTCTTGTTACTTAAGACTGGGCCATTTCATCCCAGCTGTCCGTTTTAAACACTGCCATCTCTGGCATCTCGTTGTGTTCCTGGACCTACATGAAGGCATCCTGTGAGCGTCCCCAGTGCGTGATGGAGGGGTGGAGATGAGAGATGCTGGGGGCGGTCTCCCATACCCACAGCTTCCAGGACGTCTACTATTAGCTCCTGGATCGCTGCCCTCATCACCAGCGCAGCCTCCTTAATCTCACCTTCCACAACCCTCCTGCTCCCCGCCTCCTGTCCTATCAGAAGATTCTAGCTCTTTCCCATGACATGAACTAAATTGTGGGGCTTCCTGCATTCATTCATTTGTTCAACAAATATTTATTAAGTTCATGATGTGTCCCAGGCACTGTTCTAGGTACCGGGATGGAAGAAACCAACCAAACCACACAGACAAAAACCCCTGCTCTCATGGGGCTCGCATTCTAGCGGGGGAAATAGAAGGTGAATGAGATAAGTAATTAAGTGTAAGTTAGGGGTCACACCAGGGGGAAAAAGAAAACAGAAGGGAGATAGGAGGTGTCAGGGGTGGTTGAAATTTCCAATAAAGAGGCCAGGGAATGCCTTACTGAAGTTATTTTTTGTTTTTAAATTTTAAAGCCAGTCTAATTAGCAGCGGGGGAGTGTATACCAACTTTAGTGACAGTAATGTTAATAAGTTCTGATAACACACTGCCATGGGCCCAGCCTGTGCCTGAGTGAAGACAAGAAGCATTGAGGGCAGAAAGATCACCAAGTGCAAGGGCCCTGGGGCAAGAGCAGAATGAAGCAGAGCCAAGGAGTGAGGTCAGGCAGGTGTGGGAGGGAGCAGGAGGCAGTTCATGCAGTGGGGCGGGGTCGGGGGTAGTGGGGAATCCTGGAGGGTTTGGCAGAGGAACGCAAAGGTCTGACAGCCCAGAAGGAAGGAGGGCAAGGGTGGAAGTGGGCAGAGCCACCAGGAGACTGCAGTCACCCTAGGTAGGTTTGGTGGTCGCCGGCTACATCCATGGAGGTGATAAAAGGTGGCTGAAGATATATCTTGAGGGTAGCATCAACATAAACTGTGGACTGACTGGAAGAATGGAACTTTTTGTTCCACTGCCAGCCCACCCCGTCTCTCCCACTCACTCGTAAACACACATCGGCCCCCAGCTGCCCACACTTCCTACCCTCCCGGCAGACCCTAATTATCCAGAATTTTTTGACTCCTTCCCAATTCCCAAACCTTCCCTGTCCTGTCCCAGGAAGTCAAATCCAACTCAGACACTTAATAGCAGATGACCTCGGGGGAATTATTTTCCCCCTTCTGACCCTGTTGGGGGCTTGGGTTTCATCCTGCCTGCGTTCAGGCTTCTCTGGCCTCGCAAGGGGTCGAACCAAGAACTGCTGGGTTGCAGCTCAGAATCACCTGGTTTGAATCCCACGCTACCACTCATGAGCCTTGGGAAAGTTACTTAACCTCTCTGAGCCTCCAGTTCCTCTTCTGCGAACTGGAGTGGTATTAATACCCACCGTGTGGAGCTGCTGTGAGAGAAAATAAAACCGCACATGCAATGCGGTTAGCCTCCAGTCCACTCTCTGGTAATGCTCCGATGCTGAATTATCAAATGCTGCCGTATCTTTAAAATAAACGGAATGCAGGTTAGCATGCCTTTCCACCCCTACTCTGTAAACAAAATTAGGATGAGAATGAAAAACACCCCATCCTCTTTTTTGCCAAAAAAAAAAAAAAGCGTTTGTGTCCTCTGACTTTGCTCAGGGTTCTCAGCCTTCTTGCAGAGAACACTGACTTTGTAGGTAATTAGTGCATTCTCACAAAAAGGGGGATGTCCCAGGGACACCATCTTGTAACCCCCTAGGATTTGGCTTAAGAATTTGCCTCTGGGGGTCTGCAACAAACTGTGCAAATGTATGTAGCCTCTGAGGGGAGCAGATCTTCCTCCTCCCTGCTAAGGAGCTCCGGTGGTCTCCGGCCTCGGGGGGCCTGGCTTTCCCTTCACCACAGGCAGCTCACACCTTCTAGAAGCAGGTGAGGATGGGTACTGCTCCCCCTTGGCCTGCCTGGGTATTCACAAGTCTGTGAGCCAAGAGGCTGTCTCAGGGCTGTCTGGGCAGGTGCCAGGGGATGAGAGAGACAATAAAACATGAGTGCCGGGGCCATTTTCTTTTCTGAAAAGATCTTTATTTCCACACTAATTGCAATTTCTGGTCGGCTTCAGTTCAGACTCAGCCTTGCGCGCCTGGAAGTCATTCCTGGCGGGCTTCCTCCACCTTCTTTTTCTTGGCCAGACGTGGCCAGTCATAAACTGACAGGGAAAAACAGCTCTCCAAATGATTTTGGTGTCTTGTCTAGGGTTATTATTGAGCTTGGGACAAATCCCAAACCGGCCTCTGCTGCTGCAGATGCCGACCTGAACTAGCTCCTCTCCACTTTAACTTCACCTTCATCCTGGTTTGCTGATTACAGATGAATTCATTTTTCATCGGACTCTCCAGGCTGCCCCACAAACGAACACCTACATGAAGGCCAGAGCCAGGCTGGGTTTGTCAGGCAGTCAGGCCCTGTGGGAACTGGAGGCCTCTCCTCCAGGACTGGACTCACCCTCCCATCTGAAAGGCCCTTTATTCTAGGACTTAATGAGGCAAAAGCAGTTAAGTGCATGGCTATGGAACCCACCAGATGTGAATGGAGAATGGGGAATTTGCAGGGTGGAGAAGAGTTCAAGGGATGAAAAGAAGGAATTCTGGACAGACTAAGCATGGATGTGGGAATAACACGCCACGTCACGTCTATTGACAGACGGGTTTCCCTCAAGCTGCACTCCATGCTTCTCATGGCAGAGGCAGGGAGTTTGTGTTTTTAGGACTTTAGCGTGAAACTGAGAATCATCTTGTGTTTCGAGCATAGAGATAACGATGAAAGAACACAAAGAAATGATAAATGCTTGAGGTGATGGATACCCTGTTTACCCTAATGTGATTATTACACATTGTGTGCCTGTATCAAAATATCTCATGTACCCCATAAATAGATACACCTACTACGGACCATAAAAATTAATTTTTAAAAAGAAATACTGATGAAAGCACAGATTTTTTTAAGGATGGGAATGGGAGAAGTTTCAGTGTATGTCAAGGCTCACAAACCTTATCTGAAAGAGACCGCCGAGGCATGTGTGTTCCTGTCCTTCCCTACCCCTTCCTATCCCTGAGCCACACCTCTGGCCTTCCATGAAATTCAAGATTGCAAAATCATTGAATTCCAAACGGGTCCATTTTCTGCTGGGTGCGATTGGTAGTTGGTCTGTATGATGACAGCTAAAGGAAAAAATGCAATTATTCAAAATTATGAGGAAATCCAGGCACTGTGGCTCATGCCCGTAATCCCAGCTACTCTGGTGGCTGAGGCAGGAGAATTGCTTGAGGCCAGAAGTTCAAGACTAGCCTGGCCAACATAGGAGACCCTGTCTCTAAATAAAAATAAATTTAAAAATAAAAAATAAAATAATGAAGGAAAAAATGGTTGGAAAACAAAGGATGCAGACCAACTCACTTCATGCCATGTTCCTTCTTAAGGTGAGAGACAGGTCCTAGATGAGAAGAATTTTATTCACATAAGACTGACCACTACACTATAATAAAAGAGTTAATTTTTATGTTCAGTTTTTTATTCTCTCAGTTGCCAGAGATGGGGGGAAATCACATTAAGTGCTGGCAGCCAGGTTTTGTCATGAGAACAAGGCATCGAAGGGCGAAGTCCGTGAATGATCTTGGGAAATGTGTGTCACCCTGACCTTTAGAGACGACTGCATCCTGATTGGCTGCCTATGCCGCCCTCTCCCCGGGAGTCGGGAGGGTTGTAAATACAGAAGAAATGGAAAGGCAGGTAATCAAACAAGGCCGCCGCAGTACGCGGCGCTGGGAAGGGGAAGGGGGGCGCTTCGGGCTTGAATAGGGTCCTCCGGGTGGGCTGGACCGTAATCCCCAGTGGAGTGCGCAGGCTTGCGGAAGCACGGGAGGGAGTGCGGAGAGCACAGGAGGGCCCACGTGTGCCCCGTGGGCGTCGTCCGAGTCCCCCCGCCCCCCCCGCCCCACACACCGCAGGACAGGTAGGGGCGGGGGTGGGTGTGCTGGGAGGTGTGGTGGGCGTGCTGGGGGATGGGTGTGTTGGGGGAAAGGGGTGTGCTTGGGGGGTGGGCATGCTGGGGGTGAGTGTGCTGCGGGGTTGAGTGTGCTGGGTGGGGGTAGGTGTGCCGGAGGGGTGGGCGTGCTGGGGGGCTGGGCATGCTAGGGGGAAAGGGGTCTGGGCATCCCAGGGGCGGGGGCTCTAGGCGAGGCCCCCAAGGAAGGAAGCCCCTCCCCCGCACCCCTGCTGAGTGCGCGTCCAGGTGGATTTGGGGAGCAGGTGGCGCGGATGTCTCCGCCGCCGTCCAGGTGGGCGACTAAGAGTCCTCACCCAGGAAACGGCGTTTCTGCTCCACGGGAGACCATCCCGAGCGCCGCCTCGGGTCCGGACAGGCCCCGCAGGTCTCGTCCCCCTAGGCCTCTGTAGTGTGACCAGGAGAACGGATTCTCCTCGGGCGATCTCCATCCAGGTCCTGGGGCCGGCAGCCGCGGCAGGGGAACCTCCTGCGCTCGGGAGGAAGCACAGATTCCAGAGGAGCAGTAAAATGGCAAATCATGCCAAGCTTCGGGGTGGAGCTGAGGGGGCCCTGACTCCGCCTCGCAGCCCGGGCTTCGGGGTGGGGCGCCTAATTAGTGTTTGCGCATTGGCGGCCGGCCGGCTCGGTAACCACGGCGACCGCGCGGCCCCGCCCAGCCCCGGCCCAGTATCCCCGCCCCCCGCATTCCCCATTGGCCGCTGGCGCTTCCCAGCCTACCAATCACCGACCGCATCTCCTTACAAAGGGTAGAAAGACACCGCCTGGCAGAAGCCACGCCTCGCACCAGGAAGCCCGGCTGACGGCTTAATTGAGATTAACATAAACTCCAATCAGAGAGGAAAACGCGGACAGGATTACCTAATCGTATATGCTTAAGGGAGTACCACGAGAGCGCGAGCAGCCTCGGCAGGGCAGAACAGGCCCTCGGCAGGTTCTTCATCCTGGGTATCTATCTAGACTCTAGTTCAGGCTCCATCATTACATAATTCTATGCCACTTCCCTTCTAGGGGTATCTGTTTTCTCAATTTAAAGAGAGGGCTCGTCTGTCAGGACCCTACCAACTCCAGATTTCCATGAGCCACAGGGTCTGAGCGACGCCTGCAAGCCAACACTGTTCATTCAGGCCTGAACGGCTAAGCACTGAATGGGAGGTTGATTTGACTTTGCTTTTTTCTTTGCTTCTGTCTACAGAGGGAGAAATAGCTGCCTCATTCCCTCTTGCTGGAGAAAAAAAAAAAAAGCAATAGGTGTTTAATCTGCAAGGGAGATGAATTTCCTATCTAACCCAAGGAGATGTGGGACAGCTCCGGGGTAAAGATTGATAGAACTGTCTGATGTCAGAGCAGCCACAGGCCATAAATAATCCAGTCCAACCCCCTGGCTTTACAGATGAATCAGGCCCAGAGACGCCAGGCGACTTGAGCAAGGCCACTCAGCTGTCAAGAGCCCGGGTAGAAATCAGTGCCCTTTCTGCTACACCATTCTGAACGGCTCCAGCCACCTGCTTGCCTCAAGGATCCCAGTTTGCTCTGTCTTCCCTTTCTCTTCTTCCTTCTCCTCTTACAATGTTCAATAATAATTGGCAATGTACAAATCAGACTCTCAGGACTTCAGAGGCAAGGACCAGGCTGAATTTTTCTGATCCTAGCAAAGGTGGATTCCTTGAAGAAAGCTGCCTTTCAATCTAAAGTTCTGAAGGATTCCAGTGATTTTGCAACCTGCAGGCTTTGGCTTGGAAGGACTTACAGCCGATTTCACAAACTTTCAAAGCCTTAAGGAGCAGTGATGGAGCATTGGTCAGCAGTTTCGTGAATGACGCTACATTCTCTTATTTTCCAAATGACCTAACCCCACAGCACAGAATCTGCTGGATTTGGTGTCTGTAAAGACTTACCAGCCAGGCACAGTGCCTCATTCCTGTAATCCCAGCACTTTGGGAGGCCAAGGAGGGAGGACCACTGGAGGCCTGGAGTTCAAGAGCAGCCTGGGCAAGATAATGAGACCCTATCTCTACAAAAAAATTAAAAACTATCCAAGTGTGGTGGTGCATGCCTGTAGCCCCAGCTACTTCAGAGGCTGAGGCAAGAAGATTACTTGAACCCGGGAGTTTGAGGCTGCAGTGAGCTATAATCACAGCACTGCACTGCAGCCTGGGCCACAGAGTTGAGACCCTATCTATCAGGAAGGAAGGAAGGAAGGAAGGAAAGAAGGAAGGAAGGAAGGAGGGAGGGAGGGAAGGAGGGAGGAAGAAAGGAATGAAGGAAGAGGACTTCCATCCAAGGATAGATTTCCTCATTTTACGAAGTCCACCTCATTCCCTTTACCTCTTTCTTGGGCAACCTCCTCTACCCTAGCATCAAGCATTTATCAGATTCCTATAATTTCATCAAATGCAGGCACTTATCAGGTTTACAAAAAATAGTCTATCTTGGAGAGCTTCCAATGTGATGTTGAGGCAGAGCAACTGTGTTTAAGGGCAACTCAAGACTAGCCCACCTGAAAGGTTCCCACACCCAAACTAACCTGCAGGTACAAATGAAGTCACATCAGTTATGAATACCCAGGTTTTGATGACTCACAGCCCCCACCAACAAAACTGCAGGACCTTGAGGGCCTCCCACCCTGCAGTGGGCTCAGGGGCTCACTCCCTTGTGCTAATAGAGTCTTTCTCTGCAGCTACCTGTGGTCCAGGGCCTGAAAAACCACTTAGAGTCATCACTTCCCCATTGCCTGTAATCCCAGCACCACTTTGGGAGGCCAAGGAGAGAGGATCCTGAGCAGCTGGGGCAACAGGCATGCACTACCACACTTGGATAATTTTTAATGATTTAGTAAAGAGGTGGTCTCGCTATCTTGCCCAGCCTATGAATGCTGCCCTATTGCTTCATTGCACCGCTCCTTAAAGAAAGTTTGTGAAATCAGATCTGAGTCCTTCCGAGTCAAAGCCTGCAGGTTGCAAAATCACTGGAATCCTTCAGAACTTTAGATTGTGGCCATATGAAAGGCAGCTTTCTTCAAGGAGAGGTGGGGTAGCGGAGTAGTCACTTATGCCTTGGTCTGGCTGGGTGAATCTGCATTTTTACACAAACAATAGGGCAGAGGAAGCAATCAGATGTGCATTTGTTTCAGATGAGCCGAGGGATGACTTTGAGTTCTGTCCTTTGTCCTGCACCTGTGAAGATAAGCTATCAATTTACATTGCCAGAGTGAAATTCAACAGAACTGTTTTAGTGTAAAGATCTTGAGGCCCACAAGGAACTTCCTAGTAGGCAAATTGTGAGGGAGATATGAAGATTTTTAAAAATCTTTGTAACTGTCTTATTTAGGAATAGAATGAGAGGCAGGTGTGCCTGATGCAGTTCCCAGCTTGATTTTTCCCTTTGGCTTAGTGATTTGGGGGTCCTGAGATTTATTTGCCTTTCACATTGGCATGAGGAGAAAAAAATCTATTGAATTGTCTTGAGTAGGCATCCCTCTTCTGGACTTTAATTTGTGCAGGAGGGGACACTGGTATTGGTTATCCCACCCAGCCAAGCTTGGGGTATAATTGATTTTTGGTCTTTGGGTTTCTAAATCAGTCTTATGACCTCATTAAAAAATGAATGAGGGCCAGGTGCAGTGGCTCATGCCTGTAATCCTAGCACTTTGGGAGGCCAAGATGGATGGATCGTTTGAGGTCAGGAGTTCAAGACCAGCCTGGCCAACATGGCGAAACCCTGTCTCTACTGAAAAAATATAAAAATTAGCTGGGCATCATGGCACATGCCTGTAATCCCAGCTACTCAGGAGGCTGAGGCAGGAGAATCACTTGAACCCAAGAGGTAGAGGCTACAGTGAGCCCAGATTACGCCGCTGTACTCCAGCCTAGGTGACAGAGCAAGACCTTGCCTCAAAAAGAAAAAACAAAAGACAAAACAAACAAACAAAGAAACAAACTGAATGAGTCCCCCCAGAACCTCTGGGCAGGTGAAAAAAAAAATTAGTTTTTAGACCTACAAACTTATGAATCAGATTCTGACCAAATTCCTGCCTATGAGGTCCTACAAGCAGTAGGTCAGAGTCTTCCCAAACCCCTCTGAGCCATAGCCAGCCATATGCATCAAATGGTTTTCATGTTTGTTGAATGAACACATGGATGAATGAATGAGCAAATGAAAAAACAGATTACTGGCTGGTTGGCTAGTTGAATAGATGAACAGAAGGATGAAAAGAACCATTTGATATAATACTTGTCCCCTGAAAATCTCAAGCTGAAATGTGATCCCCAGTGTTGGCAGTAGGGCCTGGTGGGTGGTGTTTGGGTCATGGGGACAGACTCCTTATGAATGGCTTGGTGGCCTCCCTGTCGTAATGAGTGAGTTCTTGCTCTATTTGTTCACACAAGAGCTGGTTGTTTAAAAATGCCTGGCCAAACATTGTTGGTGGGAGTGTAAATTAGTTCAACCATCGTGGAAGACAGTGTGGTGATTCCTCAAGGATCTAGAACTAGAAATACTATTTGATCCAGCAATCCAATTACTGGGTATATACCCAAAGGATTATAAATCATTCTGCTATAAAGACACATGCACACATATGTTTATTGCAGCACTATTTACAGTAGCAAAGACTTGGAACCAACCCAAATGCCCATCAATAACAGACTGGATAAAGAAAATGTAGCACATATACACCATGGAATACTATGCAGCCATAAAAAAGAATGAGTTCATGTCCTTTGCAGGGACATGGATGAAGCTGGAAGCCATCATTCTCAGCAAACTAACACAGGAACAGAAAACCAAACACTGCATGTTCTCACTCATAAATGGGAGTTGAACAATGAGAACACATGGACACAGGGAGGGGAGTTGTGGCCTGTTGTAGGGTGGGGGGCAAGGGGAGGGAGAGCATTAGGACAAATACCTAATGCATGTGGGCTTAAAACCTAGGTGATGGGTTGATAGGTGCAGCAAACCACCATGGCACATGTATACCTATGTAACAAACCTGCATGTTCCGCACATGTATCCCAGAACTTAAAGTAAATTAAAAAAAAATGCCTGGCAGTGTCTCTTGCTCCCTTTCACACCATGTGGCACACCTGCTCCCCTTCCCCTTCTGCCATGAGTAAAAACTTCCTGAGGCCTCACTAGAGGCCAAGCAGATGCTGGAGCCATGCTTGTACAGTCTGCAGAACTGTGAGCCAAATAAACCTCTTTTCATTGTGAATCACCCAGTCTCGGATATTCCTTTATAGGAACACAAAACGGACTAAAACAATATTATATATATTGAGAGAGAGAGGAGACAGATATCCTAGGGGAGAGGGAGAGGGAGAAGGTGGCTCAAGGGCACCAGTGAAGGAGTTGATCTTGCTGCTTAATCTCCCCCTATGTCTCCTGGGAGACTTTTTCCATCAGCCGTCCAGGCTCTTTCACTGCCTGAACACCTATGTAAATGGCCTGCGTCTCCCCAAGTCCTTTGCTCCTTCAGGGCAGATCCAATCACCCTGTCTTCAGACCCCACAGTCACATTCATCCCTCTCTGAGCCTGCAGGCTTTATACCAAGTTCTCCTCCAGCCTTGGGTAGGGTTAGGAGGACCCAGGCAGGAGGAAGTGGGGTATGGAGCTGCTGAGACCCCCAGTGAGTGTTCCCTGTGGGGCCAGAGACAAAGGTGGAAGCGAAACACCTGCTGCTCTCACCTCTGGCCCCCGAGACCCCCACCCTGCACAAAGGTGGGGCTGTCAGGTGCCAGGGTGGTGGGGCGGCAGCCCCAGAAGGCCCATGTGACCAAGTCATTTTCCCCTCCCCATCTGCTCCTGGAGAGAGGAATCCCAGGGCAACCTGCGAATACCATCTGTGAAGTTGGCACCTTCAACCACGAGCCCCTCTCAGTGTCTCCTCCTGAACTCCTGGGTCAGATTAGCCGAGCGCCTGGCAGGGCTCTGAGGGACTGGGCCTCCACACAGAGAAAAGGCCTGGGTAGGCAGCAACGTGCTGCTCAGAGGGACTGAGAAAATGAGAACAAAGGGCCACCATTTTGCTGCGAGTCCCTGCTGCTTGGAAACTTTGGCTTTTCTGCTGATTCTGGTGGGAAGCCCCACTCTGCTATCTTAGCAAAAGGCCAAGAGAGCCAGGAACAGAGCTGGCCGCAGGGCCTGCAAGCATTCCACAAGGGCTGGCTTTTGTTCTCACGCAAGGTTTCCAGCCGAAGACAAATGCTTTCCACATGGGCTAAGAGAAGGAGACCTCCTTCCACTCGCTTTTGATCCTCAGACACTGCTGCGTGACAATAGTCAGCATCCCACAGACAGCCTTCCCGAAACAGAGCACCTCAGGGACGTGCCCACCCCCACCTCAGAGTGGGATAACCACCTTTCCCCACTGTGCTGTACCTGACCCCTCAACAACTCAGGATCATGCCCTGAGTCCCCAGGGAGCTCCTCCTTACCACCAGGAAAGGTCTGATGCACAGACGACCGCCCTGATGCATAGACTGCTGTTGGTGGACATCCACAGTCTGTGGTCATACCAGATCCCTGCCCAAAACTACCTTCCCCAGAGCCCTGGGGTCCCTCACTGCTCCCAGATAGACCAGAGTCCTCCCCCTGTAACTAGCAGCTGAAATTACATGAAAACAAAGCCAACAGCTAGGGGAAAACACTGTCACCGCTGCTGGTGGCCATGTCCATTATTATAGTCTCTCTGCAGGAAATTTGTAAACTAACTAAATAAATAAAAATAAAATATTCCCTTACAATGAGCATACTCTTGGATTAAGCATGCTCACTTCTAGGAAGCTGTCCCCAGAAAATCAGCAGTAATGCAGCAAATAACTTCTACATAAGATGCTCCCTACATCATTTGAAAAAGTTAAAAAATTGGAAACAACCTCAGTGCCTACTAATTGGGGATCAAGTGGTCTCTTGTATTTTGAGTCCATAGTCACATACTCCCATCAAAAATAATGTTTGCTTACACCCTAATAAATAGTCATTTACTTTTAATAAATGATATGTAGGTACTATCAAACTAAAAGTTTCAGATGCAATACAAAACACATGATATGGAAATTTTAAGCAATATTTTAAATTTGCTCTGTTTTATTCATTAATACTTCAGAAATATTTTGGTTTAAAAAGAGCCGTGTGATTTTGGATTTAATCAATCATTTCTTAAAGTCTTAGTTTAACATTATAATACAACTGAAAGTTCAATATATTTCCATTCCTGGTTATAATAGTTGTTATAATTCAAAACAATCTTTTATAAAGACACAGATACAAATAGAGGAAAGGCATAATTGGGCACAGTTAATAAATCAATAAATTAATTTCTCATTCTCATTTACTAAGTATACAGAAATTTTTATTGAAATTAAGCTAAGTAAATTTTCTACTTCTATGATGTCAACCAAGAGGTCTTACATTTTTTATATTTAATGCATACAAAATACTAAAATTTTCATTAGAAGATCTTTAAACTAGTCAGAAAATTCTGTTTACACATTTTATTTTATTTTTTTCCTTTTTAAAAATTTAACTTTTATTTTAAGTTCAGGGGCACATGAGCAGTTTTGTTATGCAGGTAAACTTGTGTCATGAGGGTTTGTTGTGCGGATTATTTCATTACCCAGGTGTTAAGCCTAGTGTCCATTAGTTATTTTTCCTGATCCTCTTCCTCTTCCCACCCTTCACTCTCCAATAGGCCCCAGTGTGTGTTGTTCTCCTCTGTGTGTGCACGTGTTCTCGTCATTTAGCTCCCACTTATAAGTGAGAACATGCAGTATTTGATTTTCTGTTCCTGGGTTAGTTTACTAAAGATAATAGCCTCCAGCTCCATCCATGTCCCTGCAAAGGACATAATCTTGTTTGTTTTGTTGGTTTTTTGTTTTGTTTTGTTTTGTTTTGTTTTTGAGATGGAGTGTCACTTTGTCACCCAGGCTGGAGTGTGATGGCACGATCTTGGCTCACTGCAACCTCCGCCTCCCAGGTTCAAGCGATCCTCTTGCGTCAGCGTCCCGAGTAGCTAGGATTACAGGCACCCGCCACCATGCCTGGCTAATTTTTTGTATTTTTAGTAGAGAAGGGTTTCACCATATTGGCCAGACTGGTCTTGAACCCCTGACCTCAGGTGATCCACCCGCCTCCATCTCCAAAGTGCTGGGATTACAGGTGTGAGCCACTGCACCTGGCCCATAGCAGAAAATTTGAAGCTGGAAGTGATAGCTCTATACTATCAGTGAGGTGGTTCAGTTTAGAAAACAAAACTTTTAATATATGGCAGAATATTTATCATATTTTTAAGGACATAAGGAATAAGCAAAAAAATCATTTATCTACACAAAGGTTGGGTGTGTAATTTATGTAATTCAACATGGTGAAACCCCGTCTCTACTAAAAATAAAAAAATTAGCCAAGCATGGTGGCAAGAACCTATAATCCCAGCTACTCAGGAGGCTGAGGCTGGAGAATCACTTGAACCCAGGAGGCAGAGGTTGCAGTGGGCGGAGATTGTGCCATTGCACTCCAGCCTGGGCAACAAGTTCGAAATTTCGTCTCAAACAAACAAACAAACAAATCTGCTACAGTAGTTTGCCTGTGAATAAATTTCAAGTGCGATTTACATTATTAGCTAATATTTGTTGAGCACTTACTGTGTGCCAGGCAGAGTTTAAGTGCTTTACATATATTGATTCATTTAATTTTCACAACTACCCCTCATATGGATACAATTATTATCCCATTTCACAGACAAGGAAACTGAGACACAGGGAAGGTGGTGAATTGCCCAAGGTCACATAGCTAGCAAGCAGCAGCACTGGAACTTGAACCAGGACAGCCCGGGTCTGGTGACAGTGACTTTGTCCAAGGTGCTACATAGTCAGCTCCACCACAATGTTCAAGAACCTTCTTACTGCAGTCAAAGTTGGCTCTTAGCTGCACTTATACTTACATGTTTTAAAAAAAATTGTGAAGACATCATTCACTATTGAGAATATATGTCCTTCAATTATCCTTCCTGTAGTGACTTATGAAAACATAAAAAGTATATTTCATTTTTGAGACAGATTTCAGCAAATGTCATAACTGAGTCATGTTGGAAATATGTGTACTTCCATCCAACTACATGATGAAACTCCCAGACTATATTATGTATTCTAGTATTTATTTCTTCAGATATTCAGCAACTGCTTTCCACATATCTTCATAGTATTTTATTTCATTTCTTTTATTATTATTATTTTTGAGATGGAGTTTCACTCTTGTTACCCAGGCTGGAGTGCAGTGGCGCAATCTCGCCTAACTGCAACCTCTGCCTCCTGGGTTCAAGAGATTCTCTCCCCTGCCTCAGCCTCCCGAGTAGCTGGGATTACAGGCATCTGCCACCAGGCCCAGCTAATTTTTTGTATTTTTAGTACAGAAGGAGTTTCACCATGTTGGCCAGGCTGATCTCGAACTCCTGACCTCAGGCGATCCACCCGCCTTGGCCTCCCAAAGTGTTGGGATTACAGGCATGAGTCATCGCGCCTGGGCTCATTTCATTTTTGAGACAGGGTTTCACTCTGTTGCCCAGGCTGGAATGCAGTGGTGCAGTCACAGCTCACTGCAGCCTTGGCCTCCCAGGCTCAAGGGATCCTCCCACCTCAGCCTTCTGAGTAGCTGGGACCACAGGCATGCGCCCCCACACAAAGCTAATTTTTTATTTTTTGTAGAGACAATGTCTTACTATGTTGCCCCGGCTGGTGTCAAACTCCTGGGCTCAAGCGATCCTCCTGCCGCAGCCTTCTAAAGTGCTGGGATTACAGGTGTAAGCCACTTCGCCTGGCCTTCAATAGTATTTTGCAATGAAATGCTGTATTTAAATTCTTCCCCATATTTGTTTCATGTGTTATTTTGGCCAG
This sequence comes from Homo sapiens, assembly GCF_000001405.40. Taxonomy (NCBI): domain Eukaryota; kingdom Metazoa; phylum Chordata; class Mammalia; order Primates; family Hominidae; genus Homo; species Homo sapiens. Next base: position 31,769,478 of record NC_000010.11, read on the forward strand.
TTTTACCATGTGATGTGACCTTTAAGCTTCTAAACATTTATTATCAATAGTTTAGTAAAAATGTTTAGGGGCTGAAAGATTGCATGACTTTCAACATCAGTGAAAGGATGTTGAGATTTGTCTTTATATTTTCATTGTTAATTGTTTAACTGTCTTGCCTATGGCGATACTCTCATTAGCTTATACCTCAAGGTACAATATGCACTTAGGGTAAGGCCATCATGAATGAAATGACTGTATACCTATGATTCACATAATCTTCTCAAATGTTAATATATTTCTGGCTGACTCCTTTTCAAATCTGATTATACTGTTGTTTTCTCATCTAACAAGAATGATGATGAGTTCACAATGGAATCTGAAAAAGAATCCACTCAGCCATTTTCTCGTTCTCTTTTCGTGCTCTGCAGTTTTTTATTTTTATATATTTAGGCAATACAAGTGCAGATTTCTTTTTCTTTTTTTCGAGACAGAGTCTCACTCTGTCACTCAGGTTGGAGTGCAGTGGCGCAATCTCAGCTCACTGAAACCTCTTCCTCCCAGGTTAAGTGATTCTCCTGCCTCAGACTCCCGAGTAGCTGGTATTACAGGTGTGTGCCACCACACCTGGCTGATTTTTGTATTTTTAGTATAGACAGGGTTTCACTATGTTGACCAGGCTAGTCGGGAACTCCTGACCTCAAGTGATCCACCTGCCTCAACCTCCCAAAATGAAAATGTAGATTTCTTCCATGCATATATTGCGTAGTGGTGGAGTCTGGGCTTTTAGTGAACCCATCACCTGAATAGTGAACATTGTACCCAATAGGTAATTTTTCAACCCTCACCCCACTCCCAACCTCTCACGTTTTGCAGCCTACAGTCTGCATTTTCTTAGCTAGAAATTAAGCCACCTGTCTATTTTGTGAAGGTTATTAGTTAATATAATCTCTTTAACCAAACACTTAGAAGCTGCAGTAAATTGCAATATGCAGAACAAACAGAAATGTGCAGGTGCCACTGTCAACCCTCTGCCCCCTGCAGGACCACACAGGCACCACATGTGCAGGCCGACCAGAACGGAGGCCGGGTATTAGAAAGTAATAAAGCTTCATTTCTGCCTTGTTTTTAGATAAAAATAAAGATGAAAGGAAGTTGTAATATTTCCTTCCCTCACCCAGTGGATTGTCTGGCATGTGCCTCACTTTGAGGGTCACAAGGCAATCCTTTAGAGTCATTTAAAATTGTGTTATGGAAGACTATAAGCACATGGGAAAACATTTACAATATATTAAACGGAAAAAGTCAGGTTCGAAACCAGGATATATAGGAAATGCTATTTTATCTAAAAAGTGTAGGGTGCGCACACATGTACATGCACGTGACATTTATTCATATAAATGACAGGAGGCAAATCAAAATGTTTATCTAACAATACTTCATGCCTGTCATCACCTGTGCTAATTTAGCACCCCTTTGGGTTAAGTGGGTGTGGGGTTGCTAAGGTTGTAATGTTTGTCCCCTCCAAACTTCATGTTGAAATGCAATCCCCAATGGTGGAGGTGGGGACTGGTGGAAAGTGTTGGGGCCATCGGGGTGGATCCTCAAATAGATGAGTGCACTCCCCTTGGGGGTGAGTGAGTTCTCACCGTAGTTCCTGGGGAGTGGATTGTTAAAAGAGCCTGGCCTCCCTGGTTTCTCCCACTATGCAATCTCTGCATGCAACAGCTCCCCTTCACTTTCTGCCGTGAGTGGAGCAGCCTGAGGCCCTCGTCAGATGCCCAGTCTTGAACTTTTCCAGATATCTACACTGTGAGCCAATTATGCCTTTTTCCTTCATAACTTACACAGTCTCTGGGATTCCTTTATAACAACATGAAATGGACTAAGTCAGGGTACACACTTCATCCCGGAAGAGCGAGAGAACACATCTGGCCCTCGGCGTGAATGCGCCAGCAGAGATGACTGTGTCCAGATAGGGGAGCAATGAACAAGAGGCTGAGTCAGGCCTCAGCTCCCTGAGAGCAGTCCAGGTGGGCTGTAGGCTGTCTGGAAACTGGCTGGGCACCAGAAGCCAGGGAGGGGATAAGAAAGTCCAAGCCAGAAGGCACATTTCCCAGCCTCCAACTTTGTCCCAGAGCAGACTTTCTGACAGCCTGGGCTTAAGCAATGACCTCCAAGAGAACCTCACAAGACTTTGTGTCCTGTCCTCCTCACATACCAGAGGGTGGGGTTTGGGTTCTCATGTCAGGCGGGGAGAATCACATGCTAAATAGAAATAGACTCATCTAGCATCTGGGCAACGTGAAGCCATTGGCCGGAGGCCATTAGCCAGGCATGGTGGCATGCACCTGTAGTCCCAGCTACTCGGGAGGACTGAGGCAAGAGGACTGCTTGAGGCCAGGAGTTTGAGGCTGCAGTGAGCTATGATTCCACCACTGCACTCCAGCCTGGGCGACAGAGCAAGACCCCAGACTTTGTATTCTCCCTGGTGCTGCTCAGCCTGCAGGTCCTGAGCCCCTCCACTCCATACCTCCATTGAATGTAGAGCTTTCTTTGGTTTCTTGCCAATGCTGTTTAGTGCACGTGGCCTCTCTCTTCTATGTCAACAAGTCTTACGAGGCCTGACAGGAGCCTAGGGTCTATCCCTGAGGTGGCCAGGACAGACTGCCTGACCTTGACTATGGCCATTCAGAATCCCATGTTCCTCTCCTCCTCCTGCCTCCCAGATTGAGACACATCAGTGCCAAGGGAGAGCAGGAGGAGACCCTAGAAGAGTTAGGGAACCAACTAGGATCCCTGAGCTGTCTGTCATCCACCACACCCTGGGGTTCCCTTCCCATTAGACACACATCTCATAGGTAAGGTTTTTACTGGCCCTACTGCTAAGACCAGCACTGAGTTTGTTTTTGGTTTTTGTTGTTGTTGTTGTTTGTTTGTTTGTTTTTTGAGACAGAGTCTTGCTCTGTTACCCAGACTGGAGTGCAGTAGCACGACCTTGGTTCACTGCAACCTCCACCTCCCACGTTCAGTCAATTCTCCTGCCTCAGCCTCCCAAGTAACTGGGGTTACAGGCATGGGCCACCACACTCAGCTAATTTTTGTATTTTTAGTAGAGATGGGGTTTCTCCATGTTGGCCAGGATGGTCTCGGACTCCTGACCTCAGGTGATCCACCTGCCTCAGCCTCCCAAAGTGCTGGGATTATAGGCGTGAGCCACCACATGGCTAATTTTTGTATTTTTAGTAGAGACGTGGTTTTGCCTTGTTGGCCAGGCTGATCTCAAACTGCTGACCTCAGGTGATCCACCTGCCTCAGCCTCCCAAGGTGCTGGGATTATAGGCATGAGACACCTTGCCCGGCCATGGGTTCTTTCAGCCTATGTGGCCCCTGAGTGTCTTCTTTTTCTCAGATCAAAGTCTTGGGCCAGGCCAGGTGCAGTGACCCCCAGCTATAATCCCAACACTTTGGGTGACGGCAAGAGGATTTGAGGCCAGGAGTTCGAGACCAGTCTGGGCAACAGAGTTAGGCCTCAACTCTACAAAAAGTAATTTTTTAAAAAAATTAGCCAGGCATGGTGGCACACGCCTATAGTCCCAGCTACTCAAGAGGCTGAGGTGGGAGGATCACCTGAGCCCAGGAGTTTGAGACCTCAGTGAGCTCTAATTGCACCACTGCTCTCCCACCTGGGTGACAAAGAGAGCCCTTTTCTCTAATTTTAAACAAAAAAAAAATATTGAGCCAAGGAGATAAGAAAATTACAACATTCTTTATTTCAGCTGCCATGTCTTGATTCTCAGATAAGACAATTGCACACATTCTCTCTTTTAATCCTATCAACAGCCCCTATGGGGTACATTCTTTCCTCTTCATTTTCACAGGTGAGGAAACTGAGTCTCAGTGAGGTTAAATAAGCAACTTGCCTGAGGTCTCACAGCCAGGAAGTCGGAAAGCAGAGGCCCAGCGAACACAGGTGTGTCTGGCTGCCAATCCTGTGTGCCTCCCCCTAGGCTGCACTGCTAAAGCTTTGGCCGGTCAGCAGGCCATTGCAGGGCCATGTCGTGGACTCTTGTCCCAAGGCCCACCCCTTGCGCCCGCCAAGACATGTCTGGCGGTACTCAGCAATTCATGTTGACCTGGAGCTGGTGACAGCAGAGGCTCAGGGAAGCACCTGGGGGCCCCACCCACCTACTTTTTGTATTGCATCCCACAGCCCAGGGAGGGCCTCAAACCCAAATGTCCCCAGACCACGTCTGAGCAAATGAGATCCGATCTTCTCCAAGATTTGGTAGGAGATGAGGTCGATGGCATTGAGATTTGGAAGTAGAGGGGGAGCCATGACGGAGGGAAATGGGGAGCCAGGGGCCTGGGGAGAAACATTTCTGAACGCCCAGTTGTGCCCGCTGCACCTGCTTCCTCAATCCCCAGGCTCAGCCCACGGTGGTTGTGGGGCCTCAGATGCCTGTGAGTATGCATGTTTGAGTGTGCACGTGTGAGTGTGTGTATACTCACGTGAGTGCATATGTGAGTGTGTGAGTGTGCATGCATGTGTGAATGAGTGTGTGTGTGCGTGCACGTGCATGTATGTTTTAAAGAAGCACAGATTCTCATCAGTCTGAGCTGGGGATCGCGCATTCGTTTGAGGCCACAAAGGCCAAACATGTGCTCTGTCCTCCTGCCAGCTCTGGGGCCTCTGGCTAAGGTAGCCTATTTTATGGATGAGAAGAAAAGCCCCAAGCACATTTAAGAGGCCACCTGGAGAGCTGATTATGATTTTTAAGAGCTAATGCCGCCACCCACGACTCACTGTTTATGAACAGCCTTTGGTCGCCATCACTATCATAAACTGTGTGTGAGACCCTGTATATTCGTGGGCCACCCAAAGCACTTGGTGGGCAGAGGACAGTCAGCACTAATCACAGTGCCGGGAGGCAAGAGGGCCCCTTGGCTGTGCTGGATAAGATGAGAACTGAGACCAAACAAAGGCAGTGAAGGCAGCTGCTCCTGCACGCAGCTGCGCAGCGGCCTATTGAAGGTGACAGATCCCGTTAAGTTATGCAGCCAGGCGCGCACAGAGGAGCCAGGCCCCTGTAAATCAACAACAGGCCCACATCTTTGGGAAGGCTTCTCCAAGCCTGAGGGCCCGAGCAGGCCCACAGTCTGGGTATAAAGGAAGAAAAAGGAGGAAGAAAGGGGTGTGTGGTTATCCTGCAAGACAACACTGACAGCAAAGCTCTGAGCATCAGCGGTGGGGCAGGAATCTCAGGAATCCCTCATCTCTTCCTCCAGAGCCCCTGGAAAAATCCAGAAGCTCTGAACCCTTAGGGCTGCCTGACTTGAGCCCAGTGCTGCCCAGCCTGGAGCAGGCAGCCCCAGCCACAGAGCAGATCAGCCCCCACCGTCCCTGCAGCCTGGAGGGAGATGGGTGCGGTAGCTCCCTGGAGGGCGTTAGACTCGACTGTAAAATAGGGGTGCAGGGCAAGCCCCCTCCAGTCCTTCCAGCTCTGATTCCACAACTGTTCAGTGTCAAGGTGAGATTCCTCCCTGAATCCCTCCCTGAATGATAGAAGGAAGACGCCCCCCAGTCCCCACTCTGGAGCAAGGAGAGAGCTCTGCAGGCGTTGAGTGAGACATCGCCAGTGAGGAGACCGAGTTTCAGAGAAGCCACTGGTGTGTCATGCCTAATGACGAAGCTGAAATCAGAACCCAAGTCACTGGGTGGCCAGCCCAGTGCCCAGTGCCACAAGGTGACCAGGTCAGGTGTCTGCTTGGTGGCTGCCAAGTTTCTGAAATGCTGCTCTCTGAAACGATGACACAAAAATAGAACCTAACAGGTTCATAGCTGAAAACAGGGATTGGTGAAAAAAAAAATCAAGCCTTCAGCTGCAGCTCTTAGTTTTTTCTTTGGCCTCCCTGCTGCCACCCCTATCACCTAGTGCAGACAAAAGCAGGAATTAATCACTATTATTCACAGAGCTGCCTCAGTGAGGAGGCGAACAGTCTCCCGTAGTACTGACTTCCAACACTATGGAAACAAGGGGAGGAGAACAGGGGAGAGGAAGGAGCATCCGACTCCACAGCGGGAGATGGGCTCCGAATTTGTGGCTCACACCCTCTCTTCAACAGCACAGAGAATGCTTCGCCCTGTTTATCTGCCCTGAACCCTTAGGTTCAGGTTGTAATGAGGTGCAAACTCACGAAACTCATCCAAGTGGAGCAAGTCTGCTTCCTTTAGGTAAAAATCGTTTTAGTATTTAGAAAGGCCATTTCTCTTTTGGCCGTAAAGACCTTCTCAAAATTCATGGAAAAGTTGCACAGCAATGTGAAGGTAGTAATGCCAGTGAACTGTACACTTTAAAAATGGTCAATTTGAGATTATGTATATTTTACTATAATTTTATTTATTTATTTTATTATTTATTAATTATTTTTGAGGCAGAGTCTCACTCTGTTTCCCAGACTGGAGTGCAGTGGTGCATCCATAGCTCACTGTAGCCTCAAACTCCTGAGCTAAAGCAGTATGCTCACCTCAACCTCCTGAGTAGCTGGAACTACAGGCGTGTGCCACCACACCCAGATACTTTCTTTAATATTTTTTGTAGAGATGGGGTCTCACTATGTTGCCCAGGCTGCTCTTAAACTCCTAGACTCAGGTGATTCTCCCACCTCAGACTCCCAAAATGCTGTGATTACAGGCATGGCATACCATGCCTGGTGATACGGTTTGGCTGTGTCCCCACCCAAATCTCATCTTGAATTCCCATACGTTGTAGGAGGGACCCAGTGGGAGATAATTGAGTCATGGGGGCGGGCATTTCCCTTGCTGTTCTTGTGATAGTGAATATGTCTCATGAGATTTGATGGCTTTATAAGGAGGAGTTTCCCTGCACAAGCTCTCTTTTTCCTGCTGCTATCCATGTAAGACATGACTTGCTTCCACCATGTTTGTGAGGCTTCCCCAGACACGTGGAATTGTAAGTCCATTAAACCTCTTTCCTTTGTAAATTGCCCAGTCTCGGGTATGTCTTTATCAGCAGCCACAATTTTTTTAAGTGAAAGAAAAAAAAAAACTAAAGGGAATAAAGAGGAGAGTGTTCAGTTGTTTCCAAAGTTGCCTCTGGAAAGACTGCACAAGCTCCTGAAGCCCACAGGAGTGTGGGAAAGCACTCAGCCCAGAGAGTCCAGCCCTGCCAACAAATAGAGCCTACCATGGGTTCACCTCGGTCCTGGTGTGCCATGCTCCATCCTCTGCCCTCACCCTTGGACCCCAGGGCAGCTCCTCAGCAGAGGCCTCCACAGAGCCAGAATCAGGACTTAGCTGAGCTCCAAGCACTCAGTCTGCACTGTTCTGTACCAAGTCCATTGAAGGAGACACTGATTCTCAGAAGCCACATTTCATGGCCACAACCTCCATAAGAGCAGAGTATAAAACAGCCATCAGGCTGGGCGCAGTGGCTCATGCCTCTAATCCCAACACTTTGGGAGGCTGAGGGGGGTGGATCGCCTGAGGTCAGGAGTTCAAGACCAGCCTGGCCAACATGGTGAAACCCGTCTCTACTAAAAAAAATACAAAAATTAGCCAGGCATGGTGGCGGGCACCTATAATCCCAGCTACTCAGGAGGCTGAGTCAGGAGAATCACTTGAACTCGGGAGGCTCTCTCTGCTCACTGCAACCTCTGCCCCCCCAGCTCGAGCAATCCTCCCACCTCAGCCTCCTGAATAGCTGGGACTACAGGCGTGCACCACCATGCCCAGATAATCTTGTATTTTTCATAGAGAAGGAGTCTCATTATGTTGCCCAGGCTGGTCTTGAACTTCTGAGCTCAAGTGATCTGCCCTCCTTAGCCTCCCAAAGTGCTGGGATTACAGGCATGAGCCACCAGGCCTGGACTGGGTAGAGTTTCTGTTTAGGTGATTGGAAAAGGTTCTGTAGATGTTCTGATGGCTGCACAGCATTGCAAATGCACCTAATGCCACTGTACACTTAACGTCCACTTAAAAATGGCTAAAATAGTAAATTCTACGTTATGTATATTTTATTGCAATAGAACAATTCTTCAGTTACTTAACTCCTCAGTGGGGGAAGATACATATATTTCTGTCTATTTCCTCACTGCTAGGTTAATAAGGATTCCACAGGCTGAGAGAAAAGCAAGCAATGCAGTCTGGTGGACTTCTGATTAATTAATTAATTTATTTATTTATTTATTTATCTCTCTCTCTCTCTCTCTCTCTTTTTTTTTTTTTTTTTTTTTGAGACAGAATCACACTGTCACCCAGCCTGGATGGAGTGCAGTGACGGAATCTTGGCTCACTGTGACCTCCACCTCCCAGGTTCAATCAATTCTCTGCCTCAGCAGGGCGTGGTGGCGCACGCCTGTAATTCCAGCTGAGGCAGGAGAATTGCTTCCCGAGTAGCTGGAATTACAGGCGTGTGCCACCATGCCCTGCTATTTTTTTTTTTTTAATTTTTAGTAGAGACGGAGTTTTGCCATGTTGGTCAGGCTGGTCTTGAACTCTTGACCTCAGGTAATCCACCCGCCTTGGCCTCCCAAAGTGCTGGGATTACAGGGGTGAGCCACCGTGCCCAGCCTGGACTTCTGATTTCTGTGGTAGCATGCCAGATTTCCAGACTGAGCTGCCCTCTGAAAAGAAAATACGGGATAAAATAGAAATAAACTCTTTAAAAGCATCAATAAGCTGACTGGAAAGTAACTACTAGGCTAGAACCTAAGGGGACGTAGGAACCCAGAGAAGTAGCAGAACCTCGAAGCATCAGGGCTGCTTTTTCCCTGCACACTGAGGGTATGGTGGGCAAGCTTGGGCCTTAGGCTTTACCAGCCTCTTCAACAATGGAACAGAACTGGGGCCCAGTCAAGATACAGAGAACTGATCAAAAAACCCTCCCCACCTTGAGGCCTGCATTCTCAGGGTTAGGATGGCTCATAGTAAACCCACACTCCTCATGCATGCACTCACACCCAGGAGGCACAGGTCCTCTCCACAGCAAGAAAGGCAGGGAGAAAAGGAAAGGGAACGCCTCATGCCTAGACCCTGGCCCTAGAATGAATTGGCAACCTAGATTCACTGGGAAACCCAAGCTAAGAATTTGGTATAGGGCGACCCCAGATGGGCCCAACCCATTTGGCAAGAACAAGGTCAATAAAAATTAGCAGCTGCCACCACCGTCACTGTCATTACCCCCTCCACCGTCACCCCCACCCCACCCCGCACTCTGCTCTCTCCTCCATCCTCCCTGTTTCCTCCCAGTTCCTGGAGGCCACCAGGTCTCCTGTCCTGGGCCTCTCCCATGGGCTCCACTTTCTCTCTGTGCCCAGCTAACTCCTCCTCACCCTCCTGACCTCAGCTCCAGGAGAATTTTCCCAGAGAAGCTTCCTCTGACTCAAGTCTAAACCAGGTCCTTTTGTCAACAGACCTCTATAAGCCTATGTTCCTTGCTTTTAGAGTGCTTAAATCAGTTCTGAATTATACATTTATAAGTAGGATTATTTGATTAACATCTCTGTTCCTCACTCAGGAGACTATAAATTCTCTAAAAGCAAGAAATGTACTTGGTAATATTCATCATAAATTCCAGTGCAGAATGCATAGAAAGTACTCAAAATCATTTTTGAATGGATGAATTGCAAAGGCTCAGGAGACATGGGGTCTCCTAACTTTGCCACTTACTTTGTGCCCCTTGCCAGGCACTGAGCTTTCTGCATTTTAGTTATCCCTCTTGTGTAAAGGAATGGTGAGACCTACCCCAAGTACCTAGCAAGGTTCTTATAAGAACCAACTGAAACCTGGCTGGGTGCAGTGGCTCATGCCTGTAATCTCAGCACTTTGGGAGGCCGAGGCAGGCAGAACTCTTGAGGCCAGGAGTTTGAGACCAGCCTGGCCAACATAGCCAAACCCCTTCTCTACTAAAAATGCAAAAATTAGCCGGGCATGGTGGTGCATGCCTGTAATCCCAGTTACTACTTGGGAGGCTGAGGCACAAGAATCGCTTGAATCTGGAAGGGAAAGGTTGTAGTGAGCTGAAATCACACCACTGTACTCCAGCCTAGGTGACAGAGCAAGACTGTCTTAAAAAAAAACAACTGAAACCCAATATATTAAAAATGTAAGGAATTTTATGATAGGTTGGTAGCTGAATTGATATCAAATTGTGCCATATGGCAAACCCTTATTGCATACTTACTATAAGCCAGGCACTTTGCAAAGTGCTTCAAATGCGTTATCTCATTTAATCCTTATTTTAAAAACTGTGAAGAAGATGTTTTTGTCTGCATTCTACACAGGAAGAAACTGAAGCCCTAAAAGCTCAGGAAACTTGCTTTGACTCCAATGAAGAAATTTGGGGCCAGGCATCATGGCTCTCGCCTGGAATCCCAGCACTTTGGGAGACCAAGGCAGGAGGATCACTTGAAGCCAGGAGTTCAAGACCAGCCTGGGCAACATAGTGAGACCTCATCTCTACAAAAAAAAATTAAAAATTAGCTAGGCATGGGGGCATGCACCTGTAGTCCTAGCTACTCAGGGGGCTGAGGTGGGAGGATTGCTTGGGCCCAGGAGGTCAAGGTTGCAACAAGCTATGATGGCACCACTGCACTCCAACCTGGGTGACAGAGAGAGACCTTGTCTCAATAAAAAATAATAAATAAATAAATAATGATCTTTTGGCCAGGCACAGGCACAGTGGCTTACGTCTGTGATCCCAGCACTTTGGGAGGTCAAGGCAGAAGGAGCACTTGAGCCCAGGAGTTTGAGACCAGCCTGGGCAACACAGCAAGGCTCTGTCTCTATTTTTATAATAAAGGATAAATAAATAAATAACACTCTTTTAACTTTAAAGTTTTTTCACTGCCTCCAGATCCAAATGTATTGTTTCCGAAGTTTTTGTATAGAGCTACACTTTGACTACACTTCTAGTTTTGAATAGAACTATTTCAGTCTACTATGGACTCAGTTTACAATTACCATTTTGCTCTTGGAAGGTCTTCATATGTTCAGAGCAAAGCAGTTTTCAATTTCAATCACCCATGGAGCAGGAAAGCCCTCTGTGTTCAGTGCCTAGCCTAGTGATGTGTTGTGCAGGCATGCCCTCAACATTCCTTTGGATGGTAGAGAAGAGTGACAATTACAAGGGTTTTCACTACTGTTTCTATAACCCTAAGATTCATCATCATAAGCAAGAAAAATCAAAACAGAAGGAGCATGAAGATTATTTTTTGAACATCTGACTAGGTTATGAGTGGGTAGCTATTTTATTTTGAACATGCACATACTAAGTTTACTTTTTGCCAAGAAGCACTTTTAACTCCTATCTGAAGTTCAAGGAAATCAAAATTCACACACACATAGACACACACACAACCATCTCAGCATACTTTCACCAAAGATAATGAACAGAGCAGACAAATCAATCTGACAGGTAATTTACCACTGCAGTTTGATTTCATCAGTCTAGCCACAATGCATTATGAACCAGGAAAATTAGACGAGTCAAGAGGATGATACTATCAGTGTTTAATGTTTATTTTCCATTACCTGGCAGCACAATTATTCTCAATAAAATATATCTATTCTCTTAGAGAAAAGCTTTAAGCAGTGGAGCTAATAAAAATAGTACTATTAAAGTTTAAAGCAGACTCGGCAACTTGGAGAAAGAGACCGTGTGTCTTTTATTGATGATTGGTGTGACAATCAGAACTCTCGGCAGATTTATCACGGCATTCAGGTGAATTGAAGGGAAACAGGGCATTCTCTGGACAAACAACTTCTATCTTCACTAAATGAAAGATGTTTTTCTCCTTCCCTTGAGAATGTCATGCAAAATGTAGTCATTTTAAACTGAGTTGACAGTTCTGTATTGGTGATTCCAACCCAAAACAATGTAGGACAAAGTCACTAAAAATCTCATGTCAATATGGGATGTGTCAGTCAGTGTTACACATAAGCTGATGCCCGAAACCCAGGTATATGTTCATCCAAAGGTGACTGGGACAAGAGTGTTAATAGATCCCATTGCCTGTTGAACTTTTCAGAAATGGAGTTTTTGAACACAGGCAAGTTGTTTGAGATAGGTCTCAAATGCAAATATTTATTTCATATGGGGAAAATTTCTTCGCAATGATCTGTTCTAGAAGAATAGGGCAATACAACCCTGAAAAAAAAATGTTAGATTTCTTATTCTTCAAATGTGATTTAAATGTTTCTACTTTTACCACTGTCTCCCCTGTAACCAGCTACCAAAGAAATCAGCTTCATGGTTTTGGGTGATGGGGAGTGAAGGTTTCTTAGTCTGTTTGTTTGTTTGTTTTGTTTTGTTTTTGAGACAGCATCTTGATCTGTTGCCCAGGCTGGAGTGTAGTGGTGCAATCTCTGCTCACTGCAGCCTCGAACTCCTGGGCTCCCTAATAGCTGGGACTCCAGGTGTGTGACACCACGCCTAGCTTATTTTTTGTTTTTTATAGAGACAGGGTCATGCTGTGTCACCCAGGATGGCCTTGAACTCCTTGGCTCAAGCGATCCTCACGCATCTGTTTCCCAAAGTGCTGGGATTACAGGTGTGAACCACTGAGTCCAGTTGCTTCGGTTTTAAGATGGTGTTCCTTAGAAGCAAAAAGATAATAATTAAAACAACATCAATGCCAGCAGTGGCTAAAATGCAGTTTCTAAGGCCTTATAAGTTTAATCCTAGCTCATTCCACCACAGAGAAAAATCAGTAATAATAATAGAAGTATCAATAATAATAAAGCTGTAGTGAGGGATACAGTCCACAGAAAACAAAGCACTTGCTGAATTTTTCTACCTTTTCATTCTATGCTATTGTCAATAACACTCACTAAACAATATTTCATTTCTCATCACACTCAGAGTCAGGGAAACAATTTAGCTGAACCTAACGCCTAACTATTCCAAGTTCTCAAAAAGTATAACTATGCATTTATATATCATATTCATCCCCGGGGCATCTCAGAGACAAAGTATCTCTCAGATCTGAGAGCAGCTGTCTGATGGTCAGACCATCAGTCAAGTCAGAGAACATGGAACCATGTCAAGAAGTAGCTTCCCTGGTGACTAGAAGAGGAGGGCGGGAAGAAGGAGGAGCGAAAAGGTGGTAAAACTATCAGGTACCATGCTCACTACCTGAGTGATGGGATCATCCATACCCCAAACCTGAGCATTACACAATATACGCAGGTAACAAAACTGCACGTGTACACCCTGAATCTAAAATAAAAGTTGAAATTGATAAGTGTTCCATTGCTGTGAATTCAGGCTTGTGGAATTTTTACATTTAGTTGCATTGAATTCAGATAATAATCAATGCTGTATTCCACTCAGTTGACCCTCTGCTGCCGAATATAAACAAATCAAACACAAGCAGAATGTTCACTATCCTGCTTCTCATAGCACTTGGGCAGGAGCCAACAGGGCATGTCCCTGTATATGCCACAGCTTCCCGTAGCCCTGAGCATAAGTAACAAGCCTTATCTATTGGTTGTATTGCCAGCAGCAAAGCCTGGGCTAAGGCACCAATGACCCTGGATGAGAACTAAAACCTGTAGGAGAAACTGATCTGTAGGTGATCCAAAATTCACATGAAAAAATGAACAAATAAGTCAAGAAAGTTATTGAAAGGATAAGTAATGGGGGAGGGAGAAAGACAAGTTCTACAAGCTAGCAAAATATTCCATGAAGTCTCAATAAATGGTATAACATGAGCATATGAATTATAGACCAATAGTATAAACAGGAAGTACTAAGATGAACCAACATATGGAAATTCAATATGTGATAAAGGTGTCATCACAAGCCGGTGGGGCAAAGATGACTTTTAAGTTGGGATAACTGGGTAGGACAGATATTTTATATATTTAGAAACATAGAAAGTGAAACATGGAATCATAAGAAAACACAGGTAAATTCCTTTTTATCCATGGAGTGAGGGAAGATCTAACCACAGGTCAAGATCCAGACACTTTTTTTAAAGAAAAGAATAATAAATTCAACTATATAAAAATAAAAAATGACTATATGACAAAAAGAAAAAATCGAGAGAAAAATGACAAACTGGCAAAAAAATCAACAACTTACATCATGGACCAATAGTACTCAAACTTTTTGGTCTCAGGAACACTTTGCCCTCTTAAAAATTATGAAGGGTTTCAAAAGTTGTGTTTATGCAGATTTTATCTATTGCTATTTACCATATTTGAAATTAAAATGGAAAAACTATTTTTAAAGTTTTTTACATATTTTTAATGTATTAATTGAAAATAAGCCTATTTCACATTAATATAAATATTTTATGAAAACTAGTTTTTTAAAACAAAATATAGATATTACTTTATACACTTTGTAAATTTCTTTAATATCTGCATTAATAGAAGACAGCAAGATTCTCGTAGCTGTTTCCACATTCAAGCTGTTGCTTTGATTGAAGAATACGGGGGAAAATCCAGCTTCACACATATATGTAACTGGAAAAGGGAGGAGTATTTTAATAACCTTTTTAGATAATTATAGATATTTTTCATAACAATAAAATGTGACAAGTGGAATCTGAAACCATATCAATGAACTTTTCATGCTTTATTAAATTATAACCCACCATTCTATCTTGCAATTTGAATGGCTTTTTTATCCATCATGTATACTATCACGCGCGCATTGCTCTCCTTTAATACGAACTGGTTCACCACATTGTGTTGACCTTCCAAAGGTTGACATATCTCATTATACAACATTTTAAAAATCAGATTTGTTAATATTTCCAGTAATCTCATCCCAACCAGCCTTGAATACTGAGAAGCTGTCAGCTCATTGTGGTGAATACAAGTTTTTAAAATTCTAGTTTTCTCTTGAAAGCCTGAATTTTGCCATTAACAAATACTCCTGGTCCTTTCCCTTAAGGTGACAGGATCACTTCATTTGTTTTTGAGAAAGCATCTGCCAGTTATCGGAGTCTGAGTAACCAGAGATTGTCCGTAATTCTTTCAAATAAAAAATGATCCTCCATGAAAAAGTAGCTAGTTCAGTTTGTGACTCAAAAAGTGACTTCTGGCCAGGTGTGGTGGCTCACACCTGTAATCCCAGCACTTTGGGAGGCCGAGGCAGGAGGATGGCTTGAGCTTAGGAGTTCGACACCTGTCTGGACAACATGGCCAAGCCCTGCCTCTACAAAAAATACAAAAATTAGCTGAGCATGGTGGCACACTCCTGTAGTCCCAGCTATTCAGGAGGCTGAGGCAGGAGGATCGTGTGAGCCAGGGAGACAGAGGCTGCAGTGAGCTGAGATCACACCACTGCATTCCAGCCTGGGTGACAGAGCAAGACTCCCTCTCAAAAAAAAAGTAACTTCCTCGAGATAATCATCATACTACGGTAAAAATGTTTTATGTGGCCAGGCATGGTGGCTCATGCCTGTAATCCTAGCACTTTGGGAGGCTAAGGTGGGTGGATCACGAGGTCAGGAGTTCGAGACCAGCCTGACCAATACCATGAAACCCCGTGTCTACTAAAAATACAAAAATTAGCCAGGCATGGTGGCACACGCCTGTAATCCCAGCTACTCGGGAGGCTGAGGCAGGAAAATCGCTTGAACCCGGGAAGCAAAGGTTATGGTGAGCCGAGATTGTGCCACTGCACTCCATCCAGTCTGGGCGACAGAGCAAGACTCTGTCTCAAAAAAAAAAAAAAAGAAAAAAGAAAAGAAAAGAAATGTTTTATGTGCACTTCATATTTCAACACACAAGTAAAAATTTGAGAAAACTAAAAATGTATTGCTTCATTATTGACATTTTTAAATGAAATTGCCTTTTTTTTTCTTCAAGTACGTGAAGAATACAATGGTATTAGTTTGATGCCATTTCCTTGATTCATGAGGTTAATATCACTAATAAGGGAAAATCTCACATCATATACCTTCTGATGTGCTAGGCTGAGAAGATACAATCTGCATTTCACCTGAATCTTATCAGATAGGCCTAACTTGGGTTGCGGGATATTCTGCAAAAGAAATGACCTGAACTCTTCAAGAAAGTCAAGTCATGAAAGACCAAAAAGTGGGAAGAAAAAAGACTAAAGAAACTGTACATATTCAAAGAGACTGAAAAGACACGAAAACGCAATGCATGATCCTGAATTGGAGCCTTAAAAAATTAAATTAGTAAAAGGGAAATTCTGGAAATATTTGGTTTGAATTCAGACTCTACATAGTAGTATTGTAGTGTATCAAGTTAAGTTTTCTGATTTTGATCATTGTCTGCAGATATGCAACTGAGTATGTTTTTGAAAGAAATACATTCTGAAACATAAAACATATAGCACATATAAGAGAGAAGTGAGAGAATGACTAAGTGGTCAGCTGGAACAGGGTGAAAGATATATGGGAGTTCTTTGCACTATTCTTGAAATTTTTCTATAAGTTTGAAATCATTTCAAAATAAAATTTTTTAAAGAAAAGACGGGAATAAAATACCAGTTTGCTTATATTTGTATAAATACTGAAGTGATAACAAGAATAAAATAGTGACCTGGAGTGGGACATGGAGTGAATGAGAACAGGGTGGGAGTGAAATTTCTCATGTATTATATATCTTTTAATATCATTTTGACTTTTAAACCTAGTATAACTAAATTTCTTTTTTTTTCTTTTTTTTGAGACTGGGTCTCACTGTGTCATCCAGGCTGGAGTGCAGTCATGCAATCACTGCAGCTGTGAGTTCCTGGGCTCAAACCATCCTTCAACCTCAACCTCAGCCTCTTGTGTAGCTGGGACCACAGGCACAGGCCACTGCAATAGGGGTCTTAATGTGTTGCCCAGGCTAGTCTTCAACTCCTGGTCTCAAGTGATTCTTCCGCCTTGGCCTCCCAAAGAGCTGCGAATACAGGCATTAGCCACCATGTCCAGTCTAAATTAAATCTTAAAAGTTCGTTATTATTATTTTTTAGAGACAGGGTCTCGCTCTATCACCCAGGCTGGAGTCCCATGGTGTGATCATAGCTCACTGCAGCCTTGAACTCCTGGGCTCAAGCGATCCTCCCACCTCAGACTCTGGAATAGCTGGGATTACAGGCATGCAGCACCACACCTGGCTAATTTTTGTATTTTCTGTAGAGAAGGGGTCTCACTGTGGTGCCCAGGCTTGTCTCAATCTGCTGTCCTCAAGCGATCCTCCTGCCTCAACCTCCCAAAATGCTGGGATTACAGCCAATGAGCCACCCTAAAAGTTAAAAGTTTAATTTTTGAATATGTGTTTTTGCCCACTAGAATTGGCTCTGAATGTGTATCCACTTTTCCAGAGACCATTAAAACAATATGCCATCTAGCTACACAACTTTGGTTAATTTTGCTAGAGATAAGAAAGTGAACATTAAATAACCCCAAGAGGCAACTTTTCAAGCCTGTTTATATAATTACATCACAGATTTTATTAAATAATAATAAGGAAGCACTAAAATATTTACATTTTGCATTGACCCAGACAAGTTAGGTAACAGTTTATCCCTTCTATTTCGTTAATTTTTTCCTTCAAAGAGCCAGCTCTCCAGTCAACTTATTAGTTAGACCATTTTTCTGTGTTCTAATTAATTAAGTTCAAATTTATGTTTACAAATTATTTTATTTTACTTACCTTGGGTTTATTTTTAATGTTCTTTTAGTATATTCTTAAGTTAGGTCATGTATTTATTAATAAATAAGGCTATACCTTTTCTTCTGAGCACCCATAAGTTCTGATAGAGTTTTCTTATCATTTGTTTTTTTATATATTCAGTAATGTCAGCCAAGCTTTTCTTTTTTTTCTTTCTTTTCTTTTCTTTTTTTTTTTTTTTTCAAGAGAGGCTCTTGCTCTGTCACCCAGGCTGCAGTACAATGGTGTGATCATAGCTCACTGCAGCCTCAAATTCTTGGGCTCAAGTGATCCTCCTGCTTCAGCCTCTGGAGTAGCTGGGACTACTGTAGTGCATGCCACCACTTCTCGCTAATTTTTAAATTTCTTGCAGAGATTAGGTCTCACCATGTTGCCCAGGCTGATCTTGAACTCCTGGGCTCTAGTGGTCCTCTCTCCTCACCTCCCAATGTGCTAGGATTACAGGTGTGAGCCACCGTGCCTGGCCAAATTTTCCTTTTTGACTCAAGAGCTGAGTTGAGAGGTTTTTAACATCAAAGCAGTAGAATTTTTGTTCCTGATCTGGTTTCTGCTTTGTACTTTAGTGTACTGTGATCAGAGAATGTCTATATTCACTACCATTGAGAATTCACTGAAGTCTTCTTTGAGGCCTTATGGAAAAATTGTATGAATGTTTCATTGCCACTTAAAAAACAATGAGTTGTTATGTTCAGACATACACACACATATTTCTACCTTATCAATTATGATATTTAGGTATTTTTTAGTCTTACTTAATTTTGGTCCTCGATGTTTAATGAACTAAAACACATGAATTAAATAATTAAGATGCAGTGTTTTCTATATTTTTTCTTGTTTCCCCTATAGCTCTTCTCTGTGAATGCTGATGCTCTGTTATCTGGTGCACAGTTATTCATAACTTTTTTTTTTTTTGAGACAGACTCTAGCTGGAGGCACCCAGGCTGGAGTGCAGTGGCACAATCTCGGCTCACTGCAACCTCCGCCTCCCAGGTTCAAGCGATTCTCATACCTCAGCCTCTCTCTATATAGATAGTTATGTATCTATTCTATTATCAAGGTCTACAACTCCAACATTCAATTTTCAAATCATAATCCCTATATTAGTCTTGGCCTCCTATAAGTAATTTGATTCAATGCTTACTGCCATTTTTTATTGTTTTTCTCATTAATCTCCTGGTTATCTGAGTTTATCTTCTAACAGTATTCAGAAGTAATCACTATGCTAACTTTTGACACTGGTCTTGATTGCTGTTTTTGAAATTTTGAAATGGAATGTATAACCTCTGTCTTCAGTCTGTCATTCAACATTGTTTGTGAGATTCATATAGGTAATACGTGTCAGTAGTTAACTGGTTTTCATTACTGAAAATCAGTAATATGTTTAGATAATTAGTAATATGTTTAGATGTTTTTCTAGTCTTTATTCTGTTCAATTGTTCTGTCTGTATCTTTATATTAATATTAAATTACTGTAGCTGTACAGCAGGGCATCCAATCTTTTGGCTTCCCTGGGCTACATTGAAAGAACAATTGTCTTGGGCCACACATAAAATACACTAACACTAACAATAGCTGATGAGCTAAAAAATAATAATAATAAAAATCACAGCAAAAAATCTCATAATGTTTTAAGAAAGTTTGCAAATTTCTGTCGGGCTGCATTCAAAGCCGTCCTGGGCCGCTTGGAGTTGGTAGACTGTGGGTTGGACAAGCATTCTTTAGGGTAAGTTTTGATATCTGTTTTGATATCTGATAGAAGTTTTCAAACTTTACCCTCCTTCAACATACTTTTGACTGTTCTAAGTTCTTTTTGATGCCATACACATTTTAGGATCAGCCTTGACCATTTCCAGAAACGAATCTGCCAGGGTTTTGTTTTTTTTTTTTTTTTTTTTTTGAGACAGAGTCTTGCTCTGTCACCCAGGCAGTGCAGTGGGGCTATCTCAGCTCACTGCAAGCTGTGCCTCCCGGGTTCACACCATTCTCCTGCCTCAACCTCCCGAGTTGCTGGGACTACAGGCCCCCGCCACCTTGCCCGGCTAATTTTTTGTATTTTTAGTAGAGACGAGGTTTCACCGTGTTAGCCAAGATGGTCTCCATCCCCTGACCTCGTGATCCGCCCGCCTCGGCCTCCCAAAGTGCTGGGATTACAGGCGTGAGCCACCGTGCCCGGCCTCTACCAGGGTTTTAATTGGGATTGCATTGAATTTATAAATTAATGTTGTGGAGAACGGAGACTTCTAATATATGAGCAAGGTATACCTTTCCATTTCTTTCGGTTTTCTTTAACTTGTCCCTAGAATGTTTTGTAGTTTGCTGTGTAAGGCCTTGCACATCTTCGTTACATTTAATTCTACATATGTGATGTGTTTTGAGGCTATGGTAATAGATCACTTTTAAGTCTTATTTTCTAACAGTTTATTGCTGACATAAAAAGTACAATTGATTTTTATATTGCTTTTGTACTCACTTGACCTTACTAAATTCATTAATTCTATTAGTTTATTATATGTTGTTTTTTTGTAAAAAAAAAAAAATGACAGTTTCATATCTTGGTTTTGGATCATTACACCTTTAATTTTGTTCTTGCGTGTTGCACTGTCTAGGACTTCCTGTAAAGTGTTGAGTTGTCATGGTGACTGACATCCTTGTCTCATTCTCAATCTTAGGAATAGCTTTCAAAATTTAAACATTAAGTATGATGTTTGCTGTAAATTTTTAAAATATTCTATATCAGATTAGGAAGTTCCATTCTGTTAGGCTGCTAAGAGTTTTTATTATGTATGGTGTTTAATTATATTCACTGTTATTTTTGTATCTACTAAGATGATCTGATGATTTTTCTCTTTAGTTATGTTAATGTGGTAAGTTATATTGATTGGTTTTCAACTATTAAACCAAAACATATTTCTGAAATAAATCTAGCTTAGTCATGGTGCACTATGTTTCTTATAAATAATAAGATTTGATTTGCTAATATTTTGTTTAGAATTGCAGCAATGTTTATGAGAGAGATTAGACTATAATTTTCCTTTCTTGTCGTGTTCTTGTTAGGTATGAGGTTTTGCTGGCCTCAAAAAATGGGCAAGGACTGTCCCCTCTTTTTTAATTCTCTGCAAAAATATGTATATAATTGTTATTTCTTCCCTCAATGTTTGGAAGAATTCACCAGTGAAGCCACCTGGGTCTGGACTTTTCTTTGCAGAAAGTTGTTTAATTATGAAGCTGATTTTTGTGATAGATATCATTCAGATTTTCTATTTCCTTTGTCAATCTTAGTATTTTTTTCCTGGAATTTTTTCATTTTATTTAAATTTTCATATTTATTGGCATAACTATTTCCATAAAGTCCTCTTAGTACCTTTTAGATGTCTCTAGAGTTTGTAATGATGTTCACTCTTGTTTTTTATTCTTAATATTTGTTATATGTTATCTCTGTCTCCATCTCTCTCTGGCCATGGATTTATCAATTTTATTTTTTTTTCAAATAATTATCTTTTGTCTTCAGCCATCCTTTATATTGTATATCTATTTTCTATTCAGTTGTTTTTCTTACTTTTAACTTCATTATTTTCCTCCTACTTCTTTCTGTTTAATTTGCTGTTCTTCGCTTATTTTCATGAGGTAAACTGTCATATATTCAATATAAATCAGTTAAAGTATTTTCTAATTTCCATCACTATTTATTCTTAGACCCATGGGTTATTTAAAAGTATGTTGCCTAATTTCCAAGCCCATGTGACTTGTATAGTTATCTTTTTGATACCGATTTCTTGCTTAATTTCACCATAGTCAGACAGCATACCGCATTCACGGAAATGTGTTGACACTTCATTATCCAACATACAATCAGTTTGGGTAAATGTCTCATATGCATTTTAAGTGAAGGTGCATTCTAATATTGTTGCATGCAGCGTTCTACACATCAATTAGGGCATACTAATTACTGGTGCTTTCAAATTTTTTATATCTTTGCTGATTTTTGTCAGTGTGTTCTATCATTTATTGAGAATGATGTGTTAAAATTTCCTACCGTGATTGTAGATTTGTCTTTCTTTTTTTTTTTTTTTTTTTTTAGTTTTGTCAGTTTTAGCTTTCCATGTTTTGAGGCTATGTAACTAGGTGCATACAAGTTAGAATTTTTGTATCTTCCTGGAAGACTGGCCCTTTTATCAATATAAAATATCTCTCTTTATCTCTAGGAATGCTTTTTGCCTTGAAGCAATAGATTCCTTTTGTTAAAGTTTACATGACAGGCCGGGTGCGGCGGCTGATGCCTGTAATCCCAGCACTTTGGGAGGCCGAGGTGATGGATCACCTGAGGTTAGGAGTTCAAGACCAGCCTGGCCAACATGATGTAACCTCGTCTCTACTAAAAATACAAAAATTAGCCAGGTATGTTGGCACGTGCCTGTAGTCCCAGCTACTTGGGAGGCTGAGGCAGGGGAATCACTTGAACCTGGGAGGTGGAGTTTGCAGTGAGCTGAGATTGTGTCACTGCACTCCAGCCTGGGTGACACAGCAGGACTCCACCTAAAAACAAACAAACAAACAAAAAACAAAAAAAAAAGTTTACGTGATATTTCTTTTCCATTAAACCTTTCTGTATTTTAATATTTAAGGCATGACTCTTATAAGCAGTATATATGTAAGTTTTGTGTTCTGGCCAGTATCATAAACTTTTAAGTAAAGCATTTAGCTTATTTAAATTTCATGTACATATTTTTATCTTTGAACTTAGCATCTTACTATTTATTTTCCATTTTTCCCACCTAACCTACATTATTCTTTCTCTCCCCACTATTTATTTCGCCTTCTTTCAAATTTGTGGCTTTTCAACGTTTCACTTTCCTTTACTACAGTTTCTTGGCTTTTATAATTACCCTAGAAATTAAATGACTCTTGACTTAGTAAATCTAATATAAACTAGTATTTTCCTTTTTTTCTTTTTTAAACTTTTAGGTTCAGGGGTACCTGTGCAGGTTTCTTACACAGGTAAACTCCTGTCATGGGGGTTTGTTGTACAGATTATTTTGTTACCCAGGTACTAAGCCTAGCCCAGTAGTTATTGTTTCTGATCCTCTACCTCTTCCCACCCTCTACCCTCAGGCCCCAGTGTGTGTTGTTCCCCTCTTTTTGTCCATGAGTTCTCATCATTTAGCTCCCACTTGTAAGTAAGAACATGCGGTATTTGGTTTTCTGTTCCTGTGTTAGTTTGCTAAGGATAATGGTCCCCAGCTCCAACTATGTTCCTGCAAAAGAAATGATCTCATTGTTTTTATGGCTGCATAGTATTCCATGGTGTATATATGACACATTTTCTTTAGCCAGTCTGTCATTGATGGGCATTTAATTCCTTATAAATATGACTTCCTAAACAATGCTAATACCTCAGAACATTTTGACTTTATTTACTTGTCTCTCATCACTTGTATTATTGTAATGTATCATAGCCATGTGAGAGTACACACACACACACACACACACACAAATGCCCCACAATTCATATATTGACCCTTTCATACTTTTCATTTTTTTTCCCTTAATCTCCATGCTTCCACCTGGGATCATGTTTCTTTTGCCTAGGGAACTGCATTTACTCTTTCATTTATCAAGAAACTTCTAACTGGCATTTAAATTGTATGCCAGGGAAAAAATTGCTAGTGGCGAATTCTCTCCATTTTTATTCTTCTGAAAATTATCTTTTTTATTCTTCCTCTGTGAAGGATATTACTGTTAAGTATAGATTCCAGATTGGCAGTTTAATTTCAGCATTCTATAGTTTTTGTTTAAAAGTCAGCTGTCAATCTTATTGTTGCTCATTTAAAAGTAATATGTCCTTTTTTCTTTTGGCTATATTTTTGGGGAGTTCCCCTATGATGTGCCTAAGATGTGGTTTTGTCTTTATCCTGCTTTGGTTTGTAGAACTTCCTCAATCTATGCTTAATAATTTTTAAATCTATTTTGGAAAATTCTCAGCCATTATCTCTTCAAATAGTGCTTTTCTCATATTCTGTCCCACCTTTCCTGGAACTATCACTGTATGTATGTTATTATTATTATTATTATTTTTTTGCCATGTCGCATATAACCCTTACAGTCATTTCTTTCTTTTTTTTTTTTTTCTTAATCCTTTTTTGCCTTTGAGTTTCAGTCTGGCTATTTCTTTGACATATCTTCTGGCTTGCCTCTTTAGTTTTGTCTAATCTATCTGCAAACTCATCTATTAAATTCTTAATTTCAATTACTCTATTTTTCAGTCTCAGAATTTCCACTTAAATCTTATTGTAATTTTTAGTTTCCTGCTGAAATTCTTAATATTTTCATATAATTTCTTGAACATATTAATCATAGCTTTGGATTAAGTCCAATATTTGGATCTCATGTATAACTGTTTCTATGGTCTGCTTTTCCTCTTGATTTTGGTCAATTATTGCTTTATTACATGCCTGCGCTTATTATTGAACGCCAAACACTGCAGTATTCTGGATGATGTTATAGTCTTCCAGAGAAGGTAACTTTTTAAAATTTTCAATATATTTTCCCTTGTTTTAATTGTGGCCTAATTTTCATGCAGATAAATGCACAGATCTGAAGTGTATAATTTGATGAGTTTCAACAAATGCATATCCCATATCCCTATCAAAATATGACACATCTTACCATTCTTGTGCCTCATTCTCAGTAAGTTTTCTCCCCTGACAACATAAATACCAACAGATGAAAGTATACATAAATTGTAGTGTAGGCATACAATGTAATGCTACCAGCAGTAAAAAGGAAAAGACTGTGATACATACGAATATCTGGATGAATCACAAAATGTTATCCTGAGTCAAGAAGCTGAACAGAAGCAGTGTAAGCTGGCCAGGGAGCGGTGGCTCATGCCTGTAACCCCAACACTTTGGGAGGCCGAGCTGGGCGGATCACTTGAGGCAAGTAGTTCGAGACCAGCCTGGGCAACATGGGGAAAACCCATATCTACTAAAAAAATTAGCCGGGCATGGTGGTGTGTGCCTGTAATCCCAGCTACCTGGGAGGCTGAGGCAGAAGAATCGCTTGAACCCAGGAGGTGGAGGCTGCAGTGAGCCGAGATCGTGCCATTGCACTACAGCCTGGGTGACAGAGCGAGACTCTGTCTCTAAATAAATTAACAATAAATAAATAAATAAATAAATAAAATATTATCAGCTTTTCTAGTTCTCAGTTGGAGGAATCACCTGATATCAGTTAATCAACCACTGCAGGAGCATAAGTCGATTAATATAATTTTGCATATTGATTGTGAGCCACATTGCTTAATCGTCCCAGTTCTGTCATCTGCAGATTTTTATGCTTTAAGTCATTAATAAAGTTTTAATACCATGGTATTAAGACAAAGTCTTGGACCACTCAATTATTCTCATAGTATACCACCAAGCCACTTATCAACACTCTCAACAGTTATTTGACAGCTGTGTATTTCTTTAAAAGTACCAGAAGCTGAAGTTTTTATCTCCTTATCCGTAAGATATTATGTGCAATTTTGCCACAGGCTTTGCTGAATCTAAGATTGGATATGTAGCATACTTTCCATTGAGCAAACCTTTTTTCTATACTGGAAAAAAAGTATTCACCTTGATGCTTCTGAATATTTCCTCTATTATTTACCAAACATCATTGACACATGCTCTGGGATTCCATCTGCAATTTCTTCAAGAAGCAGAAACATACTAAAATGTAGTTGGCCTCGCCCTGGAGACAGATGCATTGAAAACTTTTCATTTCTTTCCATAGCTGTTCTTTGCTTTTTTATCCCATCTCTACATTATTTATTTTATCCTTCCCTGTTTTAAGATAATTCTGGCTGGGGACAGTGGCTCACGCCTGTAATCCCAGCACTTTGGGAGGATGAGGTGGGTGGAAAATTTGAGGCCAGGAGTTCGAGACCAGACTGGGCAACATGGTGAAACGTTGTCTCTACTAAAAATAGAAAAATTAGCCGGGTGTGATGGCTGGCTCCTATAATCCCAGCTACTTGGGAGGCTGAGGCAGGAGAATCACTTGAACCCCGGAGGCAGAGGTTGCAGTGAGCAGATATCATGCCACTGCACTCCAGCCTGGGCAACAGAGTGAGACTCTGTCTTAAAAAATAAAATAAAATAAAATATAAAATAAAATAAAATAAAATTCTGCTCATTGGAGATGTAGCATTTCTCATACTTCTGGATCTGAATATAATTTAATGGCATTCTTTGTTGACTAGCATTTTCTGAAAGTTCACTAGGAATTTTAACCTTCCTAATATTTTTATAAACTTTTACTCTTTTATGATCAGTTTATGTGCTCCACACAGTCAACTTTAGTTCATCCCTTGGAATCTGTGTTCACCAGAGGTCTTCCTATGCAAGCATACCAGTTATTTCAGTTTCTGTCTCTTCCCACTTGGCCTTTCATTATTTGTATACAGTTGTCCCTCAACATTTGTTGGAGATTGGTTCCAGGACCCAATCTGCAGATGCCCAAGTCCCTTATATAAAATAATGTATCTGCCTATAACCTAGTCACATCCTCTGTACATCTGTATATGTTAAATCATCTCTAGATTGCTTATAATACTTAATACAAGTAAATGTTATATAGTTGTTATAGCATATTCTTATTTGTGTCATTTTTATGGTTGTATGGTTATTTTTGCTATTTAAAAAATATTTTCCATCCTTGGTTGGTTGAAACTGCCAATGTGTAATCTAAGGAGGGTCGTCTGTACTTGAAATCTCACTTTTTCCAAATAATTCAGTTTAACCTCTTGAGCCATAAGAATTTTCACTGAGTTTGCTGAAATCAGACTCCATGCATGGTTGACTAAATCCCATATTTCATTTCCTTGCCATTATGAACTGTAAGATACAGGAATCACTGTCTCCCAGGCATCCTGTCATTCCCAGACCACCAACTAGCTCTTTATTTATTAAAATAATGCACACAGCTACTCCCCCTCTGAAAACATAAACAAGGTGGGACTCAATTCCAGGACTCAACTTTTAGCAGATGTCAGGATGGTTGAAGGCCCTTAACCCTACAGGTCATTTCTGTGTATGTTGTTGTTATAATATAATCCGTACTAAGCAAACATCATCCAAATCTTTCCAAATAGGTGAGTGTTATCATATAATTATCCTAAGTGTCACATATTTCCTTTTAGCAACACTTAAACGCTCATCATTCTCCTAATCCATAGATTTATGGATTTCTTTATAGATGAATGTCTTATTTAGGTATCACACAACTTGTCTTTCCTATTCAATCTACTTCATTTGGACCTAATGGATCGATGGCCATTTTATGGTTATAAATTCTGCATGTTCGTTTTGTAACCTCTGCTGCATCTATGGGATATTTAATTTCTAACAAGACATGATGTTCATTCTATTTTTTCAATGCTCTGCCTTTCATAGATACCTGGAAGTAAAATATTGGGCCCAAACAGCCTTTATTGTAAAGATGACTTCTGTGTATTGCATAGTGCTTCTGTTACATAAGTTCTTTCAGTTCAGTGATGGCCTTTCTTGGCATATATAATTTAACTCATCTTTAAAATTTAAGTCATCTTGATCAGTTTACTTTCCTGCCAAACATTTGGTCTTTAGAAACATTATCCCTTCGCAGGGACCAGCATCGTGTTATTGCCATACTACTAATAAAAACAACTAACATTTATTACATGCCATGTTTCCAGGGGTGAGCTGGTAAATGTTTAACAACTGGCACAAAATCCACACACATACATAAGTGTATAATAAATGTAGCTAATATAAATAAAATAGATAATACTCCTTATTGCTAATTCCACATAACCAATTTATTCACAAAGTATCTTTTTATTTTTCCCAAATTCTTCTATCTCTAGCCATCCTGTGATTGCAATTGGTTCACAAGTGTAATCTGGCATGAATGTTGGTTGATATTTTTATTTACATTAACAAATAAGACAAAAGACAATCAACACATGTCAGAACTTCACTGATTTGTCCATGATATATCTGGCTTCTTTGCTGAATCAGATCATAGTTTTTGAACACTGGAAGAATATTTCCTCAATTTCTTGTGTTGTTCACCATGTAACAGCTACAGACACATTTTAAATTTTAATCTGCATTAACATTTTCCCCATCACCTTTTTAAGTCTAGACAAATTGACCAAACAGTAAACCATCCCTGATTTGGTCTAAATACTGCCACTACCAAACTGCCAATTTCAAACCACCTTGATGTCACTAACGTAGAACTGGGAAAAAGTGTAAAGTACACCATTGTATAGTATTTCCACCACACAGGTACCTTAATATCTGTGAAATAACCTTAAAAGCAGAGATAATAGTAAAATATGATAAAATAATAAAGAATTAAGTTTTGACTATTTCATTGGTTTTAAATGATGCCCAAGTCTCAGCTGAAATAAAATAATAGGCAAGTTTATGGAGCTCCTCTCCAATCCTTTCTTTTCCTTACAGTGTTATTTGTTGAGAAAGCCAGACCCTTTGACAAGTTGTTTCTCGGTCTGAGTCTTCTTGATTTCATAGGCAGGATGTAGCTCTCCATCCTTTATATTTTCTGGAAGCTACATTCAAAGCCTGATTCAGATTTAAGGTTCAATTGCTTTGACAAGACCATAAGAGGTCTTGTTTTCTTCCATCAGGAAGCATGTAATATCTAGTTCTCTTTTGATGATGCTAGCAGCCATTGATGCTTAATACACAGATTTATTAAATCAATGGGGAGTATAAAGTGGATGATAATAATTTCAATTATTAGTTGGAAACTTTTTATTTATTTATTTATTTTGAGGCGGAGTCTCGCTCTGTCACCCAGACTGGAGTGCAGTGGCGCGATCTCGGCTCACTGCAAGCTCCGGCCTCCCGGGTTCACGCCATTCTCCTGCCTCAGTCTCCCGAGTAGCTGGGACTACAGGCGCCCACCACCAGGCCCAGCTAATTTTTTGTATTTTTAGTAGAGACAGGGTTTCACCGTGTTAGCCAGGATGGTCTCAATCTCCTGACCTCGTGATCCGACCGCCTGGGCCTCCCAAAGTGCTGGGATTACAGGCGTGAGCCACCACGCCCGGCCGGAAACTTTTATATAGAGGTACTTCCCCTCATCTGCCATATGGATACTTAGTGGTCAAGTGCATACAGGATAGGCCAAATAAATGTTTGATTCTTTCTCTTTATCATCAGTTTTCAAGAAGATATGAATTTATTCCCTCTCATCCTCCTCTTTTGATATTATTAATTCATGGGTGTAAACATATCAGTGAGTTTCAATTCATTGCCAACTATTATTATTGAAGCTCCAACTGTCCATTTTTGGCCAGTGGGAACTTCAAGTCGCCTCCAGAATTCTTTTGACAAGATCCTGCTAACATTTGATCACTTCCTTGCTATGACAATTCTTTCAGGATCATCTCCCACGTTTCCCGCTCCACACCTGGAATCAGCCATATCTCCAAAATGCCTTGGTTTCTTTTAATGAGAAATTCTATTTCAAGGTCAAAACCCAGGTGCTAAGGATGCTCCCCCAGTTGGTCATTCTTGTTACACCTTTTCAGTGATCAGTTACATACATGAACACATAGACACATAGATTAAATATCTCATGACATCATATTGATACTCCCAATTCAAATTAAAGACCACAAAGTTTTTACTTTAACTTACCACCTTGTTCCATTCTTAGAAACCTGATTGCCAAGGACTCGAGACGATAGAATTAAAATATCCAATATGTACTCATTTGTTTAATCATATGCTACATACACACCAGGCAGAATACCACCAATATGACTGTTGAAAACATTAAATTTTCGCCTATGTTTTCCTCATTATTCCATTGTAAATGGTACTAAGTCTTCATTTGTCAGTGTTTATAGTCATTAAGGACTCTATTTTCTCCTTGCTGGCCCTCACTTCATCTTATTTCTGTAAGCAATTAAATATTTAATGCGCAACATCAAGTCTCATGTTGCTATCTCTAAGACATTTTGGTACTCTGAAACTCATTCTGCAGTAGATTCTTAAAGAAGGGCTCTCTTCCCAACCTCTTATTCAGTGGGAGATATTTCAGTACTACCCATTATTTAAAACAGCAATCTCACATTGTGTGATACTGCTTTCATGGAACCTAATGCCAACTGAATATGCTACAGGCATTGGCAAGAGTGGTAAGATCGACAGGGAGGTCCAGTCACTGTTACTGGCAATGTTCAGGCAATCAATTTGGCTAATATTAACAGGTCAGGAGACAAGGGCATGACCAGAGACAGCAGTCATTACATGTAGCTAGATGTCAGAAATGTCACATCAGATCTGGTTCCCTAACAAGCAGGTTGAATTCAGGTTACCCCTGCAGTCAGAACGATGTCATCCAAGGATATTGCAGTTTCCCTTATGACAGAAAAGGTTGAGTTTCCTTTTCAACACAGTGGTGCTGTCTTCCCTAGAAGCCTTTGATTCCTCTTTAAGTCCATCTTCTCCAAGGAAACTGAACACTCTGGACACAGGGGCCTCAATAAGGCCTAGCACAGCTTCTGTGAGTAGCCACTCAACTGATTGTCTAAGACACAGTTGCTGAGATGGTGGCTGAGAGAAAGGAGGAAGAAGAAAGGATACAGAGAGAAGCGTTTTCTGTATCAACGTGCTTAATGAGAAGATGGGAGGAGTGTTTGGTGAGTCAGGTTTACTAGAGGGCAAAGCTTCTACACCCTACGATTTGCCTAAGTCTGAACTAAGTCATTCTGTCAATGGGTTGGATCAGTGTGGGTAACTAACAACTTATTATACTCCCTACCTAGAAATTTTAAAGTGCTTATTAATAGAAGTCCTTTTATAACAGGATTGAAAACATATCAGTAGCAGCTTCTTCAACTAGAGCATCGTTCAACTAGAGCCAACTATGCATGAGTACCAGCTCTGGAAGAATGTGGCCTGGGACCCTTGAAGTAAATCTGATAGTCATTTAAATAAAAACAAAAAATGCTGATTATCATCTACTCTATGAGACCTACATACCCTGCCATCTTCCATACTTTAGAATGCATCTGGAGAAATCACGTGCAGACCTACTGAGTTGCTTTGAGATTACCAATAATTTCCTTGTATCCATGGTTAGACGTCAGCTTCCATTTAAAAAGTTGTGTTATGTATGTTTTTCAAGTTTTTCACTACTTCATACAGGGTATTATTAAAAATCAGAAGTAAATATAATGTGAAGTAGCTTAGATCCCAAGGGAAAGTTCCAATTAGAACCATTTCTTTCATTGTTTAGTTTCTAAAATAAAATTTTAGAAGACCTTTCTCACCAATGTAAAAACTTCTAAAATTTAAATGTAAGACTATTGTGACACAAACTTCTGAAACATTAATTATCTCACAGTACAGCATTCCTAGATTTTCCAAAGAGAACAATGTGAACTGAGGCTTCTATTAAGCCATGGTCTCAGACCGCTTTTGCCCAAATTGCAAGCATTTTGATGGTGTTGTATTGGAAGTTAAATCACATTTACCTCCCTTCCAGCCCCAATATGAGAGCATATAATGGGACAAATATTCAAGTTTAGCACACCTATAATAAAAATATATTTCTCTCCTTAAACTTTCCTAGTGTCATGGACTTAAGAGATAAGCATGAGGGAGATGGATAAAATATTACATATTTTAATTTTTTAAGTGATTTTGCAGAATGCGCATTTTGCAACTGCTTATTCCCCACATCCCAACCTTCTAGAATAGCACCATCCAGTAGAAATTTCTTTTGAGGATGAAATTGTTCCATATTTGCATTGTTCAGGATGGCGGCCATTAACTCCAAGTCCCCACTGACCATTCGAAATGTAGCTATTGTTGACAGAGTAACTAAATTTTTTTTTGAGACAGGAGTCTCGCTCTGTTGCCCAGGCTGGAGTGCAGTGGCGCCATCTTGGCTCACCGCAAGCTCCGCCTCCAGGGTTCACGCCATTCTCCTGCCTCAGCCTCCAGAGTAGCTGGGACTACAGGCATCTGCCACCACGCCCGGCTAATTTTTTTTTTTTATTTTTTTAGTAGAGACAGGGTTTCACCATGTTAGCGAGGATGGTCTCGATCTCCTGACCTCGTGATCCGCCCACCTCAGCCTCCCAAAGAGTAACTAAATTTTAAAGTACTACATAATTGTAAGTAAATTTAAACTCTTTTGGGTGTGTACCCAGAAGTGGAATGGCTGCATCGTATGGTAACTCTATTTTTAATTTTTTGAGGAATTGCCATACTATTTTCCACAGTGGCTGTACCATTTTACATTCCCACCCATCAATAGAGGAAAAGGATTCCAATTTCTCAACATCCTTGCCAACACTTGTTTTCTGCTTTCTTGATAGCAGCCATCCTGCTGGGTGTAAGGTGATATCTCAGTTTTGATATGCATTTCTCTAATAATTAGTGATGCTGGGCATCTTTTCATGTCCTTGTGTATCTTCTTTGGAGAATGTCTATTCAAGTCCTTTGCCCATTTTTGAATCAGGTTTCTCGTTGTTGGGTTTTAGGAGTTCTCTCTGTATCAAGGATATCAATCCTTCATCATATATACAATTTGCAAATATTTTCTCCTATTCTGCTGGTTGCCTGTTTATTATCAATAGGATAATGTTATTATCAATAGGATAATGTCTTTAGATGCACCAATTTTTAAAATTTTTATAAAGTCGTTTGTCTTTTTCTTTAGTTGCCTTGCCTTTAGTGTCATATCCAAAAAATTAGTGCCAAATCCAGTGTCTCTAACATATTTATACATCCATGTTCATAGCAGAATTATTCCCAGTAGCTCAAACATGGAAGCAACACTGTCCATTGACGAATGGATAAGCAAAATGTGGTGTATACACACAGTGGAATATTATCAAGCCTTAACAATGAAATCCTGCTACTACATAGATGAACCTTGACGACATTATGCTAAGTGCAATAAGCCAGTCACAAAAAGGCATATGCTGCATGATTGAGGTAGTTAAAATCACAGACAGGGTAGAATGGTGGTTTTCTCAGGGGCTAGGGGAATGGGGATTGATTGTTTAGTGGATATAGAGTTTCAGTTTTGCAAGACGAAAAAAGTTCTAGAGATGGATGGTGATGATGGTCGCATAACAATATAAATGTACTTCATACAACTGAACTGTACACTTAAAAATGGTTTCTAAGGTAAATTTTAGGTTATGCATACTTTGCCACAATTTTTTAAAATGCCACATATGGCTGGTGGCTACAGTAATTGGATAGCACCATTCTAGAACATAAGTGAAAACAGAAATCCATATTAAAGAGATTAATACACACAATGGCCTATCCAGGAATATCAGTGGGTAGAAAAAGAATCGCTGAATTCTGATTATTTGCCAGGGGACAGAGAGGGATGCTAGTTTACTTCCTATGCAACCAGAACCAGAAGAGACCAGTAAAAGCAGTACCTACCCCCTGCCACTTCTATATTCATAACAGATGTACATAATAGAAGGAAAATATGTTTCAATATGCCACATAAATAACAACTAGCTTAGCGTGAAACAGAAAGCAAGTTACTTGTTCCTCAAGTATTATTGAACATGCCAGAATATGCTTTAAATTGATCACAAACTTTAAATAGAAATAACATAGCTAATCAAAATATTACTTCTCTTCAGCCTTAGGCTTATCATACTGTCACTAAGCATATGACTTTAGGCATTCACATCAATCTGGGCCTCAGTTATTTCATCTATAAAACAAACAGTGAATGTGAGGGTCCCTACAGGTCCTTTCCTGCTTTATGAATCATTAAGAGTATTACTCTGGCATCCAAGATTCCCATTTTTCTTGTCTAAATACAGTCATGTACTGCATAATGATGTTCTAGTCAATGACAAACTGCTTTATACAATGGTCATCCCATAAGATTATAGTACTGTATTTTTACTGTAACTTTTCTGTTTAGATATGTTTAGATACACAAATACTTACCAATGTGTTCCAATCATCTACAGTACCCAGTAGTCACCTGCTGTACAGGTTTGCAGCCTAGGGGCAATAGTTTATACCATATAGCCTAGGTGTAGCATCTGGTATACATCTAGGTTTGTGTAAGTATAATCTACGATGTTTGCATATACCAATACATTTCTTAGAACATATCCTCATCACTAACAGTCACATGACTGTATAAACAATTTCTCAAAATGCCGAGGAGGAAAAGGTGGCCTTGAAGTCTGTGCTGAATTTTCACTGGTTACTCCACCATGACTTGACAGTGGTTTTGATTTCTACCTCTGCAAATGTTCTGTTTAGGAAGACCTCTACAGCATCATTTGTCACTCTCATGTCACTATGGATTTCATCAATATAAATTTATGACAGTGTTACAAGTTTCTAAGCTACTTGCAGTATGAGCCACAACTATCATAAGTACTTGAAAGATCTGGCTACCAGCATTAATAATTAAAAATCTTTACCAAAGACTGCTTTTCTGAAAACCTTAAAAGAGAGGAAATAAAATAAAGGGAGAAGAGGGTCGATGAGAAAAAACATGTATTGTAAATACGTATTGTAGTAATTTGTTAAACAGTTACCTTGTTGTACAAGTGCTCTGTTTATGAGAGCACCATAAAAGTGGTTTCTTTCTTTCGTTTCCCGCCCCCCGCCCCCCCGGCCCTGTGGGAGAAGGGAAGCAATGAAGGAAATGAAAGAGTTCATTTAAGTGCTATATTCACATAAGGCTAATTTGTAAAAGCTCAATCCAGCTGAATATACTTGCAGCCACCACTGGACCACAAAACTTCAGTTGAGCAGACTAATTGAGATTCTTCAGGAGAACTCCCTTGTCTTTGGTAGTTACAGATGTCTCATTAGGCATTCTGTACCTCCCCCTTCTCTAGAATACTAAGTCTGACTCTGCCCGGCCTGAGGACACAGCCTGTGAATTCCCAACAGATTCTAATACACCATCATTGTAAGACAGTTGATTTTGTTTTGCACCCATTTGATTTTTGTTTTTGTTTGTCTCAAACTAAAGTTGCAATTAATAGTACTATGTTAGCTGCACTGGAATACTGTTTAAAAAAAATAACAACAAAAACTATGCTCCGCCTCCAAGACTGTAACATGCAGGCTAAAGGCCCTATTAAACACTTTCTGTAGTCTTACCCAGAGAATTGCTTTCTATAAAAGAAGATCATTAGAGCTCATGGCTGGAGTTCAGGGAGAATAGTAAACTCCATAAAATCTTATTTTCTACCCATTTTCAATTCTCTATAGAGATGCAATATTTGAACATTTGACTTTTATTAGACTAGTGAGAGCGTGGCGCCCACTTGACTATTTTTATTTTCTTCTTTACTAAAAAGATGTGTTGTGGACTCCTCTGTGTATTTCTTTAAAAATGCCTAAAGATCTTTGAGGAATTCGAGTCATGGGAAACTACATGTTTAAGTATTTAATTAGAAGCCTCTCCCATGAGCTGGAAAAAATCTCTTGGCACAATTATGGAATAACTATTTTCCCTTCACTGCTGTCTTTTTTTTTTTTTTTTGAGACGGAGTCTCACAGTTACCCAGGCTGCAGTGCAGTGGTGCGATCTCGGCTGACTGCAACCTCCACCTCCTGGGTTCAAGTGATTCTCCTGACTCAGCCTCCGAGTAGCTGGGATTACAGGCGCCTGCCACCATGCCCGGCTAATTTTTTTGAATTTTTAGTAGAGACAGGGTTTCACCATGTTGGCCAGCCTGGTCTCGAACCCTTGACCTCAAATGATTCACCTGCCTTGGCCTCCCAAAGTGCTGGGATTACAGGCGTGAGCCACTGCGCCCAGCCCACTGCTATCTTAATGTTCAATATTGTGGGCTTGCAAAGAAGCGTGGAATGAAACTGAAATAGTAAAAAGGTCTCCATGTATCTGCATTATTGGTGAGTTTTCACTTGTATGTAAGCAACGGCGTGCACAAACACTTAGCACACACACACGTTTGTGTGTATGTTATAAACGCACAACCCATCTACCACTAAGTCCAAAGTTTCACCAAATTATTTCATTTGTGCTTTTCACATAAAAACAATTTATAGATTTGTCTCTATCTAAAATATAAACATCATTTTTTGGAGATTATTTAATAATTAACGTACTTTCTCCAGAGTAAAGGGTAAAATTTCTTATTTCTATAAAATTTAAATAAGTGTTTTTCTTCTAATTGGAATGTGACAATGTATTTAAATATACTTTCTTTTCTAAATCTGCAACTACCTTTTTCAATGACATTATGAAGGAAGACTTACTAACAAATAAAATTCCACTGATAATTTATTTCAGCTTTTAATATATTTTCTACTATAAAACCAAGCTGTCAAGACAGGAAAATATTACTAGCTTTGTTATTACAAAACAAGTGAGAATTTTTAATTCACAAAGGATGAAAACGCAAGACATTAATCTCACTGTACATACAATATTACAATAAACTGATTAGCTGTAGACTAATAAAACATTTAAGACTTCACACACACACACACACACACACACACACACACACACGTACCTTGAAACAAGAAACACAGGACAATTTTAATCTTTGATATATGTTCATGAACACCAAGAACAAGAACATCACTGATTTGAGTCTAATTGTTTTCCTGGTATACAATCACTAAATAAGCAAGATCTAAAGCATATTGTATTATTAAGGACATCTTTAGGCAAATATAAACATTCTGATTTAGGGCTTTTTCTCCCCACCCGAAACAATCTGCTTTAGCTATCAAGTAGTTTGGTTTGTTATCAATTTAACACGCTCACAACAACAAATACAGACTTTCTACCACAAAATTCAGGTGAGAGGTTTTTAGACAGATCATACAAAAAAATACTTGTTCCCAAGGAAGGCAATCTGTAAATTATAAATGCAACCCTAAGAAAAAAAAATCCTGGTCACAAATCACTCGCTTTCAAATATTGATGGAGAAATAAAAAGTGTACGTTGTGGGTGGAGAAATGTTGGCATGGAAGAGAGGAGAAAAGGTATGAAATGAGGAAAGTGTTATTTGCCACAGGAAATATTGGATTCAGTTGATTTTTAAAAATGAGGTATAACAGTATGCCAGTAAATGAAAAAACAAAAAAATTAGAAACCAAAATGCACATTTCCAATGGAAAAATCTCTAAACCTCTTATAGTTTTATTAGACATTTCATGTACAGAAGTTAATCTAGAAAAATACATTTTAAAAATCTTCAACAGACCATGCTCCCTGTAACAAAACCTTCCAAACCCTGTGTTTTATTATACAAAGCAATCTACATTAGTAGGTAAAAAGAAATTCTCAAATTTAGCAATGTCATTTTCCATCCAACATCCATCTAATTTACAGATGGGTTTCCACTATTCATACTGGAATTAGAATTCTGTAATAAATTTTTTCTAATGTTTTCTGTACATATTAAATAACCCAAAAGGTTCCTCTTGTAGTGCATGTGCCATTTAGCAAGTCTATTCAGTATTTTTCCAGTACCATTCTCATTACAGTGATTTGCCTGTAAATGTAGTTAATATCTAAAAGTGCACACAGTTAACTTTCCCAAATAACGGACTATTTCTGGAGGAAACCTAATATTCACAGAAAAGATTACCAATAACAATGATTAGAAATGTAGGGTTAGAATGTACTCTGAGACTATACAACACAATTATATACACAAGCTAAAGGACATTAAGTCTTTAGCCTATATTTACATAAAATAATGTGTGTTTCCACAGGGTCATACCAATAACTCAGTATGGTACTAGATATAATTAGGATTGTTAGCTACAATTCAGTATAGCAAGACAGCCCTAAAATGCCCTGAACTGACTTCCGCTAACTAAAACTCCAGTATATCACAGTGTTTTAAGTAATATTAGTGTGCTGCCCAAACAAGCAACTAAGATATCCAGTAAGGATGCTGTGTAACACAGTAAAAGACAGCAAGCCTTCATCAAGGGGTTATTTTGGGGTTATAATGAATTTTGGCACTTAAGACTGCCACTGCATGCAGAAACCCCGAAAAAGAAATACACAGGTTTCAAAATGGATATACTTCATTTTGTTTAAAATGCCCAAGAGCCTTTGCAACATAACTGAAAGTATTGTTCTATCAAGTCATGAATCTTGAGAAGAAAGTACATTATCCAATTTCAGGGAAAAAAAATACAGTTTTCTTACCAAATTATCCAGTGTATATGACTGGTTAGAATTTTAAGTTTTGATTTTTACTGAAATTCAGAGTATGAAATGCAAACATTCAGGATAAAATGAATTCATAATTACACGCAGTTATATCAACTTGCAACAAAGCAGCAAATATGAGGGCCTAACACACATCTCGACTCTCCCCTTCCCTTCTGATCCCTCAAAAAAAAAGTGCAAAATCAAAGAGTCACTGCTTGGTCCAAAAAATAAAATACATTGTGTATAAACATTTGAAATCTGATGGAATCCAGCTTCTATTCCACAGGTTGTCTTCAGTAAGAATCAACGTCCGAAGATGGAACTCAGTTCCAGAAGAATTAATTCTACAATCTGATTCTGGTACACAGTATGAACTGCTATATTACCAGTCTCTTTTTCTGGTTTTAATAGAGTGGGACCAAAAACAATTGCTATACTCTGATAGGTCATTCGATTTTTCTCTCCATTTTCTATAACTCTGAAGGGAAAAAAAGAAGTTGTTAAAAGAGAAAATAAGAGAGAGGGAAAATTCTTCAAATGGTATTATAAACCTAACAGTTTGCATTTTAAAAAGAGAAGTAATACTTATTTTCCTAAGGTGATGCATAAACTATTTAACCAAGTAGAATTCTGTCTAAATGCCATGTGAAGCTTTCTTTTTGATAAACACAGCTGAAAGATACAATTAAGCATACTCTAACAAACTTAAAATGTGTGATATTTTAGCTTAGTTTTTAAAATAGAACATTTAAGTATGAGTTACAATTCAGGTAACAGTGACTGCTCCATTAAGTTGATGGGAAAAAAATCTCATTAGGGTGTGGAGATTAAACTTTCCATTTTACTCATTTTATGTAATTTCTTTAAAAAAAAAAAACTCTCTCTAGCTGGGATTTTTTGTTTTAGTATTCTAGTGTACTTTCTATCAGATGAAAGAACTTGGTTATTAAAGTGGCTATGTAGTAACCTAGAACCATGACGGTAACTTAATACACCTCAATTAATATCCAATCTCATCTTCATATTAACCTTAGCAACAATTTCTGAACACCTACTATGTGCTAAGCATTACATAAATACTTCACATATAATACCTACTTTACTGTATTCTTCATAGCAAATCATTTACCCATGACAGACTGATACTAAAAGGAGTTGAGTAACTTTTTCAAGTTACAAAGACAGCAAGTAGCATAGCTGGGATCCAAATCTGAGTCTGAGTGACCCTGGCCCCACAGGCCTTCCCGCTTCCCCTTGTGCTATACCACATCCCATGACTGGGCAGTCCTCCTACCTTCTGAGATGTCGGAAAAGAATCTGCATTGTGTCTTGGTTTGGCTTTGGCAACTGTCTGATTAGGTCCTTAACAGCAGCGACTCGCTGTCTTGGTTCTTGCTCTGAAAAAAGATAATAACCAGATATTTTACAGCAAATTCTTATGAAACTGAAAGCAATGTCACAGTTTGGAAGCTGATATTTGGTAATACACAGTGACATCTGGTGGTCACATTTAAAATGTTTGGAGTAAAACAATCTGTTGAAAATACTTGCTTAAAGTAAGATAAAAAAAATTGGGTGGCTTAATCTGTGCAAAGAATTTTCAATATCTAGAAAAAACTGAGTAGAATTACATACTTACTAATTGCATTAACAAAATCATTAAAATGATTAAATGTAAAAAGAGGTTCTGGTAATTCTCGAAAAAACATTTTGAGGGCTCCAGTAATGACATGAATATCTTCCCATTTACTGTCATTCAAGTCCAATTTCTCATCTGAAAAACAGCAGGAATTGGACATTTTAAAAAATTACTTTAAGCCAGTTCAAAAAGTTATGAGTGATGCATCTGAATAACAACAGTAAATATAATCTTACCATGATTGACTGCAAACCTTAGTTTCTGGATCACTGCGAGGTTGCCACTTACTCTGTATATCCCATCAATATCCAAACCTAAGAGACAATAATAATTTGTGTGTGTGTGTGTTTAAAGTACTTCTTTGCCTCTTCTGAACACGTTTGCATGTGTCAGAATTCCCACTCATTTGCATTAGCCTAAAATCAAATGGGCAAATATTCTTTTTCTCTAAATGGCTTCTGGTAGATGCTTGGCAGGGGAGAGAGATGGAGATTCGCTCTGAATTCTGTTTAATAAACAGCAGTAATTCTACTCTGCTCATCATATAGACTGTGAATCAGCTCAAGGAAATGGTTTCATTAATCTTAAAACACTAACAATTTCAAATTTCTGAAAACATCTGGGGATAATTCAAAATTAAAGGAAGTCAGCAGGTAAAATCAGCCCATGCATATTTTGCATACCATTTTATAATGTAAATGCACATATTGTAAAAACTTTATTGAAGGCATCTGTCATATTAAGTGTTTGTAATAAGTAAACTTAATATAACCACTAAATTAATGGTTCTATAAAAACAATACATAATTTGCTATAATTTATTATTTTCTTTTATATGTGAAACAGAATCATCTGAAATTCATACAATTAAGCCCCGAAATTTCAGGTATTCATTAAATGATAATAATGTACAAATTTACTAAAGCACATTATTGAATGTACTATTCATTTAGCTTCAAATTAAGACAATAGTGTAGTATCCCTATTGCCATGTTGACAAGAAGAGTCAGTGGGACAAGAGATCTGTAACTGGCAGAAATTACAAATTGAATTATGTGTTTTAATTGTACAAAATCTCTTTCATGATATACAGAGATAAGTTAATGTGATTACAATATACTAATGTATATAAAACTAGTATAAATATTATAGCTATGTTTAAATTAATCACAATAGAAATTAGTTTGTCCTATTTTACAGAAAATGACATAAAAATTTTTATCTCGTGAGACATTTGTGGTTGACTTAACCATTTAAAATGTCATCTGATTTTTAGGACAGAAGAAACTTAGTAAGTAAACACAATCTCCTCGGATCTTATACATTGTCAAATTATTTCTTAAAAACAAGCTCAATTTCACAATCACTACCTTCTTCATTTTAAGCAAATGCTTAAATGAAATGGCATCAAAGAATAGCATATACTTAATTAACTGTGAGTACCAAACATTCAGCAGATGCCTGGAGAGATCTTAATTTGAAACAGGTGTAAACATGTAAGTATTTGTAAACAAAATTATTTTCTTAACATCTTAGGACTATAAGGAACTTCTGTTTGCATCACTCAAAATCATAAAAATTCTAGGAATTTTGATGGCAAAACAAGAAGCTGGTTTGCTTAATGTTAAAAAAAAAAATCAAAATCCTTCTCTTACCATGTTCTTCAACATGTTCAATACATAACTTCACAAACTTTGGTACTGTGCCATTCTCTCTCTGACACAGATTAGCGAGATTGGATCCAAATACCTGATCTGAAAAAGATTTATTTTTAAAAAGTCAATCACCTTGCTGAAATTCAGTTCATGAAATGGCTAACCATTCAGAGTGCAACAGAAACATCCAGCGTAACCAAATATTGTTTAACATGGCCCTATGCCTTATGCAATATGCATCTTGCCTACTTCTTTTCACTTCAAACAATTCGTTTCCAAACTCATACAAACCCTTACTCACTCTTGCCTGAAAATTCTTTGTACTTTCTACTGCTTTTGCAGAAAGCAATTTTCTACCCAATTTGGCTCCTTCTTATCACTCCTGGTCTCAGCTAAAATGTCACCTACTTTAATAACCCCTCTGACCATCCTTACCTAAGAGAACCCAGTTCTAGACACATTCTATTTTATTACTGTGTTAGATTCACAGCATTTGTTACTATTTCACATTATCTTGTCTACTTCCTACTTGAGTATAAGTTTCATGAGGGAGAGGACCAAGGACCATGTAGTTCCTGAACACCAACAGGTATTCATAGCACCTAGGCTTGTGCCTGGCACTTAGTAAATACTTGATTATTTTAAAAACTATTAAAATAAGCATATGTCCGTCCATCACGTACCAACATTTGATTTCACAAAATACATTTCAAATACTCTTCTATTGATCTTTCAACCCAACAGTTTTGAAATTCCATATTAGTGGTAAATGTTCAGGAAAACAAACAATTTGAAGTGATGAATAAGGACATAAAGTGACAACAGTTTATATTTCTCAGGGAAAAGGCCTGGTGAACAAATTAGCAACAGTTTCTATTCACTTATTTGCCAGGCTTTTTTTTTTTTTTTTTAAGTTTTTAAAGACTCTGAACTCATCATACAAATTCAAATGCTTTATTGGAGAGTACCTAATTTGAATTAATCAGCTAGTCTCTTCCTAGAAGTCTTAAATACCTTTTTTATTTTATTTTATTTTTTTTAAGACAGTCTTTCTCTGTCACCCAGGCTGGAGGACAGTGGTGCAATCATAGCTGCACTGCAGCCTCTAATTCCTGTGTTCAATCGATCCTCCCACTCAGCCTCCTAAGTAGCTAGGACTACAGGTGTGTGCCACCACACCCAACTAATTCTTTGTAGAGAGAGGGTCTCTCTATGTTACCCAATCTGGTCTTGAGTTTCTGGACTCAAGCAATCCTCCTGCCTCCCAAAGTGGGGGGTTTACAGATGTGAGCCACTGCACCTGGCCTTAAATACCTTCTTAATAAAACTGGCTTGCGTGTTTTAATGCAGATGCTTCACAAATAGATGGTCTTTGTTAGAAATTTCATAATAATCAGAGACAGAGATATACATTATAGACTATATTATCTTTACTTTTATTTTTATTTACAAATAAATGCCATTGTTTTAAGTCAGGTATTAGAAAATTTTACCTTTGGAATTAAACACGCTCGTAAGAACTACATACACAAGTAATGTGATTTTTTTAAAGAATATTTTCCTATAAAAAAAAGATTGTTAGTCCATTATAGTGCTTATAAATGAAATAACAGGCAAATAAATTAGTTAGAAAAAAACACCTTATGCTAATTTTTCAGTTACCTTAAATGACAGCCAAGGGTAAAAATTATTTGTTCATTTTTCTTTCTATTGTTAGTGATATTCAAAATTTCTTATTTATTGTGATCTTTGCATCTCAAAACTAAACTTTTCATTGTCACAATTTCTAAAAGTCTGCCACCCATCACATCCATGTAGTTCCTCTGAAACAGGCTTTCTAAAAGTTTAGTGTGTTATTTATGTCTGTCCACTACTTTAGTTAAAATAAACTTTCAAAAAAACTATTTTAATTACTTAATGTCTTTTAATCACTGTACTTGAATACATGAATAAAGAATAATATTCTTACTGTTTGAAAATGTTTGTTTTTAATTTGAAACATTTTATTTATGACGTAGGCCAACATTCATTATTATCAACAATACTTCTCCTACCAACCTTTAATATAACCTTTTTCACGAACAGCTTGCAAAGTGGGGCGTCGTGTAAGAAACTTCTTTAAGTTTTTCTTGGTTTTTTTCTGTTCTGAAGAATCTATGCTAGATACTTTAAAGGCTTAAGACAAAAAGACAGGTAATGAGCATTTGTAAAAATAAAGTTTTTTTGATACAAGTTTTTCCAGCTAGCATGCAAAACACATTAACCTCATATGTCAAGATCATAGTACAATTCAGTTATTTTAACTTTAATGTGGTTTAAGGACAAGATGTGAAGAATTACATTAACACAGACCCCATTTCAAAGTTATAAACCAAACAAAACATTTCATTTTTATCACTAAAAACAGATGACAACTGTACCTTCTATGGTATATCTGCCAAGACATCCCTAATTTACTCTAACATATTCTTTATTTCATAAATGATTAACTACTTATCTTTATTGATTCTCCATCAGTTTTAGAAGGTAAAATGACCACCAAAAAGTAAAAATACATAAAATACACAACAAAACAATCCCTATCTTCATTGAATAAGAAAACTGGATATACACACAAATATATAGAGATATAAATATAGACATATAACCATCATAACTATTATACTTGTATTTTAAGCTAACTTTCATCATAATTATTTGTACTCTAAGCTACAAATGGGACTACATGGAAAATGTCCTCCATTGCCTTTAGTCTTGATTTTTCTGTTATAGTAACAAAAATTCAAAAGGTATATTTCTTGAAAATAATTCTATTTGGGGGAAGTTGAGAGCATGAAGAATCTATAATATAGAATAAAAAATAATCACTTTTTATGTTAAATTGCTACCTGTTGACAATGTCAGTAATAGGCCTAAAGTTCATTAGAAATACAGAAAAGTAGTACTGATTTTCTAATCATTCAGTTAATATGAAGGCCAAAAAGTTCTCAGTTAAACGTGGATTTGTTAAAATAGACTGAACAAAGTACCAAGTCACAAAGCTAACGGCCTATTTAAGCAATGTAATTCATAAGGGGCCAACATTAGAAAATGCTTTTCTTAAAGCTGCTGGCTTTTGCTATGCTCCTTTCTGTAGTAAGATCTGGAGATAGAAACGCTTGCATCTGTTTACATGCACAGACACATCCTAGTCCAGAGATGGATGCCTGGTGTCCAGTAGGAAATTATGGTACATATTCCATGACTTTTGACTTCTTAAAAAGTATAAGATTCTATGTAGAATCTTAAACAGTAAGTATATATTTTTAAATCAATGAAGTTCAGCTTCCTAGAGGCCTCAACAGAAATGCACTATACTTCTTCTCTGAAAGTAGCACAATACCTTAAAATTAATGTGATGCCACAGGATGCATACTATGAGGCTGAAAAACGACAATAATGAGTTAACAAGAAGAAAGAGCGCTGACACACTGAGACTGCACTTGGTTAACTGCACAGCCCT
This sequence comes from Homo sapiens, assembly GCF_000001405.40. Taxonomy (NCBI): domain Eukaryota; kingdom Metazoa; phylum Chordata; class Mammalia; order Primates; family Hominidae; genus Homo; species Homo sapiens. The sequence continues at coordinate 31,814,151 of NC_000010.11, forward strand.
TTTGTAACATTGGACATTCCATTCAGCTTTTATATATGTATTTAAAACCTTCAAAAAGCTAAGAGAACAAGCACAAATCCTTAGCAAAATAGGGAAAGGACAACTTACAACGAAGCTTTTTGGGATCCTTTTGTTCCTTTTCTTTATCATGCTTTTCTATTCCTGGTGAATCCGGTATCTCCTCTTCAATTCCTTCATCAGTTTCTACTGCCTATTGGTTAGATATTTCCCAAACACATATTACACTTCTAGTATTACTATAGTTGGAATGGCATAATTCTCACAATGACTATTGTAAATGACTCTTCCAAACAATTTTAGGAAACCAATTAGTATACAGTATGTATGACTTAGATATTTGATAAATACTTTTTTTCTCCCTAGATGGCATCAATTTTGATTTTTTTAAAAAAGAAATTGTTGCTGAAAATTCACAGGATAATGGGTTAGTTTACACTGATGATGAGGCTATCTTGCCTCATTTTAATCAACTGTATATTAGTGACACTAACAGTTAAAAGGTTAAGGCTATAATCTATGGTGAAAAACACAATAGAGCTACATTCTCTGACAACAGTATAAGACTTCTACACATGGACCTGACAAGAGTATTACCCTGTAACAACAGGACAAGACTCATACTTCAGATTCACGGTTGTCAACGGAAAGAAATCCTAGAGCGGCCAGGCGTGGTGGCTCACACCTGTAATCCCAGCAAAGACTTTGGGAGGCCAAGGCAGGCGAATCACCTGAGGTTATGAGATTGAGACCAGCCTGGCCAACATCATGAAACCCCCTGCCTCTACTAAAAATACAAAAATTAGCCGGGCATGGTGGCACACGCCTGTAGTCCCAGCTACTTGGGAGGCTGAGGCAGGAGAATCGGCGTGAACCTGGGAGGCAGAGGTTGCAGTGAGCCAAGATCGCGCCATTGCAGTCTAGCCTGGGTGAGAAAGTAAGACTCTGTCTCAAAAAAAAAAAAAAAAGAAAGAAAGAAAAAAAAGAAAAGAAATCCTAGAGCTCATCTATAACTAAGGTCGCTTGTACAGATTAAAGAATGACTGAGTTCTCAAAGCTAAAAACCTTTGCTCTGCCTTCACATGGAGATCTTTACTCCACCTGGAATTTATTTTTGTGGATGGTTTAAGGAAGGGTTCCAGTTTTTTCTTGGATTCCCAGCTGCACCAGCACCATCTGCTTCCTCTACAGTGCTCTATCTGGCACAAAGTGTCCACAGGTACGTGAGTCTGTTTCTAGGTTCTTTATTCTGTTTCACAGGTATGTATGCTTATCCCTGCACAGATACCATACTTTATTAATGAATATGACTTTTTAAAGACTTGACATATGATGGTGCAAGTCCTTTTACTTTCTTCTTCAAGAGTGTCTTAGGTATTCTTAGTTTTTTGCATTTCTATATAAATTTTAGAATAAGCTTGTCAAGTTCTACCAGAAAAACTACTGGGATTTTAAATGAGATTCAAAAATCTCGAATCTGTAAGTCATTGGAAGAAAATTATATCTTTACATTATTGAATCTTTAAATGCATTAACAGAATATACTTCTCATTTAATTAGGTTTTATTCAGTGTCTCTCAATAAAGAGTTGTAATTTTCCCTGCAAAGTTCTTGCACCTCTTGCTACATTTAGTCCTTGGTTATCTTCTGACACTTTGGAAACAGTATGTATTTTAAAATTTCTTAATCAAAAATATAGGCCAGGTGCAGTGGCTCCACACCTGTAATCCCAGCACTTTGGGAGGCCAAGGCTGGCAGATCACTTGAGGTGAGGAATTCGAGACCAGCCGGGACAACATGGTGAAACCTCATCTCTACTAAAAATACAAAAACTTAGGCAGGTGTGGTGGTGGGTGCCTGTTATCCCAGCTACTTGGGAGGCTGAGACAGGAGAATCACTTGAACCCAGGAGACGGAGGTTGCCGTGAGCTAAGATCATGCCATTGCACTCCAGCCTGGGTAACAGAGCAAGACTGTCTCAAAAAAAGAAAGAAAGAAACGTGTGTGTGTGTGTGTGTGTGTGTGTGTGTGTGTGTGTGTGTAAAATCATCTCTCTTCACTTGGCTTATTCCCTGAGCCTGTAGGTCTCAATTAAAAAACAAAACAAAACAAAAATCCACTTTTTCTGCAAGGCCTTCCCTAACTAATACACTAGGTTTGCCCCTACTTAATTGGTGTTTTTACAGAATGCTGTACCCCCCTACCATCGTAACACTCATCACATTTCATTTTATTAACTGTTATCTGTCTTGAATAATCATCTGTCTGTGGCTATAATCTCAGTCTAGGAAAGTGCAGTATCTGACTGTGTGCTGCTATGTCCCCAATGCATAAGGCATTCACATATTTGTTAAATGAATGCATGCATACTTGCTTTCAAGAGACAGTGAACAGACTACTGTGACTAGAGCTGAAAGTCCATATTGGGTAAAATAGAAGGTGCATTTTGAAAAGACAGATTGGGCCTACACCGCTGAATTTTAATGAATCACAGCAAGTTTCTGAGCAGTAGGGGATTAGAAAATTGACATTAGGAAGTTTCATATGGCAATGGCATTAAGGATGAATCAGTGATAGGTAAGATTAAATAAGGAAAAAACTGTTTAGGAGGTTACTCTTATTTTGGTATTAAGATATAAAGGCCTGCCCTCATGGTTTCAGGAATAAACGGAAAAGAAAGGACAAGATTCAGAAATATCATGCAATATTACAAACTACAAAGGAAGAATTTATATATAGCTTCATAACTAATTTGCTAGAAGAGGCAAAGTTCTCTTTTATTTCCTATCAGTAGTATCTTTCATTTCTGTCATTAATATAATATGATCCTCAATGAAGAGCCATGTCCCCATATGGTGAAAGGTGAAAAGGAGAATACAGAGTATAAAAAAGTGCAAGCCAGGCACAGTGGAGCACACTTGTAGTCCCAGCTACTTGGGAGGCTGAATGGGAGGATTGCTGGAGCCCAGGAGTTCAAGGCTGCAGTGAGCTATGACTGTGCCACTGCTCCAGCCTGGGTGATGGCGAGACTCTGTTTCAAAAAAAAAAAGTACAGCTCCCAGCTGCTTACTAACGTTCTTACTAACATACCTGCAGAATATAAACCCAGGATTATTTTTGGTTGTTGTATATAAAGAAGAAGAAATATACTAGGAACACAAGGGTACTGAACAGCTTGGAGGGGAGAGGCGGAAAAACTAGAGAACTGTCACTAGAAAAGAAAAAGTGCTAATGAAGAGACTACAGCTTCTTTCATTTCATAAGCTCGCCTCAGACTTCTTCCACCAAATAGTATTATTTCCAACTCATTCAGTTATTGAATAAATACTATGTAGTAAGCACCATTTACCCCTTCTTTTTGAACTATTTCTTTTCAGCCAATGCCTGATGTGAACATTATTTCAAATCCACTGGTAGCAAACATCACATAAGTGAGAATGTTAAATCATTCACCAGCCCTGGGGGGCTGCTAAATTGACCATTGTTTTTTCCATCTCTGTCAAACATATATAAAGTGCCTTTTCACATATAGATTGCAATCCGGATATCCAATAAGCAATTAAAAAAAAAAAAGAAAAACAGCTCTGAAGTAAAAATTTTACCTAAGTCAACGACATACCTGATTATTGATTGTACTACTAAGAACTTTAAACCAATCATTAATAACAGTGTCATTGTCAGACTGAATTAGCAGTTCTGTTCCTTGACGAGTTTTCAGCTTTAGAGAAAAGCAGGGAGAAAAAAGAGTATGGTCAGTTTGTGCTTTCAGCAAAATACATGAATACCTTTAATTCAAAGTTAACAAAACCACCAAGAGTAGCTGCCATATATTATGTAACAATGATGCAAGGTTAAAGGACTACACGGCTATGGAATACCTTTTTGGTTTACAATAATATCAGTTGAATAAAAAAACATAAAGTTGTTTCTCATAATAAATTCTCACAAAAATCTAATAATTTAGGATCCCAAACACCATCACACAAATGCCATAAAACCTGCTGAAACTAGTACGTTTATCACTTAAAAATCTGTTCAAGTATCAAAGTGGTGCATTCTAAATTAGGATAAAGAAATAAAATCTATGACATTTTTACACAACCTGAGAAATTTTTTTCTGTCTCTCTGGCTAAAAAATACAGAAGAAAGAATACATAAAGACTTTCAATATTTCCTACTTTGTAGGTAAATATAATGGCTTAGTACAAAGAGCAGGCATAAATGTCACACCCCTTTTGGGCGGAAGTATTACTAAATTAAGTGTCAGATCATGAGCTGAAGTAAGAATACTATGTTTATTCTATATGAAGGCAATAACTAATTTATGTACAATCTCTGTTTTGCAGTTTCTTAAACTTAAGTGAGGAAGAATTTTGACACATTTGTGGAAAGCACTCCTCCCATTTTCCGATTAAAAACTGATTTTTTTTCCTAGAGGAAGATATGGCAATGCTTCCCAAACATTCTGAAAAACATAGTCCTCAAACATAGTTTCACAAATAATGTTTTAAAAAGGTACCCTCAAAAAATAAATTTTTGAAAAAGGTATATAATATTAACTTGGAAAATACTGGATTGAAGAAAATATAACTAGATTCTCTCCTTCAAGATGTCACAGGCTTTTGATATTCTAGGGTGCACTGTGATTTTCTAAGATAGGAATAAAATATACACTGCTTCCCAAATTTATTTGACCATGAAACCATTTTTATTCTTGATTTACCTTTTGAAACTACAAGGCTAATTCAGGAAACAGTGACTTCTTTCATGCACTTTTCTAGTGTTGGTCAAGCCAGTTTACCAATATTGAATGTTTACTGCACATAAGATACTCTGCTCTGTTATAGGTTCTTATTTAAAGGAAAAACATAGTCTCTTTACTTAAGGGAAAAACAAAAAAATTGTAATTATCTAATGAGAGAAATAATTGACAAATGATAACCCAAGTACACTAAATATTATTTTTAAATAAATATTTATTATTATAAATAAAGAAGTAGCCTCATTGTTATGGTGATGCTTGTCATGAGTCTTGGAAGAAAGGGAGCATTTGGCACGGAGAGATTGGCATGGGTTGGTGCTCGAGGCAGAACAATAAAGAGTAAAAATCAGACAAACCAGAAAACCTGGGCTCCACTTGGAAAACAGCAATTAAACCAATCTGTCTACACAACACAACAGGAAAGCCCTGAGACATGAGACTACAAAAAGAGGTTGGGATCTGGAAGGCTGTCCACAAAATCAGTCTTGGATCTCTGTAACCACACCCTTCTGGAATGGGACAGATAATGCTGCTCTTCTGTCAATAGGCTGCCTCTCTTCCCACAACTCTGAATACTTGGCTAGTCTCCTGAACAGTCTTAACCAATGAATACTCTGAAAGTAATGTGTGACTTCCAAATCTAGGCCCTGAGAAGCCCTGCAGGTTCCACCCTCACCCTCTTGGAATCCTGAGGCCGTCACTTGATGCAGCCTGGGGTAGCTCCCTTGAGAATGAAAGATCTTGCGGACAAGGAGGCCTAGCCAACAGCTGGCACCAATACTAGCCATGAGGTCACTTGAGACCATCCAGTTCCAATCAAGCCACTAGACGACTGAAGCCTCATGAATAGTCCTAAGTGAGATTAGAAGAAAAATCACCCAGCTCAGCCCAGGCCAGGCTGAGCAAACAAAATGGTTCTTTTGTTAAACCACTAAGTTTTGAGGTGGTCTCTTATGCAGCAATAAGTAACTAATACAGATCATATATTACTGGGGAGGGTTTTAAAAGATAAAATGGAAAGGTTTAAAAAAAAAAAAGGCCTTTATTTTTTAGACCAGTTTTTGGTTCCAGCAAAATTGAGAAGAAGATATAGAGATATCCCATACACCCCCTGCCCACCCCCACACACAGCCTCCCCATTATCAACATTCCCCTTAATTTACTTTTTAATATTAGATTTGGTAAGTAAAGGGAACCACATCCTTTTTATTATTGCTGGCAAAAGATAGGATTTGTGAAACAAAGGCTTGTAATATACAGTCTGAGTTCAAACAACTTATGCAAATAAAGCCAGTTTTTACACCAGTTTTTTCTTAAATTACAATACCATCTAACTTAATCACCAACTTTGCCTTAACTAGTCACAATGAAAGACTATTTCCCAAAATAGCTCAAAAAACAGAACATCCAATTACTACAGTTTAGAATGTGTTATACTTAGAAAAAAATGTATTACCTCAAATACATTCTTTTTGCTGGATTTATCCTTTGAAGCCATCTCAATTGTTGCCCCCTTGAGGTCCACTGTGAACTCTGGTTTGGACTGATTACTGCCAAACTTCATTTTTGAAAAAGAAAAAAAACCTTCATGTGATACTCACATATATGTGTATTCAAAAATAATTAAGAACAATTTTATATTAACAATAAATCAAATAGATTTTCTCAAATTCTTCTTTTTCTCTATTATAAAGTAACAATTTCTACTTTAAAATTGAAAAATATCTAGAATATATGAATACACAATTCACAGAAAACAAAATGACTCAACTTCCATCATATTATATATATATATATATATATATATAAAGCCAAACTGAAATTTTTTTTACCCACCAGAGTGGGAAAAAATTTTTTCAAAACTATGTTGGTGAGGCTATAGACTAAAAAGGCCTCATATGCAAGTGGGATATAAACTGGAACTACTCCTAGAAAAGAAAAATTGGTAATGCTATATTTGCAAATTTACAAATGCATGTATACTTTGGCTTGGCAGTTCTGTATCTTGGAATTTATCCTAGACTACACATGACTATGTAAAATGCTATGTACACAAAGGCAATACTCTTATATATGTAATAAACAGTATCAGGTAGATAACAAGCGCATTTTCTACCTAATAAACATTCTCTAAACCTGATTTTGTGCTTTCAGAAGTATTTCCTTATTGAGTAGTTACGCTGTTAACAACAACTTGTGGAAACAGAAAACACTAAGTCCCATGTTCTTTTATCTTTGTCAGAAACTGTAACTAGAGACAGATGCTATAAAGCATCAGCAATTTAATGAGGAACTATGAAAAGAATGGGAAGACAGTTGTTACGGGTGGGTTCAGAAGTACTTAGCTAGCTATTATATTTTGTTAACTAGATAAGGAAAAGATTAGCAAAAGTAGTAGAAAATTTATGTTAAATATACACTTACTCTGTACCTTGACATCTTTAAATTTGTTTAGTCTGTTAAGTATAAAAAGTAACATTCCTATGGTATTGAAAAGTTTAAAGGTTTTAAAACCCTAAAGTCTACTGAATTGTAATCTAAAGATCATAAAAATCTGTTATAAATATTTCCTACAGAGAATTTCATTTGCTAAAAATATTTTCAAATCAAATTAATTTGTCATTAGAAATTATCTTACCCAACTTTGTGATAACTTATTCACTATTTGTAATCTCAGTAACTCTATTCAGGAGCTTCACATTTAAAATACAGTTTGCCTCAACCTGTTCCCGTTTACATCTTTTTAGCTATCAGTGTGAACTTAAACAAAAGTTAGGATTACATAAAATTTATTAGTGGAGTCAATGAAAATTTTGAGATATTACATGGAATTTATTTGTGGAATCATAATAAAAATCACAATAGAAATTGTAACTGTATTCTACAAAGTCTTTGCCTGAAGTACCATTGTCAATCGAAAGACAAATTAAACATAAAGCTATATGTTGGGCATAACTTTCTGAGCAGAAATGATGTATTGCAAATGTTACCAAACTTGAACATACATTTAACAAAATGACAAAAATCAATTATTTAATTTATTGTCATCATACACGCTGTAGATGGGTAGCTCTAAGCTAAGATACAAATAAGCAACCAAATAAGATATAGCAATTAAATATAAATACAATGACATGACATGGAATGCTAAAAAAAAAAAATGCAATCAGTATAGCTGGCAACATTTCGTTAGTTATTATTTTCCAAAATCTAGTCCCACTTTTCTCTACTGTAATCAACCTCCCCACCAATGTATTCATCACAAAGAAAACAGAATTATTGTGGCAAAGGGCATGCAACAGGAACACATACAGTGACAGCTGAAACAGGATCAGACTTTACATATGCAACAGCAGGCCGACGACGGACAGAGTGTTTCCAAGAAGAAAGCAGCGAAAGCAAGAGCTCAGAGACTGAGCCTTGTTGGCAGAAGGACTTGATGGAAAAGGGAAGAAAATGATGATGTCATAACAATGCACAACAGCAAAATGACACACAAGAGAAAAGCATAATGGAACCAGACAAGACAAAGATACAATTCTATATGCAGACATACAACATAAGCAAAGCTCAACTTCCAAATAACTTTGCAAAGGTCCTAGAATTTATCCTGATGATTATTACATAAATTTATGTTTCATTTTTAAGATGAATGCTTTATAGAATTTATCTTAAACAGACTTGTGTTAGCCATTGGGAGGAATCATGTCAGGCCCTTTACGATCTTGATTAGACCCTGTCCAAAATCCCCTAGCTTCCTCCTCGTGACCTGCTGAGTAGTATCTTCTGGTGTCCCTTTCCAAGTCATCTGTTGGGAGTAGCCCTACCATCTAGCCTGCCTTTCCCTTCCTCTAGGACACTGATACTTCCTCTAGGAGACAGGGAATTTTGTCCTCTGGGGGACATCTGGTAACGTTTGGAGATATTTTTAGTTGTCACAACTAGAGGCGGAGTGCCAGTCATCTGCTAAACACCCTACCACGCAAAGGACAGCCCCACCGACAACAAATAATTATCTAGCCCAAAAGAGTGACTATTTTTAGAAATTTGAAAGCATGTACAAATGAATGTTTGAATAACTACCAATATTTATGGGTTGATTTTTTAAATGCTCAAGGAATATGATGAATAATAACTGAAAAGAAGCACAACATATGTCATGTCACACTGAACCTGTTCACTTGTCAGTCTTCCCCACTACTACGTAAGCTTTGAAGCCAGGGACCATGTTATTTCTTTCTAAACCCAAAGCTTAACAATGCCCAGAACACAGCAGGCTTTTAGGTCTGTTGAACAAACAAACAAACATACAAACATACATTTCTGAAGTGAGAAAAAAACAAATACAAGTTTATGTTAAGTGATATAGCAATCCAGTGGATAACCGTTTTCCAGAAAACCAGTGGAAGGTATCTGTCCTAGAGAAGAAAAGGCTCACTAGATTTTTGGATGAGACAGCACCAATGTAAAATATTTCTTATAAAGTGGAATTGCATGCAGCCTACGTGCATTTCATTTACTCAATTTTAACCATCCACTCTCTGCCAAAAAAAAAAAAAATCAATACGAACCATGAATAATTTTTTAAAAATAGAACTTTGAATAGCGTGGGTGACTGTGCTCAGCGTTCCATTCATGAGTACCTGCCCTGGAGTGAGTAGAAGATTTGAACCTGCTATTTCCTCAAGTGGATCTCAAGTTTTTGTACTAAGTGTGAATCTAATTTTTAAAGAACTATATAGATTTCTCCTATAATGTGGCCCCTTAACATAAGCCATTCAAACTCAACTGAAGGAAAAGCTATTCCTTCTAACACCAAAGGAAATATGGGCTCTGCTAGAGATCAGCTTCTGTATAGCATCTTCCTAACGAATATTCAAGAGCAGTTTTCACTTGAGGTGACTGTTGGTTTTTTGGCTTACATTTTAGCCTTAGAATCTTATTCTCAGGTAAGATGTGATTCTGCTGTATAAAGAGAATATATTTTACCTATAACAGATCTAGTTGGTGACTGAGCAGATCAACAAAGCTAGAATTCTTTAACATTCCTTTCAATAATCCCAATTCCAGAGTTAAAGAGCATCTTGTATGTTTCTCTAAATTTTGGTATTTATGAATGTTCTTGGGTCATAATACATTATACGCACTTACATGATTTTTAAATACTCTTACTTCCTTTTACTTAGGCCATTCAAATTAGTTCTCGCTCCCTTAAATATGTAGCAATGGGGAAAACAAAACAGTCTGAGGTTTTAAAATTAGCCATAAAATACAAATTAAGAATTGACTGTACAACCAAGCATTTCACCACATCTTTAATCTTGTTTAGTCTTTACTGAGACTATAAAATGGTGTGGTTATGTTTTTTAAAATTATACCTGTCTGAACTGATTATATTAATACTATATCAATAGTAATAAGATGTCATTTGAAAGGTAAAAATTAAAATAGTGATTCCCTGTAATTAAAAATTCATTGAGAATTCTAAAATTTCAAATTGGCTTGCTCAGTAAATTTTAAACTATGTTTCGGCTATTGCCACATGGTAACAAAGTAATACAACCTTGGCTGATAAACAGAAATACCTCACCTCCTTTGTCAGTATTAGTTTTAATCATGAGTTCTGAATCGTGTGTAAGATCTTCTACAGTGAAAACTTTAAATAAATTTTAAAAAATGTAACCATCCTGTACTAATGATTATGTACTGGAAGGTACTCATTTAACATCTTTAAATTCAAAATAAGTTTTCATTTCATCTAAATCACATACAAACCTGCCTACCTACAGGATGCTCTGTCTAATGGCTTCATCTGTTCCTGCTACAACCTTCAATCTTTAAGTATCAGTAATTATCAAATAAGTGACCACTATCCAGCTTTCTTCAGATACTTTTAAAAGTGACTTATTAATCTCTTATTGCTTCTCCATTCCTTTTCTTTCATCCATTTTCTTCACTCAATTTGAAATAAAAGTTGAGCCGTAAATAGGAAGAAAGAAACAATTACACAGTCCTCTAGAAATGCATTAACACAAAAGAGCCCCACATGTTTCACCTCGAGGAAAAGGAGAAAGACATAATTATCCATTTACTTTAAGATATATCAAACCAAAATTTCAACCCTTTCACAGGTCATTTCCACTGGAATGGCTGAACAGGGAGCAAATTAAAAGATTAGTAAAACAAAACAGAAGAAACGATCTAGAATGTTCACATCCGTGCTCAATTCATGTGGATTTTTAGGTTTCCTCATCAGAGAAGCTGAGGAATAATGTGTTCTGTGGCATTTGGGGTTCAGAACCATGTTGCATGGCTGCATTATAAATGTGGATGACTAAAATTTGCTTAAATTTTATAAATGGACTTTTCTTTCATCAAACATAAGATCCATAGGTTTTGTATTAATTTTAAAGAAACTCATTAATTGTAATAAAATATTGGTTACGGTAGAATATGAGGTAGACCAAATACATTTAGAATAATTTCATTTTAAATTTTACTTGAGCATTAGCACTTCAAACTCAATTACCAAAAACTTTTAGAAATAGCCAGAGCATGGATTCTAGAGCCAAAAAGCCAAAGTTCTAAACCCAGACCTGCCACTTGGTAGCTGTAAGACCTTGAACAAATTATTATACTTAAGTGTTTTATACCTCATTTTCTCATCTATGACGGGGGAAGGGCGAAATCAGAGCAATAGCTATCCCAGCGTTAAGGAGACAATATATACACAATCCTCTGCACTGACAACATATGTGGGATACAGAATGAGCATTCAAAAAATGTAGCTATTATATGTCACAAATTATAATTTTTAATGTTTGCATTACAAATAACTGAAGAGTAGAGTAATGATAGTAAGCACTCAAATATATAAAAAGCTTCAAAATCCCACAAGTAATGTGACATTTCTTTTTCTTTTGAAAGCTGGCTGACAATCCAGACACTGACACCTCAATCACTGATTTGTAACCAATGGTCAGATCACAATTCAAGATACAGCTTGCCACATTACTGCTTATTTTCTGACTAAATATCTGAAATAGCAGAGTCACAAACACAGCAAAGCTTTAACATCCTGAAAATGAATCAAGAAATGTATTTTCTCTATAATGCCCAAGTAATAAGCCCACTTTTCAGTTGAATGGATAAAACAGAATCTGTTGATTTTAATAACACCACTAATTAGACTGTCCTACTTAGTCCTCTTTTTCTCTCATAAGTTAAAATGAATCTTTAAGAAGATTTTATTCATTTTTATTTGCACACTAGCTATAACTATAAGGACTCTGGAAATTACCTCCTGAAATTCAGGTACGATACTATTCACATAATTTAAATGTATAAAATCTCCAAAGAGAAGAAATACTTACCCAACTTGTGCTACTTCCTTGAGTTTTGGTAAAAAGTAAAGATGAACCCTGCAACACCGCCCAAGAAGACAACCAGTTCTTTCTGTAATTATAAAGATGACCGATTAAAGCTCCAATCTCGAGTTCTTTCAGCCAAATTCAAAAAATTAAGACCTACTTAGCTCTTATCAATGTTATCTACAATTTACAGCCTTGTTGACATTTTAATTGTTTTTATTGGGGATAGATACTAATGCAATTTACAGTCATTTTATGGTTCAAACCTGATCATGAAGGCCCCAAAACAAATGAAGTTAATCAGAGAAGTTATCAGAAATAACTATGAATGAATGACGCATGTAATTATGTTCACGTGAAATTAATACAGCACTTTGTGATCAAAGACACTAATTTATTTTAAAGTCACACAAGTGGAATATTGTATTTATCAAGAATTCTTACTTAGAAGTAAAAATTAGACAAACACGCTTCCCTCACTCACCTAATTCTTTATACAGACTGTGTTACATTTCTTGGTGATCTGCCTTCCCCTAATTGGGCTGGAGTACTCAGGTAGTAGGTACTAGGTGCATTACAGGCATACAATGAATTGTACACTGATAGACCACACGACATTTAAAAACAAAATGTTTCCTCCATCACAAAAGCAACACATATACGGTATGCAAAAACTCTGAAAACAAAAATGTGTAAAGGAAAGGGAATCCCATTTCTTCTTCAATCCATACTCTAGAGGTAACCAATGTTAAGACTTTGGTATAATATGGGGCTTTTAAAGAAACTGTCCACTTATCTACTATCCTATCTCCAGATACAGAGGTACGCCTCACACAGCATATGTATTATCAGTTCACCCATTTAGAACTTTAAAGCTTTTGAATATTACACCCCAGCCAGATTCCCCTCAACTTCTCCCTTATCATATTAGAGATTTTTATGTAAATGTTTCTCTCTCATAGGAATTGTAAATTATTTGAAAAAACAAAACAGTTTTTATTTTTATTTTTTATCTGCCTCAGGCCTAGCACAGTACTTTTCAAACAGCAGGTATGAATCAGTGTTTACAAGTAGGAAAATAAATTAAAATTACCCTATATAAGGACACAGTTGCTAGGAAGATAAATGAATGTCAAATCTGTCTACTGCAGGGATTTATTAAAGCTATCCTTATAGCCAAACATATGGCCAATTTTATAAAAACCTCTAGGCCGGGTGCGGTGGCTCACGCCTGTAATCCCAGCACTTTGGGAGGCCGAGACGGGTGGATCATGAGGTCAGGAGATCGAGACCATCCTGGCTAACATGGTGAAACCTCGTCTCTACTAAAAATACAAAAAATTAGCCAGGCGTGGTGGCGGGCACCTGCAGTCCCAGCTACTCGGGAGGCTGAGGCAGGAGAATGGCGTGAACCCGGGAGGCAGAGCTTGCAGTGAGCCGAGATTGCACCACTGCACTCCAGCCTGGGTGACAGAGTGAGACTCCGTCACCCAGAAAAAAAAACAAAAACAAAAAAAAAACCACCTCTAAAGGAGGTTTATTTTCTGTTTTCAGAATGTAGAATTTAATATCTATCAATAAGACTTACCTTTTTTTAAATTACTTTTTATGTCTAGTTGAACTTTATGGATTAAGATAAGTGAAATAAAGTTAATTACTACTAGTGAAATAAAGTTAATTACTACTAAGTTTCTATGTTTCCATTTATTTCCTGTATTTTTTTGCTTATGTTTGTTAATGCTACTTTATTTGGTAAATGGTGATTCCTAATAATTACATCTTCACTGTGGACTTCTGCACATGCTTTACCATTTTAAATACTACTTTCATAATGCTTTATGCTCTCTCCCTAGGATGAACTTTGCTACTGATATCCCTAGTCTTGCTTTACTTTCTATACCTTTGACACACCTTATTGCTTTTTTTTTTCAACTTTTCTGAATCATCTTTAGGTGTTTCTTTTACATATAGAATTTAGTTAAGTTTTGCTTTTTTATGCTTCAGTCTGAGCACCTTTTTCTTTCAATAGATGAGTAGTCCATTTACATTTACTGATATTGATATTATAGATGGTGCTTTTTCTGTCATCATTATTTCATTTTCTGGATCTGAAGATATTTTGGAAGTATTTTAATTTTTTGTAAATTCATTTTATATTCTCAGTCTTCTATTTCTTTAGATATCATCTACTGACTCCCTACTATGAAAAATACTTAAATTAGCCTATTTCCACTTTAAGTAAGCTTTTTTAGTTCAATTTTCAAAATGAGAAAAACTGTAGAACTAGTAGATATATATCTGAGAACAAATATTGAATACATAAATAGTAAAATAACGATTATTGCCTCAAGGACTAAGCACTTGCGTGACTTAGTTGCAAGGTGAATTAGTCACATTTTTTTTTCCTGGAACCCCATTTTTTCTCCTGAAAAAACAACTGATGTACATACTATAGTTATTCAGACCTGGATATGTGGCACACAAACATTATCTTAAAAATAAATGAAGTTTTCAAAGAAAACAAATAATATTATTTATAGACAACAAAAAATTAAAACTTTCAACATGAGGCTGGGCATGGTAGCTCACGCCTGCAATCCTAGCACTTTGGGAGGCCAAGACGGGCGGATCACCTGAGGTCAGGAGTTCAAGACCAGCCTGGTCAAAATGGTGAAACCCCGTCTCTACTAAAAATACAAAAATTAGCCACGCGTAGTGGCACATGCCTGTAATCCCAGCTACTTGGGAGGCTGAGGCAGGAGAATTGCTTGAATCTGGGAGGCGGAGGTTGCAGTGACCCAAGATCGCACCACTGCACTCCAGCCTGGGCGAGAGAGCAAGACTCTGTCTCAAAAACAACAACAACAACAACAACAACAAAACTTTCAACATGAATGAACCTCAAGGACATTATGCCAAGCAAAATAAACCAGTCACAAAAGTTATACATATAACATATCATTCCACCAATACAAAATATCTAAGGTAGTCAAAATCACAGAAACAGCAGAAAGGTTACCAAGGGCTGGGGGATGGAGGAAGAGGGAATTAGTAGGTATAGAGTTTCAGCGTTATGAGATGAAAAGGTTTTAGAGATCTGTTGCACAACAATGTGAATATACTTAACACCACTGAGATGTACACTTAAAAATGGTTAAGATAGCAAACTTATGTATTTTTTTACCACCATAAAAAAAATTGAAGCTTTCAAACAGAAAGTAGAACTTTGGAACACCTGGCATCTGCTACAATGGATTTGACAACGTCCCAATACTTTTCTGACAGTACTGATGTATGATTCTTTGATATTATAAATAAAATGTGTAAACATTTGAGAAATGAGCAAAGTTAGTGAACTAGTATTTTACAAATGACCTACAAGATATTATAAAATTAAGCATGGGCAAAGATTCACTCAGGTGCAACAAAGACCAACGGCTTTTAATGTAACTGAGTATGAACCGTTCACCGGCAGTTTTTCAGAGTCTTCACTACAACTAACCCTCAACAAACTACCATTTGTAGAGTTTCGGAGCAGCAGGAAAATGCACAATTATCTGAACATATCTTAAAACATTCCTCCATTTTCCACCTTTAGTTGTGAAAAGGATTTTTTTCACATACTTCAAACAAAATAATATGTCACAACAGACTGCAAGCAGAGATGAAAATTCATCTGTTTTCCATTAAGCCAAACACTAAAGATTTACAAAAAAATGTAAAACAATGCCTCTCTTCTCATGGAAATTTTTTGTCTTAGAAAACATAGTTTTTCTTCAAAAAAATATTTGTGTCAATTTGTAATAGGTATTTTTAAAAAAATTATCCTTAAAATTTGTTTTAATTTCTCACAGTATCTGTAGATATAACCTATAAGGTTATAGAGAGTAGACCAAGGCTCTTTAGAATATTCAGTAATTTTTAAGCATTTAAAGGAGTCTTCAGACCAAAAAGTTTAAGAACCACTAATACATAGGAAACTAAAGATTTTGCTCAACTCAATGTAAATAAATTTGAAGATGATGGAATAGATGATTTCCTTAGGTAAATATAAATTGAAAAAAGTATTCCAAAAGAAGCAGAAAATCTAAAAGGCTACTATCATAGGAAAAAAAACAAAAGCAAAGAAAGTAGCCGAAGAGCTATCTGCACTACATATTCCCAAAATGGAGAAAGAAAAATAAAGACTCAATTCACAACTGAATTCTACCAAAGAACAGTTTAAGGGATACATAATTGTAGTATTTATAAAGCTATTTCAGAGCACTTAAAAAAAAAATCTAACTACCAAAGTCTGACAAAAAATAGTTCCATGAAAGCAAACCCAAAAAACTCAATTACATGTAAATTTAAAACTCTTTAAATGCAACTTATACTGCACAGAGTTAATTTCCTTAAATCACTAGGAGGTACTACACATTAACCAAAAAATCCAACAATCCAATAGAAAAACAGACAAAGGGTATAAAGAAACAATTCAACAAAAAGGAAATACCAACAATTTATGATACTGTAACCTATTAAAAAGGAATGCAAATAAAAATATCATTTTCTCTCTTCTCTCTCCTGGCAAAATCAAAGAATTTAACAACATACTAAACTGGCGAAAGGTGTGCAGGAATGCACGGCTCCTGGAGGCAGAAACGGATTCAATATCTTACAGTGCAATTTGGAACACTGTCGAAATGACTTTGCAAGTGGCCCAGCAATTCCACTTTTTGTAAAATTTATTTTATGGGCAGATTTGCATACTTGCAAAATGAGTCATGCAAGATGCTAAATGTAATATTACATGTACTAGCAAAAATGATAAACAACTGACATGTCTACCAATAGACAAGTGTAGTTTAAAACGTGCAAATAAATAATGGGGAAATAAACTATATAGTACAGCCAAACAATATACAACTATGCAGTAGATTAAAAACAATGTGGCAGCTCTACAAGCAAGAAGTGAAACCATCTCCAAGATAAACTGTGAAAAGATTATGTTTAGAAAATTAATCTCTATACATACAAACATATACATATATATCCTATCTCTGGAGGAAAGCACTAGAATTCAGGAGACTTAACACTGATTGCCTCTGGGGAGGGGAAGTAATGCCGGCTGGGGGATTGACTTTTCACTCAATACTTAGTCTACCTTTGTTTTTTACCATGTGCATTTACTGCTTACTGAAAAAAAAAATATTAAAGCAAATGCATCCTCAGAACCCTCTGCCTCATTACCTCTTAACTTAATATTACTTAGGAAATATGTCAAGACAAAGGAAAATTTTCATAAATCTCATGACAATCTTACATATATGATTACATAGAAAACAAATGGTGAGAGATTCTTCAGCACCTATTGTTTATACTAAAATAATTATATTGAGAATTTTTAATTTATTTCAGATGAATCATGTAAGAACATTAAAGACTTGTGTACTTACCGAACCTTTTTCCCATTTTCAGCAATTTTTGTTACATTTAATAATCCATATTTCTCTTGATCCTATGGAACAGAGTAATACTGTTTATACAATCACATAGACAATGAGGTCCAAGTTCTTACACATGACTGAACCAACATGGTCTCGTTCTCTAAAAATTAGCTTAAAAGAAAAGATTAGTCAATGTGTAACATGCGTAGTTCTAGAATACATTAAGAATATAACTTTCCTAATACTTTTGTAGTTTTTTCTTAATTTTATAATTAAACACTTCTTTTTCTCCTTAAGTCACAGCAGCTATTAGATACTTTGCTATCAAATTAGATTTCCATATGAACAAAGCAGCACTGAAAAATAATTTATGTCTTTCTATTCAAAGAAAGGAATACAATGCTATAAGGATAAATTCTACAAAAAAGGAATGATTTACTTTGCTGTTATTTTACAACTATATAATCTGAAAATTATTCAATATACTAACTCACTTTGTCAAAATGTAAAAATAGGGAGACCAAATACTGTGTCTGTATTTAATAAATTACTAAAAAGTTAACTGGTATCATGTACAGAACTTGCCTTAATGTAGCATAAAAAATTCAGCATGTGCTTCATTAAGCATATTATCAGATTGTGAGTTCCTCTCTAGACAAACTAGATTTATTAGCCAGCTGATGTCAAAAACAGTGACACAAGCTTTATCATCAAACCCTATGAAGGCAGAAGCCACTGCACTAAAGTTAATGTTATCTTAAAATTCTTCCAGATGGAAATCAAGAAGCACTTTCTCACTGCTTTAGTTTCCTAGAAGCAAATGAATTTAATTAAAATGAGCTGAGTCCATAGTAATCATTCAACATTACTAAGCATTATCTGTATGAGACAATAGTCAATTTTAATTCAACTAAAGCACTCATACACACGCACTCTCTCTCTCTCTCTCACAAGGAAGAAGTATCCCCAATTCTATTTAACTGATTACTCTGCTATATTTTCTCAATGTACTTTAATCAGAAAATATACATTTTTCTGCATGAGAGATAAACATAATATTGAGCATTTTTTTTACCAATGTCTGAAAGTTTCGTCTGGTCTGATAAAAACTGACATCTGTAGACAAAGCTGACAAACTGCTATGTCAATTTACATTTTTGGTATACTGGGGACTTGGGAAATAGCCCATATGAAGTTTTATTGTAATTTTTTCATAAAGCACAGCTTAAATCTCCTTAGATACGCAAGTTTGATATTTTTCGTAAGAACTATGTTGCTCCTCAACAAAAACATTAATAACACAATTGTAAGTATGTGTGAGATTTTTTTTTTTTCTTTTTCTCATAAACCTTCATGTTGAGGGCTGACTTTCAACAGATCACAGCAAGGCAGCTGCATAAGATGTTAAAGAAGAACATTTTTAATTTGCCGCCTGCACCCCTCAAAAGCAGGGAGAAAACAATCTTTCCATCATATGGGAACTAAGTAACAACATTAATCTGAGTGGATGGGCACTGATTACTTAAGCTAGGGAACTCAGCAATTGGAAAGGCAGAGAGGTGGGAATTAAGCCCATTTTAAAAATGCCACAGCTGAATTTGTATTAAAAAAAAAAAAAAGCAGAGGCAGGAAGGAAACACAGGCATCAAAACAGGAAGAAAAATGGATGGCATAGCAGTAGTGATAGACAGCCTAAGCCTAAGGATGAGAGGGAGAGTCTAGATCAGGGATTCTCACCCAAATCAACGGATAGACTGAAACTGGAACATAACTGAGCATGTATATATGCATCACTCAAAGAAAAGGTCCAGAACTTTCACCAAATGGTCACAGGGATCAAGACCCAAGTACTAATGCTCTATTAATCACTCTAACTTGAACATAAAGAACAAAATTTGCTACACCCAAAACGTACAAATACAAAGAACAATTCCCATGCAATGTGATACATGCTATGAGAAAGCTATGCCTAACTCAACCTGGGAGAGAAAGACATCAGACAGCCTCCTGGGGAACTTGACACTTGAACTAAGGAACAGGAGTCAGCTAGACTGAAACAGCAGGAGATAAAAACAACCAACAGTGAAAGGCACAGGGGCTAAAGACAGCATTTCATATTTGAAGGATTTTAAATTCCCCCAAGTATTGGGTGAGGTGGAGAAGTGGCAAGAAATGAGGTAGCAGAAAGAATGCACTAAGAAAGGGTAGCATGACCAGGAACCAACTAGAATACTATTTTAATCATTACTATAAGAGATGATAAAGACCTGAATGTGGTGGCAGTGACAGAGAAAAGGGGCCCAATTTGACAGATTCAGAAGACAAAATTGACAGGGACTTTTGCTAGGGTGAGAGCAAAGATCTTGGGGAAACTGTCAAGCTTGAGCAACTGGGTAGCTGGTAATATCTCCACTTCAATGTTACTTTAGGGCTTTTCCTGACCACTTTTAAGTAAACTTCCCACTATTTATGACTGCCTCAGTTTGTTTGCCTTATTGTACTTACTACAGACTAAATGTTTGTGTCCCTCAAAATTTGTACGTTGAAATCTAATCTCAAATGTAATGATACCTGGAGGTGGGGCCTTTGGGAGATGATCAGGTCATGAAGGTGAAGCCCACATGAATCTAATTAGTGCCCTTATAAAAGGGAACCCTTGTTATTTCTGCCATGTGAGGACACAGCAAAAAGGAACCATCTATGAACCAGGAAGGTGCCCTCACCAGACAGTGAATTTATCAATGCCTTGATCTTGGACTCCTCAGCCACCAGAACTGTGAGAAATAAATTTCTGTTGTTTATAAGCCACTCAGTTTATATTTTTGCTATACCAGCCCCAATGGACTAAGACACCCTTAATGCAAAGTACAATTGTGTATTTTTTATTACTTTTATTACTTCATTATCCACTCCATTAGGCCGTAAGTTGGAACCACATCTGTTATGTTCATCAATAACCAGTGCCTAGTACTGTATCAAGCATGTAGTTGGCATTCAATACATATATGATGAAGTAATTTACCAATAAATTAACAGTACTATAACAAGAAAGAAATATGAGGGTCAATAACAGAGAAAATAAAGCTTTAACTATTAAATATCTAAGTTTTTGAATTTGACATAAAAATAAATAGGCAGATGGGTAATATAGGTTTGGATACACAAGTAAGAGTTAGGAAAAACATTTAAGGCAGGGCACGGTGGCTCACGCCTGTAATCTCAGCACTTTGGGAGGCCAACACAGGTGGATCACGAGGTCAGGAGTTCAAGACTAGTCTGGCTAAGATGGTAAAACCCCATCTCTACTAAAAATAAAAAAATCAGCTGGGCATGGTGGCAGATGCCTGTAATCCCAACTACTTGGGAGGCTGAGACACAGAATTGCTTGAATGTGGGAGGCGGAGGTTGCAGTGAGCCGAGATCGCGCCACTGCACTCCAGCCTGGGCGACAGAGCGAGACTCCGTCTCAAAAGAAAAAAAAAAAAAAAGAAAAAAATTTAAACAGATTTTTATTTCATACTATTTAGTATACTTTCTCTACATAATATGTGTCAAAATCAACCAATGTTTTTGTGTTGCTTACTAAGAAAGCTTCATAAAAAATATCTTAAGTCCCATAAAATATATACAAACTTATACATGAATATTTGTTGGTCTAAGTATTTGATACTCTAAAAGAAACTTTATATTAAAAATAAGCAGGAATGCTTTAATAAGGACTAGCAAATTATGGTTAAATTGAGTAACAATATTATTCTATCCTAATAGGCAAGAAAACAATAAACTTCAAATTCTACTAGGTAATCTGGGGAAAATTTCACAAGTTCATAATTACTTTGCAGGCTCCACAATTTCTAATTGATGTTGCATTCTTTTAGTAAAGTAGGTACTTCTCAATTTAGGCTAACAAGTGTGATATACCAAAATCAATACAC
The DNA here is from genome assembly GCF_000001405.40 of Homo sapiens. Lineage (NCBI taxonomy): Eukaryota > Metazoa > Chordata > Mammalia > Primates > Hominidae > Homo > Homo sapiens. The sequence continues at coordinate 31,835,665 of NC_000010.11, forward strand.
CTGATCAAAATCCTTATCTTCAGTTAATTG